>NC_000003.12:44252424-44555454 GCF_000001405.40 Homo sapiens
TGAGAGTGTTTCACTGGCTTTCAGCCACGTGGGGGTAGTCTAAATTGCTTGGCATGGCTTTTTAAGGCTCTTTAGTGGATCTGTATCCATTTCCTGTTTGGCAACTATGGTATTGGAGGGAGGAAAGTGGGGTGAAAGGCTAATAATGAAAGATAAACATAGCAGGCAGCTCACTGTTTCTACAATGCACCATGTACTTTAGGCCTTTTGCATATGTTTATCTGAAAGTCCCTTTCTTTGCATTCAGTTATCCGTCAGTCACATCTGAGATATTATTCCAGGGATATGTTCCAGTAGTTCTCTTGGCACATATCTCAGTATATTATGTCTGCTTGTATGTGAGCCCCACCTTGTACTGGAATTGCTGGAAAGGAGGGAGGCGTCTTCATTTGGGTCTCCTTAGCTTGGAATATGTTAGGTGCTGCATGTGTGGAGAACAACTAGACATATATAAGCCTTGTCCTCACAGTGCTTTTAGGGAGGCAAATAAGCATGTACCATAAAATGATAGGAGAAGTGCAAGATGTTAAACGCCTCCTGGTGAAAGTGGCATTTAAAATGATCACTAAAGGATAAGTAGGAATTAGCTAATTGTTGAGGAAAATTGAGACACCAAAATAATGTCTCATGGCTTGGTGTTCAAATGGCAAGAAATGAAGCTACAGAATGTGCAAAAGCTGTCATGAAGGGCTGTGAGAGTAAAATGACCATAGAATTTACCTTCTGGTTTGCAAAGCTTTTGAAAAGGACATGAGGAGCTGTTAATAATATGCCAGGACAACAGGCGTAAGCAGACCTTCCTAGGCAAACTAGAATTTATGGTGAGTGTGAAGTTTATGCTAAGCATATAGGAATTCATGGAAAGACTTTTAAATAAGAGAGATAATTTGATCACATTTACTTTTAAAAATCATTATAGCTCTGGTGTGGAGGATAAACTGGCAGGGAGCTATTGTAATAAGCCAAAAGAACGTGGTGACTTTACACAGAAGTGGGAGTGAATTTGAGGGAGGTTTAAGAAGTGAATATTGGTTCATCAGATGGGGGTGAGGCAGAGGGAGGTGTTAAGGTTGATACCTGGTTTCTCTCTTAGAGAAGAACATTACCATCCATCTCCCATGCAAAAAAGCTGTATTGGGGAGGTGAAATTTAGACATTTTGAGTTGAAGAGGCCTTTGAGATACTGAGATGGAAATATTCTAGTAGATAGCTGGATATGAATCTAGAAAGGTCCAGGTTAGAGAAAGATGTGCATTTGTGTATGTTTTCTGTTTGTATTATTTCCCCATCCTTTAAACTATACTTCTCATTGTTTCTAGGGTTTATGTTGGGAAAAAATACTTTGTTTTCTAAACTTCAAAGAACAGTAAATACAAAATGTTTTGTTTAGTTTTCATCTTTCTTGGCTAGGAAGTAATTCTGAACCAGGAGCAGTCGCAGTGCTGAAGGATATGCTTATCCACTTGTTAAATGAACAAATGGTGGGATTATGAGTGTTTATTTTATTCTGTGTACTTTGATATGTTTTAAATTTTTGTCTAAGTGATTAAAAATGGAATAGTGTTTGGCCATTTGTATTTGAGTGGCTCCTATAAATGTAGTTTTCATCTGTTGGGCCTATGCTGTTGGCTTTAAGGACATCTTATCTCATTTAATCCTCACAATACCTTGTGGTTAGGTGGTATTCTCATTTTACAGATATGGTTAAACTTAAAGAAGTTAAGTAGTTTTGCCACAGTTTACACAGCAAGTAGCAGAACAGTGTTTGAACCCAGACTGGTCTAACTCTGTTCTACATATTCTTAATCTTTAGACTGTAAGTTGTCTTTAGGGACTACCAAAAAAAATTGAGCTGCTTTCAAGCTGTCTTCCTTTGACATTGACCGTATGACATACATATACATGCTTAACAGTAGAAGTTGGCCAGGCACAGTGACTCACGCCTGTAATCCCGGCACTTTGGGAGTCCAAGGCCAATGGATCACCTGAGGTCAGGAGTTTGAGACCAGCCTGACCAACATGGCAAAACCCCGTCTCTACTAAAAATACAAAATTAGCTGGGCGTCGTGGTGCATGCCTGTAATCCCAGCTACTCAGGAGGCTGAGGCAGTAGAATCACTTGAACTCATGAGGCAGAGGTTGCAGTGAGCCAAGATCGCGCCATTGCACTCCAGCCTGGGCAACAAGAGCGAAACTCCGTCTCAAAAAAAAAAAAAAAAAAAAAGAGTAGAAGTTAAACACTATCTCGTATTGGTGTAATACTTTTTTGAATTTTACATGCTTTGTATATCTTGTCAAGCTCTCAGTAACAAAGTTTGAGTGGCAGCACCCCCTAACAGTTGAGGCATATGTGATTAAAGAACCAAACAAAAAATCCACTCAGGTGCACTGGGTTCTGTGTCTCATTATAGTAAGTACTCTGCCCTGGAGGACTTGAGCTGATGTTCACCAGCAGCTAAAGTGACTATTATTAATGTTTAGAGAAGTGGATAGTTCTGCTTAGAATCTATTATAATGTTTAAGCTCTGTTTGCTTTATAATAGAGAACTTCCTGTACTGGACTGTGGATGGATAAAGCCAGACATCTGTGCTTCCAACTCAGCAGGTAAAAGTTGACATTTTCAGAATATGCAATATTGAAGCATCTCTTTATATCTCCATTCAGGCCTAGTCAAGATGAATTCACTAGAACAAGAAGCTTTTCATTTTAGGGTCTGTTGACCATATGTTTTATAGTTTGTCAATTTTCCTGTTTTAATTGACTGGTTGGAAGATCAGATTGAGATATTTTCTGTTTGATTATTTAATAAATAACTTTGTTAGGCTTTATCTACAAAAGATAGGTAATTGACCTCAGCAGTTTTTGTCATCTTATTTTGAAAATGAAATATGTATTTAAGCTTTATCACATTTTAAATCTCAGTTGCTTAAAAAAATTTTATAGTTGGCTAGGGGCGGTGGCTCATGCCTGTAATCCCAGCACTTTGGGAGTCCGCGGCAGGTGGATCACGAGGTCAGGAGATCGAGACCATCCTGGCCAACATGGTGAAACCCCATCTCTACTAAAAGTACAAAAAATTAGCCGGGCGTGGTGGCAGGCACCTGTAGTCCCAGCTACTTGGGAGGCTGAGGCAGGAGAATGGTGTGAACCCGGGAGGCGGAGCTTGCAGTGAGCCAAGATCACGCCACTGCACTCCAGCCTGGGCAACAGTGCGAGACTCTGTCTCAAAAAAAAAAAATATATATACACACACACACACACACACACACACACACACACACACACACACACACACATATATATATGGTTAACAGCTAGTCAAAAGTTTAAATACCTGAATCTTTATTTCATAGGGCATAACTTAGTATGAAAGTTAATTTTACTTTGACTTTCAAGTTTTATAAGTATATTTAAAATACATTTTATTTTATAAGTATATTTAAAAGTATATTTTATAAGTATATTTAAAATAAGTGCATTTAAAATTTAAAATTCTTGAGATGATCAAGAAAAATTCTTAAATATCTGTTTCTTTTTATATAATATAATGGAGTTATTTTGATAGAGAGGAATTATTGTATAATTCGCTGAAAACTCTGCTTCATATTTGTCACATTAGACCTTAAAAGAGCCTCTGAATTCTGAGTCATTTTTTAGAACAGCCTTTGAATAACTCAGTTATTTTGTCTTTAAAGTTTCTATAGTTGAATATTATTTCTTTTCAGAAAGTGAAATAAAACGTGATCCCAAAGATGTAAACACTTCCTTAGGAGAAGTTGCTAATGAGACCTCTGAAAATGAAACACTGGGAGACTTCAGTGAACAAATAAAAGGTTCAGACTTGGATGAAAAGGTACTAGGGGATCTTTTGTGTTTTTTTATTTCTTGGTCTTAAATAGTGGTAATGCATAAATCCATCTTAACAGTGCTATCGGGTGGCAAGTGTAACTCCCTTTATTGAATAAAAGAATCACGTCACTCTAGCCATGGGATGTATCCCTTGATACTTGGTGTAAGCATAGTATAAAAAAGATCTTCCTTGCCTGGGAAAATGGGATGTACTGTTTAATTACATACTGTAGTTAGCTTTTTAGTATCTGAAGTTTGTCACAAACCTATGAAAGTCTTTCTAAATAAAATATTACATATTTTTCTGCCTCAGAAAACACTAAGTACTGAAAATCGTTTGATCTTCCTTAATTTTCAGGTAGCATAGTACCTGAGGGCCATGCTTCCTAGTATGGGATGATTTCTTTGTTTTGTTTGAGGGAAGGGGGATTATATATTTATCCTTCTAATACCATGGTAGGCTTCAAAGTACTAACCCTTTACAAAATTAGTCAGTAATATTTGCTCTTAAGATATCTGGCCCCCAAATTTGGGAATTAACAAACTTGTTTTCGTCTCTCTCTTACCTTACATTTTAGGAACATTAGAGGCTAAGTAGATTGACTTACGGGACATATGCCTGGCCTTCTTTTCTGCTTTTATATATGGCTGGCTGTAAATTTTTAGAAATGCTTCCTTATTGATCTTTTACTTCCACTATATGTGTATGTATGTACAAGTATGTATGTATGTACAAGTACATACATGTATAGTGGGAAATAAAAGATCAATATGCCGGGTGCAGTGACTCAGGCCTGTTATCTCAGGACTTTGGGAGGCTGAGGTGGGAGGACTACTTGAGGCCAGGAATTTGAGACCAGCTTGAGCAACATAGTGAGACCTTGTCTCTACAAAAAAAAATTTTTTTTTAATTAGCAAGGCGTGCTGGCATCCACCTGTAGTCCCAGCTACTTGGCGGGGTGGAGGTGGGAGGATAACTTGAGCCTGGGAGGTCAAGTCTGCAGTGAGCCATGTTCGGGCCACTGCACTCCAGCCTGGGCAACAAAGCAAGACCTGTCTCAAAAAAGAAAACATAGGGGTGTGTGTGTGTGTGTGTGTGTGTGTGTGTGTGTGTGTGTGTGTGTGTGTGTGTGTCTATTTTATATATTTTATATATATATAAAATGTGTGTGTATCTATTTTATATATATATATAGTGTGTGTGTGTGTGTGTGTGTGTGTGTGTGTGTGTGTGTGAATGATTCTTTTCCAGAGGCCTTTTCTTTTCTCCTGTGTATCACTTGTCAATTTTTAGGTTTACCATGGTAGTAATTACTTGATGATTCTACTGTTGGGCTCCTGATAAAGTACTAGTGTACTTTTTTTTAACTTCTTATTTTGAAATAGAGATTCACAGGAAGTTACAAAGGTAGTACAGAGAAGACCCATGTTGCCTTTACCTAGTTTTCCCCTATAATTACATCTTAAAGTATAAGAAGCAGGAATTTGATATTGATAAAATAAGTTTGTGTAGTTCAGTGTATTTTATCAAATATGCAGATTTATGTGACCACCACTGCAGTCAAAGAGCTATTCCATCACCACAAAGATATCCCTTATGCTACCTCTTAACAGTCATACCTGTTTCCCTCCCCCAATAATTTCTATAGTTTTGGCATTTTAAAATGAAGATTCATAAGAGGTTGGCTAGAGGATTATTAATTGATAATTCTAAAAAAAAACAGCTTTAGTTTTACTGATTTTTTTTCCTATGTTGCTTTTTTGTTTTCAGTTTCACTGATTTCTGCTTTGGTTATTTCCTCCTTCTACTTAGTTTGGATTAATTTGTTGTTCTTTTTGTAGCTTCCTAAAGTTGCAGCCGAGGTCATTGATTTGAAACCATTATTATTTTCTAATAGAGGCATTTAGTGCTATAAATGTATCCATAAATACTGTTTCAGCAGCATCCCACTTTTAGTTGAGATAAATTGTGGATTCACGTGCAGTTATAAGAAATAATGCATAGATATCTATCTACCCTTTACCTAGTTTCTCCCAGTTGTAATATATTGCAAAACCATAGTACAATATCACAACCAGAATATTGGCATTAATACGATCAAGATATTACAGAACATTTCCGTCACCACGTGGATCCCTCATGTTGCCCTTTGATAGTGCACACCTACTTTCTTCTCTCTTTCCTCCATCGCCCATTCCTTAACCCTGGACAACCACATATCTGTTCTGCATTTCTATAATTCAGTCATTTCAAGAGTATTATATAAATGGAATCATACAGTATGTAACCTCTTCAGATTGGTTTCTTTTTTTTTTTCCACCTGGATAATCCTGTGGATATTCAACCAAGTCATTGCATATATCGGTAGTTCATTCATTTTTACTGTTTGGTAATACTCCATGGTATAAGTGTACCATAGTTTGTTTAGCTATTTGCTCATTGATGGATATCTAGATTGTTTCCAGTTTGGGACTCTTACAGGATAAAGCTGCTATCTATAAACGTTCATGTACAGGTTTTTGTGTATCTATGTGTTTTAATTTCTCTGGGATAAATGGGCTGTTAACTGCTGAGCTATATAGTAGTCGCATGTTAGGTTTTGACTTGGGTGAACTCATCCTCCAGATTACTCTCCTGCGGCTGGAGTCAGTTGAAATGTTTGTTCAGTTCTTTGAGTCTTAGCTGGGCTCTTTGGAATCCACGTTACATACATATAGTTCAGAGATCAGCTAGAGATTTGGGCCAAGTTATAAGTAGATTTGGGGGATTTATCTGTTAGGCTTTCTCCCATATTCCTAGCCTCACTTTCCAGTTTCTGATTTTACCCCAAACTCTGTTCTTCTGGTTGTTAGTAGGGCAAATTGTTGTCCTCCCCAAGTGGTTCCAACTAGGGCCTGCCCTTGGGTATACAGCCATAAAAGCAAGACATTTACCCAGTGGCATTCCATCTTTTTGAGTGTAGACTTCCCTCTAGGTTCTGCCTGCTTTTCATATCTCTCCAGGCTTTTCAGGTAGTTTAAAAATATTTTATCCAGGGTTTATGGTTGTTATCTGCAGAAGAGTTACCCCAATAGGAGATTCTCTGCCATTTCTCAAAGTACACCCATTGTGAATTCTTTTGAATTTCATCCAGATGGTAGCGTACTGTTCTTTACCTTGCTTAAGATGTTTTTCCTTTCAATGTATGTAATGATGTCTTGTTTTTATAGTTGTATAATTACCTACTATATGAATATAATCTAACAAGTCCCACTATTGATGGACACTTGGTTTGTTTCCATTTTTTTGCTATTTAAATATTGCTGCATTATGCATCCTTGAGCATAAGGCATTTTGCATATGTGCAAGCATTTTTGGATTAATTCCTAGAAGTGGAGTTGTCAAATTGTCCTTCATAGAGATTGCTTTGATTTATACTTTCAACAATATTGTGTGAGAATGCCATTTTCTCCCCACACACTAATTCATTATTAATTTTTTGTCCATCTGCTTATTTTTATAAATGACTTTATTTTAGTTTTAATATGCATTTCTCTTATGAGTCTAGTTAAACATCTTTAGAAGCCATTTATATTGTTTTCTATGAACTTGCTGTGTATGTCCTGATATGGTTTGGCCGTGGTCCCACCCAAAATCTCACCTTGAATCCACATAATCCCCACAATCCCTGCATGTCAAGGGAGAGACCAGGTAGAGGTAATTGAATCATTGGGGCAGTTCCCCCATATTGTTTTATGATAGTGAGTTCTCATGAAATCTGATGGTTTTATTAGCGTTTGGTAGTTCCTCCTGCATTCATTCTCCTTCCTGCCACCTTGTGAAGAAGGGGCCTTGCTTCCCCTTCACCTTGTGTAAGTTTCCTGAGGCCTCCCCAGCCGTGCTGAACTGCGAGTCAATTAAACCTCTTTCCTTATAAATTACCCAGTCTTGGGCAGTTCTTTATAGTAGCATGAAAACGGACTAATACATGCCCATTTGCCCATTTTCTTCTGGATTTGATCTTTTTTACTTGTAGGAACTTTTCATGAAATAAACATATCTATTCTTGTCATATGTGGCTATACCTTTTCCTGGATTTCATTTGTTTTGACTTCGTTTAGGAGCTTTTCATCTTGTAAAAGCCTTTTATTTTTATTTAATCAAATATGTCAGTTTTCTTTTATAATAGGAGTTACAAGTCACATTTAGAGAAACCCTTCCCCATCTCAACATTTAAAATTTTCTCCCATATTTTCTTTTAGGGTTTTTTGGTGTTACTTATTATGTAAAATTTATCTTAGGGGAAGGAATATAGAAACAATGTAACTTTTCCTTATTTTAGCAGATGGCATTTTGTACTCTTTATTCTCTTAACATATGAAAATATTTAAAATATTTATAGTCAAACCATTGATATCTTACTTCATGGTTTCTGCCTTTGGTGTCACGCTTAGGCTTTCCCAACCCTCCAAATTATATACTCATTTATATATTTGATTTGTTTTGCTATTTTATTTTCTTTTGCTACTTTTAGAATTTATTTTTAATTTAATGAAATATTTAATAAACCTAAAAGGTATTTTGGCATATGGTGAGTTAGGAGCACACTTATTTTCCATCCAATTAACTAGCCAGTTGTTCTACCATTTATTGAATCATTTCCTCCTAAATTTCAAGTGCCATATTTAATATTTTCAAAGTTTTATGTGTAGATCTGTTTCTTTTTTTTTGTTTCATTGATTGCTAGTCCTTACACCAATAGCATACTGTCAATTTTTTGAAAAATAGTAAGTAAAATATTAAATGGTAAAATATGTTTTGGTGGTTCTCTCTCTTGTATTTTTTTAAAGAGTGCTTTAAACTCACATTGTAGTTTTTTTAATGTATAAATTAATTTGGGGAGAATTAGCATCTTTAACTCTAGTATTCTCATCCAGGAACATGGTAGGTCCTCGGTTTGTTATGTTTTATGTTTCTCAGTTGATTTTTGTAGTTTTCTAAGAGTTCTAGGTTGTCTTCCAAGGCTTTTATAGTTTTGGGTTTTACATTTAAGTTTTTAACCATCTCAAGTTGATTTTTGCATATGGGAAAAGAAGGATCCAGTTTCAGTCTTCTGCATATGGCTAGCCAGTTACCCAGCACCATTTATTGAATAGAGGTCCTTTCCCCATTGCTTGTTTTTGTCAGCTTTGTTGAAGATCAGATGGTTGTAGGTGTGCAGCCTTATTCCTGGGCTGTCTATTCTGTTCTATTGGTCCGTGTATCTGTTTTTGTACAAGTACCATGCAGTTTTGGTTACTATAGCCCTGTAGCGTAGTTTGAAGTCAGTAACATGATGCCTCCAGCTTTGTTCTTTTTGCTTAGGATTGCCTTGTCTATTCGCACTCTTTTTGAGTTTCATATGAATTTTAAAATAGTTTTTTCTAGTTCTGTGAACAATGTCATTGGTAGTTTAATAGGAATAACATTGAATCCATAAATTACTCTGGGCAGTATGGCCATTTTAATGATATTGCTCTCTCCTATCCATGATCATGGAATGTTTTTCCATTAGTTGATGTCGTCTGTGCTTTCTTTGAGCAGTGTTTTGTAATTCTCATTATAGAGATCTTTCACTTCCCTGGTTAGCTGTATTCCTAGGTATTTTATTCTTTTAGTGGATGCCTGTTTTTTCAAAAGTTTAATATTTGAACATGTATAACCTTCTTATGACTGAAAAATCATGATTTCAAAACAGCTACTTGTGAAATGTAAGTATAGTTATATTTAAAACACATTTAAATATTTCTTATGAAATACAAATTTTATGTTCATAAATACCACTTTAAAATAACTCAAAGCTCAAGCTTTTTTCTGAATAAAAAGAAACTCAACTTTAGTTTTACCTAATAATTTGAAATAGCAACTTGGGTAATTAAAGGGGATATCAAAACCTGGACAAATATTTTGACTTATATTAATTTTTCTCTTAAGCAGCAGTGGAAATTTTAAAGTCAGTATTCAGTATTTTAAATTATGTAGAGTAGAATTGTTTTTAGGGATTGGCCATAAACTAGTTATTTAATTAACATCTAATACATTATAATAAATCCAGTAAGCCTCATAGCTTAGTATGTAATACAGAGACCTTCACTTGTACTTATTTAACCATAATCTCTTCACAGCATAGATTTACAGACAAAGTGATTACCAAAGAAGAAAAAGAAAATATTTATGAAGTTTGCAAAAGGTCTGTAACATAATTCTTAATTACATAACTTAAAATAGTCACTCATCTAATTTATATCTTGAGTATGTTTTTTATTCTCTGCTGTTTATATGCTTGGGCTATATGCCATAAGCCATATATAGGTATAATTTAATTAATGTGTCAGATGTACTCAGGTGTAAGGGGTATTGTAAATTACCTTAAAGCTGTCACTAAGTTTTTTGAGCCATTAAAATATTTTTTGAGGAAAGATAAGGAGTAGTGATAAAAAGAAAAAATGATGTATGTTTGACTTTTATGAAGATATGAGTGGCTGAAATCAGATTCACATTGCAGTTTGCAAGGATCTTACATAGTTGCAGCGATTCATACTAAGAGTTATAGCACACCCACTGGAACATATAAAACCACCACATTTGGAATTGGAGGACACCTTAAAGACCATCTGATCCATCCTCCACCACCCTCATTTTGCATGTGAGGCAAGGCTCACCCAGGACAGGTGATGGATGCATTTGAGGCTTTTAATGTTAAGGCAGTAATTTTCAAAGTGTGATCCTTGGAGAAGCATCATCATGTAGGAACTTGTCAGAAATTGAAATTATTGAGTCCCATCTCAGATCTCTGAATCAAACTTTGGGGATGGGCCTATCAATCTGTTTTTAACAAGACCACCAGCTGATTTTGATGCATGCTCAAGTTTGAGAACTGTGTTAAGGGAAAGACTGGGCAAGAATTAAATTGGCATAGAAGGTTTAGTTTGGTTCATGACCATTTGGAGATACTAAAGAAAAAGGAAGATACTAAAGAAAAAGCAATAAGATTAACTTTTTTTTCTGTTGAAATCATTTTGCTTACAAACTAACATAGTGTAATTGCAGACTGCAAAGGTTTATCAACTTGACTCTAGCATAGCGATCACCAGTTGACATTGATCGGTTAAGTCATTACATCACCATGGGCTTCAGTCATCTGATCAAAAATAAAAAATAGATCATCTCTTCCATCTATAAAAATTCATAATTTCTATTTCTTTGTTTATGTTGCCGCTTTTGTTTTATTTGTGGAGGACATACTGATAATACATAGTAAGTGACATCCCAAGTTGGGGAGAGAAGTGAATATCTTTATTTTGTGTGAAAATCTTAAATTCTACCAATGATACTAAATTTCAACTCTTATAAATATGGGTCCCTCTTCTTCCTATTTTTAGTCTCCTCTGGCGCAGAAAACACAAGCTGAAAAACTTATTAGAATTATTTTTAAGGTAAAGATTATAGTATCTGAATGTTGGTGTAAACCTCTCTCCTAAAAAGTAAATGCATTTGTATTTACTAATCAGCTCTGAAGTACTTCTCTCTCTCCCCTTACTTGAATTATTTTTCTAGATAAGTAGTGTCCAAATTAAATTTTTGTAAAATTGCTTATGTAGGATCTCACATATTAGAATACAATTAAAGCTGTTTAAATCAGCCACCCTGGAACAATAACATTTTTAATACCTTTTCCCCAGAGAAAGCACTCAAATGCCTTTATAGGCTTATTGTGTATACCTTTCCTGAAGACTAATTTATAATTCATTTAATTGCATTATCAGTAGAATAATTTAATGACCTTTTCTGATTAGAACACTAACCTAACTCCTCCTCAGACCTTTTGTTTAGCATAGTCAAAAATATTTTGCTCTAATCTTAACCACACCACCCCATTCCTTCCTCTACTCCAACCACTTAAGAAGTGCTGGTTTTCTAGTTAAGAAGGCAGGAACAACCTATTGGAGATGCTGAAGAATTGTAATATATACAGGTATACCTTGGAGGTATTGCAGGTTTGAGTTCAGACTACTGCTGTAAAGCAAATAAAATGAGTCATATGAATTTTTTTGTTTCCTAGTGCGTATAAAAGTTATGCTTACACTGTACTTTAGTCTATTAAGTGTGCAATAGCATTATGTCTTTAAAAAATGTACACACCTTCATTTAAAAATACTTTATTGCCAAAAAGTTTTTACATCATCTGAGCCTTCAGTGAGTCATATTTGCCTGGATGTTGATGGCTGCTTACTGAATAGGGTGGTTGAAGATTGGGGTGAAGGTTGAAGGTTGAGGTGGCTGTGGCAATTTCTTAAAATAAGACAACAATGAAGTTTGCTGCATCAGTTGACACTTCTTTTCACAAAAGATTTCTCTGTAGCATGTGATGCTGTTTGATAGCATTTTACCAACAGTAGAACTTCTTTCAAAATCAGACTCAATCCTCTCAAACTCTACCTCTGCTTTATCAACTAGATTGTGTGATATTCTGAATACTTTGTCACTTAAACAATGTTAATGGCTTCTTCATCAGGAGTAGATTTCATCTCAAGAAACCACTTTCTTTGCTCATCCATAAGAAGCAACTCTTAATCCATTCAAGTTTTATCATGAGATTGCAGCAATTCAGTTACAACTTTAGGCTCCACTTCTACTTCTAGTTTTCTTGCTATGTCCTCCACATTTGCAGTGACTTCCACAACTAAAGTGTTTAACCCCTGAAAGTCATCTATGAGGGTTGGAATCAACTTCCTCCAGACTGCTAACGTTGATATGTTGACCTTCTCTTATAAATCACAAATGTTTTTAATGGCACCTCGAATGGTGAATTCTTCCTAGGTTTTCAATTTACTTTGTCAAGATCCATCAGAGAAATCACTATCCATGGCAGATAGAGCCTAATTAAATGTATTTCTTAAATAATAAGTCTTGAAAGTCAAAATTACTTCTTGATTCATAGATTGCAGAATAGATGTTGTGTTAGCAGGCATAAAAACAACATTCAGACTGGGCATGGTGGCTCACGCCTGTAATCCCAGCACTTCGGGAGGCCAAGGTGGGTGGATCACAAGGTCAGGAGTTCACCAGCATGGCCAAGATGGTGAAACCCCACCTCTACTAAAAATGCCATAATTAGCCAGGCGTGGTGGCGGGCACTTGTAATCCTAGCTACTCAGGAAGCTGAGGCAGAGAATTGCTTGAACCCAGGAGGGGGAGGTTGTAGTGAGCTGAGATCGCACCACTGCACTCCAGCCTGGGCGACAGAGCAAGACTCCATCTCAAAAAACAAACACAGAAAAAAACCAAAATATTCTTCTCCTTGAGCATGTCCAGCAGAGTTCTTGGGTGACAAGATACATTGTCAATGAGCAGTGGTATTTTGAAAGGAATCTTTTTGAGCAATAGCTCTCAACAGTGGGCTTAGAATATTCAGTAAACCATGCTTTAAACAGATGTGCTGTCTTGCAGGCTTTGATGTTTCATTTATAGGGCACAGAAAGAATAGATTTAGCATAATTCTTAAGGGCCCTAGGATTTTTGGAATGGTTAAAGTTGCCAGCTACATTATCCCTTAACAAGAGAGAGCCAGTCTATTCGTTGAATCTTTGTAGCCAGGCATTAACTTTTCTCTAGCTATGAAAGTCCTAGATGGTATCTTCTTCCGGTATAAGGCAGTTTTGTCTACATTGAAAATCAGTTTGTTGTAGCTTCCTTCATCAGTTATCTTAGCTAGATCTTCTGGATAACTTGCTGCAACTTTTCCATTAGCAAGTTGACCTTGCACTTCCTGTTTGACCTTGCACTTCTATGTTACAGAGATGATTTGTTTCGTGAAACCTCATGAACCAATTTTGCTAGCTTCATACTTCTGTAGCTTTCTTATCACTCTCAGCCCTCACAGAATTGAAGAGAGTTAGGGCCTTGCTCTGTATTAGGCTTTGGCTTAAGGGAATGTTGTGACTGGTTTGATCTTCCATCTAGATCACTCAAACTTTTTCCATTTCCGCAGTAAGACTGTTTCACTTTCTTTTCATTCGTATGTTCACTGGAGTAACACTTTTAATTTCCTTGAAGAACTTTTCCTTTGCATTGACAGCTTGGTTAACTATTTGGTACAAGAAGCCTACCTTTTGGCCTGTCTTATCCGTCAACATGCCTTCCTCACTAAGCTTAATCATTTCTAGCTTTTGATTTAAAGTGATAGATGTGATACTCCTCCTTTCACTTGACTGCTTAGAGGACATAGTAGGGTCATAAACTGGTCTAATTTCAATATTGTTTTGTCTCAGGAAATAGGGAAGCCTAAGGAGAGGGAGAGAGATGGGGGAACAGCCAGTTGGTGGAGCAGTCAGAACACACACATCATTCATTGATTAAGTGTACCCTCTTATAGGGGCTTAGTTTTCATGGTGCCCTGAAACAATATCAGTAGTAACACTGATCACTGATCATAGAGCACCATAACAGATAAAATAATAATGAAAAAATTTGAAATATTGTGAGAATTACCAAAATGTGACACAGAGACGTAAGTGAGCACGTGCTGTTAGAAAAATGGCACCAATTAGACTTGCTCGACTCAGGGTTGCCACAGTGCTTCAATTTGTAAAAAAATAAAAATAAAAAATTTTTTTAAAAAGAAATATCTGATATCTGCAAAGCATTACTTTAATGTTTAAAAATACATTTAAATTCTGATGTTAATTTTTCCTTTCACACAGCAAAGATTCTAGAAATGCAGACTTTATGGTCGGCGAATGTCAATTTGCAGTACCAGTCCCGAAACCTCTGTGTTTATTAGTACCTCCTTTGAATCTAAGTGGTCGTCAAGAAGACACAATACTGAATACCTGGATGAATGGTACTATTTGTTTTCTTAATGAAATCCTGTTGGCTTTTGGTGATATAGAAACTAGGAGATTTTTCTACCAAAAACAAAAAACGATTAAAAAAGAAAAATGGAATCATGTAGAATATGTTAAAATTAGAAGGTTTGTGCACCTTTACTTAGTACTTTTTTTTTTTTTTTTTTTTTTGAGACAGAGTCTCACACTGTCGCCTAGGCTGGAGTGCAGTGGCACGATCTCAGTGCACTGCAACCTGCACCTTCCCAGGTTCAAGCGATTCTCCTGCCTCAGTCTCCTGAGTGGCTGGGATTACAGGCACCTGCCACCATGCCCGGCTAATTTTTTTGTATTTTTAGTAGAGACGGGGTTTAACGGTGTTGGCCAGGCTGGTCTTGAACTCCTGACCTCGTAATCTGTCCACCTCAGCCTCCCAAAGTGCTGAAATTACAGGTGTAAGCTACCGCGCCCAGCCTACTTAGTACTTTTGATGGAACAACGTGTGAAATATCTGTATTTATGTGATAGTGGTAGTACGAGTAAATTACAGGTTATATCTAAAATATATTTTGATGGAGTGTGTATATGTATTTTAGAACTTGTGTCAGTTTTTTGATAATTAACAATATTTTGAACAAAATAGACTACATTAAAGGATGAATTTAGAATCTGTAAAATCACATTGTATAGCACACACCTAACTTTTCTATATCTACCCTACTATACCTACTGACTTCATGCTGCCTCGTGTTGTATACTATAACAGCAAGCCCATGATGGTCATGTGTTTTATCTTAAAAGTCTTACAGTTTTCATAATGCAAATTACTGTGAAGTTATGCAGCAAAAACTTCAGCTTGTTTCAGATTATAGCTGGATGCTGCCAAAGTAAAAAATAAATGATTTAAAATTAAAAATACTTTTATTTTTATTTGTTATTTTTATCTTTAGAAAAGAACATTTTTAAATGCCCTAGTTCTCTTTTTAAAAGACCAACATTAAGGGATATGATGCCTGGTGTATTAGTTTGCTTGGGCTGCCATAATAAAATGCCACAGATTAAAGGGCTCAAACAACAGAAATTTATTTTGCACAGTGCTAGAAGTTCAGGGCTAAGGTTCTAGAAGGGTTCATTTTCTGATGAGGGCTCTCTTTCTGGCTTGCAGATGGCTACCTTCTTGCTAAGTCCTCACATAACTTTTCCTTGGTGTGTGCAAGGAAAGAGTGTAAGCTCTGTGGTGCCTATTCTTTTTTTTTTTTTTTTTTTTTTTTTTAGACAGAGTCTCACTCTATAGCCCAGGCTGGAGTGCAGTGATGTGATCTTGGCTCACTACAACCTCCCCCTCCCAGGTTCAAGTGATTCTCCTGCCTCAGCCTCTCGAGTAGCTGGGATTACAGGCACGCACCACCATGCCTGGCTAATTTTTGTATTTTTAGTAGAGACGAGGTTTCACCATGTTGGCCAGGCTGGTCTCAATGGTCTCAAACTCCTGACCTCAGGCAATCTGCCCACGTGGGCCTCCCAAAGTGCTGAGATTACAGGTGTGAGCCACCGCACCAGACTGGTGCCTATTCATATAAGGACATTAATTCCATTGATTCAGGACCCCACCTCTTTGACCTCATTTAACCTGATTAACTTCTATAAACACCCTATCTCCAAATATAGTCATATTGAGGGTTAGGGCTTCAACATGTTAATTTTTTGGGGACACAGTTCAGTCCATCGCACCTGGATTTGTCACTAGTTTTCTTCCCTTAGAAATGTTTATTGTGTATAATATTTGTCTATTTAACTTAGAGACATATCATTTGAATACAGTGCCCAATGCTGCTATGTGAGGTTTTTAAGAAAGTTGTCTGCAGCTTATAGTGAGTTTAAAATTTTAAATTCAGGTCTAGAAATACTTGAGGGTACCTAAGATGTATATCGTACTATATTTCACAGGAACACACATGGCAGCACAGTCTGTGAACTGAATATGAATATTTCAAAGTGAAACTTTAAAGCAGATAGTAGTGATCATCTATTTCATTGTTATGAAGAAAATAAGTTGTAACATATTGGTGTGTAATGCCACTCTAAATCATTTCTAGATTTCAGATTTCTGGGAAAACATTCTGTCCTAAAGCTGCAGAATCCTGAAACTTGTGAAATATTCAAGAGGGAAAAAAATGTGGGGGTAAGTCTACTTTAAAAAATAATAATAATCTGTCTCTTTCTCCTCCCCCTCCTCCTCCTTCTCCTCCCTCCTCTTCCTCACTTTCCTCCACTCCCTCTTTTATCCTCCCCTTAAAAAAATAATTTTATAAACCAATACTTTGGACCTTTTGATTGTATTTCCCTATCATCTTTTTTTTTTTTTTTTTTTTTTTTTTTTTTTGAGACGGAGTCTTGCTCTTGTCGTCCAGGCTAGAATACAATGGCATGATCTCGGCTCACTGCCCCTTAAAAAAAAAAAATTTTCATAAAACCAATACTTTGGACCTTTTGGTTGTATTTCCCTATCCTTTTTTTTGAGACGGAGTCTTGCTCTTGTCGTCTAGGCTGGAGTACAATGGCATGATCTTGGCTCACTGCAACCTCTGCCTCCTGGGTTCAAGCCTCAGCCTTAAGATTCTCCTGCCTCAGCCTCCTGAGTAGCTGGGATTACAGGCGCCCACCACCACGCCCGGCTAAGTTTTGTATTTTTAGTAGAGATGGGGTTTCACCATGTTGGCCAGGCTGGTCTCGAACTCCTGACCTCGTGATCCTCCTTCCTTGGGCTCCCAAAGGATTACGGGCGTGAGCCACTGTGCCCAGCCTATCATCATTTTTTAAGCAGTTCCAGATATTATATGGATTTTGAATGGAGGTTTGTGGTAAGAGGTAGAAAATAAGTAGTGAGTTAGAGGATATTCACAAATAGTGTAAGAGGTTGAAAACAGCAGAGGGAGAACATCCAAAACAGAAAAAACAGGCTGAATACTTTTCTGTGATGAAAGAGAAAGCTGCTGATATAAAGCAGTTTATGGGGAAAGTTTGTTGTAAAAAGCTTTAACTCTGTCATTTGCCTTGTTCTATTAATCAGAAAAACTAAGGAGAATTTTGGTTCTAATAAATGCATCTGAAATATAGTGCATATTATAATAGAATTAACTTTTTGTAAAAGCAGAGACAGGTACGTGAAAGGGAAGAGGAATGTGTACATTTTTTTAAATATGTAAAGTATGTGGGGGCAGGGAGTCCATGGGATATTTCTGTTCCTTAGTTTTTCTGTGAACCTGTACCTGCTCCAGAAAAAACAGTCTTAAAAAATGAGACATAAAAGAGAATAACCTTGATGGAATATTTTACACAAAGATAAATTTTTTAAAATCCAGACAAATCACTCTGAAATGATTTTTTAATTATTTTTGAAAATATAAATTGTTTGAAGTTTTATTTTTTCTTATTAAATTAGCAAACAAGTTATCTTGATACTCTTTGGAATATATGTTATTTGTGTTGCTTCAAATGCTGTCTTGCTTAACTATAGTAAGTGCTTTACAGTTAATACAGAAAGTGAATCTTTCTAATTTTCTAGGTGTTCCAGAAGTCCCTAGGGTTGATGATACCCTATAAATATTGCAAATTTCATTTTAATACATTACGTGGCTGTGAGCGACCACTGTGCAAGTTTGCTCATGTGCCTGAACAAGGGGATGAAAAGGTAAAACATATAAAGTCTTTAAAGTAGAGATTGTTTTAATAACTATCTCAGTCATGCATTTTAATTTAGATTTTCATTGACTCCTAATAGCATAGATGTGAGTTTTGCCTGCTTTTGTTCTTTATATAAATGGAATCATATGTGTATTCTTTAGTCTGTCTTCTTTTGCTCGATATTTTTGAGCAAACACCTATTGTAGATGTTTCTCATTGTCCTATAATAGTTAATATTCCATTTTATGAGTGTATCAAAATGGAATATTGGGTGGAGCAGATTTGGATATTACAATTGTGATGCTGTCAGTGTTCCCCATGTCTTTTGGTGAACATATGTATACGTTCTGATAGGTTATACTTAAAACTGGAACTGCTGTGTCATAGGGTCTGCATATATTCAGCCCTAGTAGATAACAGCCAAATAGGTTTCCAGAGGGGTTTTACCAAATTACACTCTTACCAGCAATGTCTGAGAATTCTGGTTGTTTCACATCCTTACCAGCTCTTGATATTATTAGCCTTTTGCATATAGCCATTCTGGTGGGTGGGTAGTGATACCTTCCCTGATGATTGATGAAGTTGAGCACTTTTCAATGTTTATTGGGCATTAATGGGATATGCTCTATTTGGAAATATACAGATATTTTCCCTATATTCTATGGGATTCTTTTTCTTCTCAGTCTACAATAATTAATCATATAATCTGTATACAAGTTCTTGGTTGTATGTGTGTATGTATATCTATATATATAAAATCATTTATTACTTTAGAAGTTGCCTTTTCACCTTTTGTATTTTGTTTTAATTTTTATTTTTAAATTATAAATTGAAAACTATAGTTTATTTATGGGGTACAGTGTGATGTTTTGATTTATGAATATGATATGGAATAATTAAATCAAGCTAATTAACATATCTGTCACCTAAGATACTATCTTTTTTTGTGGCAAGAATATTTGAAATTTACTCTTAGCAATTATGAAATGTGCATTATTATTTGCCATAGTCACCACTCCATACAATAGATATCAAAGAAAAAAAAACTTTTTCTTCCTGTTTAATTGAGGTTTTGTACTATTTGACCATCATCTCCCCATTCCCCTAACCACCCTCCACCCCTGTCCTCTGGTAACTACTGTTCTACTCTCTGCTTCTTTGAGTTTTAGATTCCATATGTAAATGAGAACATATATGGCATTTGTCTTTCTGTACTTGGCTTATTTCAGTTAGCATGTTCTCCAGTCTATCTGTGTTATGGTGACAAAACTTCTTTCTTTTTATAAGGCTGAATAGTATTTCATTGTGTATATATACCACATTTGCTTAATCCATTCATCCATTGATGGACACTTAGGTTGATTCCATACCTTGGCTATTGTGAATAGTGCTGCAATGAACATAGACGTGCAGACATCTCTTCAACATACTGATTTCAAATCTTTTGGGTAAATACACAGAAGTGAGATTGCTGGATCATATGGTAATTCTATTTTTAGTTTTTTGAGGAATGACCATACAGTTTTCTATAATGGCTATACTAATTTACATTGCCACCAACAGTATACAAAGATTCCCTTTTCTGCACATCTTCACCAGCACTTGTTATTGTTTGTCTTTTTGATAATAGCCATTCTGACAGATGTCAGGTAATATCTCACTGAGGTTTATAATTTGCATTTCTCTGATTCATGATGTTGAGCCTTTTTTCGTACATTTGCCATTTATATGTCTTCTTTTGAGGAATGTTTGTTCAGCTCTCTTGCCCTTTTTTTTGAGGCAGAGTCTTGCTCTGTTGCCCAGGCTGGAGTACAGTGGCACGATCTTGGCTCACTGCAGCCTCCACCTCCTGGTTCAAGCGATTCTTCTGCCTCCACCTCCTTAGTAGCTGGGACTACAGGCCTGTGCCACCAAGCCCGGCTAATTTTTGTATTTTTAGTAGAGACACAGTTTCACCATGTTGGCCAGGATGGTCCCCATCTCCTGACCTCATAATCTGCCTGCCTCGGCCTCCCAAAGTGCTGGGATGACAGGCATGAGCCACTGCACGCAGCCTCCGTTGCCCATTTTTAAATTGGATTACTTGTATTCTTTCTATAAAGTTATTTGAATTCTTTATATATTTTAGATACTAACCCCTTATCAAATGTATGGCTTGCAAATATTTCTCCCAACCTATAGGTTGTCAAAACTCAATCTTAAACAAACCAACAACTATCCTCTAATGAGGGACTTACCACCAGATTGTGCCCAGATAAGGCAAACACCTAGCTATAGCCATTCAAGTAATTTCTCTACTTTGTTTCCACATTCAGTCTATAAGAAATCCCACTGTTCACACTGTTGAAACAGAGCTCTCTGAACCTCTCTAGTTTGGGGTGCTTCCTCATTCGTGAATCTTTTAATGCTCAAATAAACTCTATTAAATTTATTTTTTCTGAAGTTTTTCTTTTAACAGAAGTCAAAACAAAGTTAGCAGGGACACACTGAAGCCTTTCTGTGATAAGGCTTAAAAGGTTAGTTACATGGTGGTAAAAGGCTATATTCTAGAAGACCTCTGCTAAAATAAGAACTCTCTAATATAGCAAGAGCCAGAGTTTCTTACATCTTCTTTTTGTTTTCAATCTCTTTTCCTCTTTACACTATATTCTCTACTCCGCATTCAGAATTATCTTCCTAAAATATGGAATTAATCTGGTCAATAATAAAAAAGTCTCCCTTCCGTATACAAAATAAATTCAAATTATTTAGTTTGGCATTCATCAACTTACAATCACTTGTCAGTGTATTTGTCAAATTTCACTTCCCACTGATGTACCACCCCCCATGCTCCAATCACACCATCCTCTTCATCCTTTAAAACCCAGCTCAAAGCCACAATAATATGTGGCAAGAAAAGACTATGCACTAAGACCACTAAGATAAGTAAGATAGGTCCCAGCTATCAAGAATCCCATTTGGCAGAGAGACACACAAGCAAACAAATCAATGTTATTTAATATAAAGGATGTGTTGTAAAATATGAGCAGAATATAGATAGGCAAATTATTAATTCAAACAAGATCAGAAGAAGCTTCATAGAAAAAATAAAAATATATTCATGAGTGACTTACCATATATGTCAGATTCTGTTTCAAGTGCTTTACGTATATTAACTGATTTAATCCCCATTTTCTTTGATGATGAAAATGAGAGGCCCAGCGCGGTGGCTCATGCCTGTAATCCCTGCACTTTGGGAGGCCCAGGCGGGTAGATCACCTGAGGTCAGGAGTTCAAGATCAGCCTGGCCAACATTGTGAAACCCTGTCTCTTTTTTTTTTTTTTGGCAAGGCACAGTGGCTGAGGCCTGTAATCCCAGCACTTTGGGAGGGTGAGGCAGGCAGATCATTTGAGGTCAGGAGTTCAAGACCAGCTTGACCTACAAAGTGAAACCCCATCTCTACTAAATTACAAAAATTAGCTGGGCATGGTGGTGGGCGCCCAGCTACTTGGGAGGCTGAGGTAGGAGTATCACTTGAACCCAGGAGGTGGAGGTTGCAGTGAGGCGAGACTGAGCCACTGCACTCCAGCCTGGGTGACAGAGCAAGACTCCCTCTCAAAAAAAAAAGAAAAGAAAAGAAAAGAAAAGAAAATGAGAGCCAAAAAGAGTTTAAGTAAAAGAAACATAATAATAATAACTACCATTTATTGAATATTTACAACATGCCAGGCACAATGCTAAGCACTGAAAAGGCACAAAATGGAAGTAAAGCCTTAAATTTTTTTTTTTTTTTGAGATGGATTTCTTGTTGCCCAGGCTAGAGAGCAATGGCACAATCTCAGCTCACTGTAACCTCCGCCTCCCGGGTTCAAGCGATTCTCCTGCCTCAGCCTCCCAAGTAGCTGGGATTACAGGCGTGCGCCAACATGCCCGGCTAATTTTGTATTTTTAGTAGAGACAGGGTTTCTTCATGTTGGTCAGGCTGGTCTTGAACTCCCGACCTCAGGTGATCTGCCTGCCTCAGCCTCCCAAAGTGCTGGGATTACAGAGCCATTGCACCCGGCCGCCTTTAATTCTTTTAAGTGAGAGATGACAGTTCTTATTTTGTACCTCCACTGGTAGGTTTTTTTTTAATTGCTCTTGATTCATAATATTTTACATATTTATGGGGTATATGTGATATTTTGTTACATCTATGTGTGTGATATTTTGTACATCTATGCATGTGGCAAAATATCCCATACCCCATAAATACATAAAATTTATTATTATACATCCATACAGTTTACATGCATAGATGTAACAAAATACCACATATACCCCATAAATATGTAAAATATTGTGAATCAAGATCATAATGATCAATCAAGTCAGGGTATTTGGTGTATCCATCACCTTGAGTGTTTAACATTTCTATGAGTTGGGAACATTTCAAATTCTTCTAGCTACTTTGAAATACACAATACATTGTTGCTAACTATAGTCATCCTACACTGCTATCAAACATTAGAACTTATACCTTCCAACTGTATGTTTATACTATTTGACCAACCACTCTTTTTCCCCCTCCTACCTACACATTCTTCCCAGCCTCTGTTTCTATCATTCTACTGTCTACCTCAATGAAATCAACTTCTTTAGCTCCCACGTAAGAGTGAGAATATGGTATATGTGTCTTTGTGCCTCCTTGTTACCACTTAACATACTGACCTCCAGTTCATCCATATTGCTGCAGACTACATGATTTCATTCTTTTTTATGACCAAATAATATTCCATTGTGTATATATACCACATTTTCTTTATTCATTGATCTATTGATGGACTCTTGGGTTGATTCCATATCTTTGCTATTGTGAATAGTGCTGGAATAAACATGTGAGTACAGGTATCCCTTTAATTTACTAATTTTTTTTTCTTTGGATAAATACCCAGTAGTGGGATTGCTAAATCATATGGTAGTTTTACTTTTAGTTTTTTAAGAAATCTCCATACTGTTTTCCACAGAGGCTGCGCTAATTTACATTCCCACCAACAGTGTATAAAAGTTCTTTTTTCTCTGCATCCTCACCAACATTTGTTATTTTCTGTCTTCTTAGTGATAGGCACTCTAACTGGGGTAAGATGATACCTTACTGTGGTTTAGATTTGCATTTCCCTGATATGTAGTAATGTTGAGCATTCTTTCATATACCTGTTAGCCATTTGTATGTCTTCTCTTGAGAAATGTCTGTTCATGTCCTTTGCCCACTTTTTAATGAGATTATTTGCTTTTTTTGCTGTTGAATTGTTTGAGTTCCTTGTATATTCTGGATATTAGTCCTTTGTCACATGAATAGTTTGCAAATATTTTCTTTCATTCAACAGGTTCTCTTCACTGTGTTTGCTGTGCAGAAGCTTTTTGGTTTAATATAGTCCCATTTGTCTTATTTTTTGTTTTGTTGCCTGTGCTTTTGCAGTTTTTGCCATAAAATCTTTGCCTAGACCAATGTCCTATAGTATCTCCCCTATGTTTTCTCCTATGGTTTTAGGTGTTAAGTTTTAATCCATCTTGAGTTGATTTTGTGTATGGTGAGAGATAGGGGTCCAGTTTCATTCTTCTGAATATGGATATCTTAATTTTCCCAGCACCACTTATTGAAGAGGGTCCTTTCCTTAATGTATGTTCTTGGCGCCTTTGTCAAAAATCATTTGGCTGTAAATAGGTAAATTTACTTCTGGATTCTCTGTTCTATTCCATTGGTCTATAGGTCTGTTTTTATATCAATACCATGCTTTTTTGTTTACTGTATCCTTATAATGTATTTTGAAGTGAGGTAGTTTAATGCCTCCAGCTTTGTTCTTTTTTTTTTTTTTTTTTTTTTTTTTTTTCCAGAATTGCTTGGCCTATTCTGGCTCTTTTTTGGTTCCATGTGAATTTTAGGGTTGTTTTTCTATGTCTGTGAAAAATGACATTGGTATTTTAATAGAGATTACATTGAATCTGTAGATTGCTTTGGGCAGCTTTTTTGTTTTTTTGGTTTTTTTTAGACGGAGTCTGGCTCTGTCGCCAGGCTGGAGTACAGTGGCGAGATCTCGGCTCACTGCACCCTCCGCCTCCTGGGTTCAAGCTACTCTCCTGCCTCAGCCTCCTGAGTAGCTGGGACTACAGCCATATGTCACCACGCCCAGCTAATTTTTTTGTATTTTTAGTAGAGACGGGATTTCACCATGTTGGCCAGGATGGTCTCGCTCTCCTGACTTCATGATCTGCCTGCCTCAGCCTCCCAAAGTGCTGGGATTACAGGCATGAGCCACCACACCTGGCCCAGTATGGTCATTTTAATGACATTAATCCTTCTAATTTATAAGCTTGGGATGTCTTTCCATTTGTTTGTGTCCTCTTCAGTCTCTTTCATCAGTGCCTTGTGGTTTCCTTGTAGAGATCTTTTACCTCATTGGGTAAATTTATTCCTAAGTATTTTTTTGTAACTTTTATAAATGGGAATACCTTCTTGATTTCTCTCTCAGCTAGTTCATTATTGGTGTATAGAAACACTATTAATTTTTGTGTTTTGATTTTGTATCCTGCAACTTTACTGATTTATTCATCACATCTAAGAGTTTTCTGGTGTATTCTTTGGTTATTTTTAAATATAAAATCATATAATTAGCAAAGAGTGACAATTTGACTTCTCCAACTTGGATGCCTTTTATTTCTTTCTCTTGCCTGCTTGCTCTGGCCAGGACTTCTGGTACTATGTTGAATAGGAGTGGTGAAAGTAGGCATCCTTGTCTTGGTCATTCAGTATGATGTTAGCTGCAGGTTTGCCTTATATGGCTGATAGAGTTTGGATATTTGTCCCTGCCCATATCTCACATTGAACTGTAATCTGCAATCCTAAAGGTGGGGCCTGGTGGAAGGTGTTTGGGTGATGGGGGTGGATCCTTCATGGCATGGTGCTTTTTTCACTATAGTGAGTGAGTTCTCATGAGATCTGGTCATATAAAAGTGTGTGGCACCTTCCGCTCCACTCTCTCTTGCTCTCTTGTTCCTGCTTTCACCATGTGATGTGCCTGCTCCACCTTCACCTTCTGCCATGATTGTAAACTTCCTCAGGCCTCCCTAGAAGCTGAGCAGATGCCAGCACCATGCTTCCTGTAAAGCCTGCAGAACCATGGGCCAATTAAACATCTTTTCTTTGTAAATTACCCAGTCTCAGATATTTCTTTATAGCAATGCAAGAATGACCTAATAATACAATGGCCTTTACTATATTGAGGTGTATTCCTCCTTTGCCTAGTTTATTGAGATTTTTATCATGAAGGGATATTGAATTTTATTAAATGCTTTGTCTGCATTTATTGAGATGATCATATGGTTTTTGTCCTTCATTCTGTTAATGTGATATATCATGTTTATTTATTTGTGTGTGTTGTGCCAAACTTACATTCCTAGAATAAATCCCACTTGATCATGATGTATTTTTTTTATGTGCTGCTAGATTCGGTTTGCTAATATTTTGTTGAGAATTTTTGAGTCTGAGTTTATCAGGGGTATTGACCTATAGTTTTTACTGTTGTTGTAGCCTTGTCTGGTTTTGTTATCAGGGTAATGCTGGCATCACAGAATGAGTTAGGGACAATTCCTTTCTCTTCCATTTTTTGGAATAGTTTGAGGAAAATTGGTATTAGTTCTTCTTCGAAAGTTTGGAATTCAGCAATGAAGTCATCTGGTCCTGATGCAATCTCATTACTTGTTTTTGGTCTGTTCAAGTTTTCTGTTTCTTCCTAATTCAATCTCAGTAGGCTGTATGTGTCCAGGAATTTATTCCATTTCCTCTAGATTTTCTACTTTTTCATGTATAGTTAGTTGTTCATAATCGTCTCTGATGATCTTTTTATATTTTCATAGTATCCATTGTAAAGTCTGCTTTTTCATTTCAGATTTTATTTGGGTCTTTTCTTTTTCTTGGTTAGTTTAGCTAGCAGTTTATCAATTTTGTTTATCATTTTGAGAAACCAACTTTTCATTGTGTTGATCCTCCTTTTTTTTTTTTGTCTCTATTTTTTTCAGCCCCACTCTGATCTTATTTCTTTCCTTCTACTAGTTTTGGGTTTGGTTTCTTCTTGCTTTCCTAGTTTCTTGAGATGCATTGTTAGAGTGATTATTTGAAATCTTTCTACTTTTTTAACATAGGCATTTAATGCTATAAACTTCCCTTTTAGAATAGTTGTTGCTATATCGCATATATTTTGGTATTTTGTTTTCTCATTTGCTTCAAGAAATTTTTGCATTTTCTTCTTAATTTCTTTCTTGACCCGATGGTCATTCAGGAGCAGGTTGTTTAGTTTCCATGTATTTGCACAGTTTCCAGAGTTCCTCATGTTATTGATTTCTAGTTCTATTTTATTGTATCTGAGAAGATACTTGATATGATTTTGATTTTTTAAATTGCTGGTTCGTTTTGTATTCTAACATATGGTCTAAAAAATGTTCCATGTGCTGATGAGAAGAATGTGTGTTCTGTAGCTGTTGGATGAAATGTTCTGTAAATGTCTGTTAGGTCCTTTGATTTAATGTGCAGTTTAAAACTAATGTTTGTTTGTTAATTTTCTGTCTAGATGTTCTGTCTAATGCTGAGAGTAGGGTGTTTAAATCTCCAACTATTATTGTATTGGAGTCTGTCCCTCCCTTTAGATGTAATAATATATGCTTTATGTGTCTTGGTGCTGCATTGATAGATGCATGTGTTTTAAGTTGTTATATCCTGTTGCTGAATTGATCCATTTGTCTTTAAATAATGACTTTATCTTTTTTGTTATTTTTTTACTTAAAGTCTGTTTTATCTGATAAGTATAGCTGCTCCTGCTTGCTTTTGGCTTTTGTTTGCATGGAATATCTTTTTCCATCCCTTTACTTTCAATCTATATGTGTCTTTACAGGTGAGATGAGTTTCTGGTAAGTAGCATATCATTGGATCATGTTTGTTTAATCCATTTAGCCAATCTATATCTTTTAAGTGGAAAGTTTAACTCCTTTACATTCAAGGTTATTATTGATGTGTGAGGGCTTATTCCTGTCATCTTATTAATTGATAACTGGTTGTTTTGTATATCCTTTGTTCCTTTCTTTCTCTCTTATTGCCTATCTGTAGTGCTAACATTTGATTCTTTTCTCTTTCTTGTTTGTATGCTCTGCTTTATCAGTAGTGTTTATATTTACATCATGGTAGATATCATTCTTTTCACTTCTAGGTGTAGGATTCCCTTAAGTATTTCTTGTAGGGCTGGTGTAGTGGTGATGAACTCCCTCAGCTTTTGCTTGTCTGGGAAAGACTTTATTTCTCTTTATTTATGAAGGCAAACTTTGCTGAGTATAATATCCATATTTTCTTTTAGCACACTTTAGATACTTCATCCTATTCTCTCCTGGTCTGTAAGGTTTCTGCTGAGAAATCCACTGTTAGTCTGATGGAGATTTCTTTATAAGTGACTAGATGCTTTTTTTTTTCCTTTCCTTTCCTTTTCTTTCCTTTCCTTTCTTTTTTTTCCCTTTCCTTTCCTTTTCTTTCTTTTCTTTTCTTTTTCTTCTTTTATTTTTTTGAGACCGGGTCTTTCTCTGTTGCCCAGGCTGGAGTGCAGTGGTGTGATCTCAGCTCGCTGCAGCTTCTGCCTCCTGGGCTCACGTGATCCTCCCACCTCAGCCTCCCAAGTAGCTGGGACTACAGGCATGTCACCATGTCCAGTTAATTTTTCTATTTTTAGTAGAGTTGAGATTTCACCATGTTGCCCAGGCTGGTCTCGAACTCCTAGACTCAAGCAATCCACCCGCCTTGGTGGGTGCTGAGATTACAGGCATGAGCTGCTGTACCCAGCCTGTTCTTCTTTTTCAAAAGTTATTTTAGCAGCCCACAGCAGTGATGGTTGCAAATAGTAGAATTTGTCCTTCTGGCGTGTGAAAATGTGTAGCCATCTTTCTGGTTCTGGTGGGGGCGCTGAGTCACTGCCATTGGCTCCCACCTTAGCCCTGGCAGCAGCAGCTGCAGGCCAGGAATGTCAGTGGGGCTCCAGGGATTTTCCATTGGGCCCCAGGGCAGGGTTACAATCTGTGGGGGCTGGGCTCCCAAAATGGCACCAGGGTGTTGTTAATTAGCAGCTTTTTTAGCAGCTACTTAGGACTGAGGAATTTGTGGGACTGAGCATGAGCTCTTCCTCTCTGGAGCAGTGCTTTTCCAGGCAACCCCCTACATTAGTCTCAGGACCCACAAGGGCCAAGGGACTCTGTCATGGCTAGGATTATAGGAGTCTGCAGCCGGAGTGTGGACCACTGGGGGTCTCTCATTTACACTTTCCCTGTATTAGGGAGCCTCTCTAACTCCACTAGTAGGTTTTAACCCTGATGAGATTCTTTCTCTGTATAAGACAAGCAAACTAAGCAAATGCATTTTCTTCTACTTTCTAGCAAAATCCCACTGAACTGCATTCATCCATTTGGCTCACCATGCCATCACTTCTCCACTGAAGTGGCTGGTCCAAGGCCAGGTCTTCAGGCATTTAATACCCACTGCAATGCTATGGTAGTCAGAAACCCCTTTTCACCCTCTTAAAAGTATCTTTTGAGAAATAGAATTTCTTCATTTTTATAGTCCAATATTTCATTTTCTTTTGTAATATTGACTTTTTGCATCCTGTTGAAGATCTTTGCCAAGATCATGAAAATGTTCTATGTTTTTCCTTTAAAAGTTTGTTTTACCTTTTGCAGAATCAAATCAGCTAGAATTGATTTTTGTTTATGATATAAGAAGAGAATCAAGATACAATTTTTTCCCATGTGGATCTTCAGGTGACACATTACCATTTATCAAAAAGACCATCTTTTCCCCGCTACACTACAGTGATACCATGTTATAAATCAGCTGACTGTATATAAGTGGGTCTGTTTCTGGGATCTCTGTTCTAATACATTGGTCAATGTGTTTATCCTTGCACCAGCAAATGGTTATTTAAAAAATAACATAAGATTTTTGTAATGAATTCAATATGTACTTCAAATCTGTGAGTTAACCAAACATCAGCTTCTTTATTCCAATCCTTTGAGATCATTTAAAAATTTCAATATAAGCAAAAAGATAGGATTGAAATGTGTATAGTTCTTACAGAATATTTAAAAAAGGTAGTTTTACATTTTTCGTGACTTTTGCAGGTTTGCATGGATGTGTTTAAGAAATATATAAATATCAATGAACTGTGTTTGCTACAGCGTGCAGGTATGAAACAATTAAATAATTAGTATGAAGCTATTAATGTGTTGTTTGAAAATAGTTTAAAAGTAAATTCAATAATTTGTAAGTTTGAAAACTGAATGCCTTACCCAAGAGTAGCTCTGTTGGCCTAAGAAAGGATTGAAAATAAATGAGATATTTTGGTTAATAAAAAAATGATAATCTACCTAACACTGTCATTCCCTTACACATTAATGTTTTCATGACTTACAAATTTTATTTATAAGTGTAAGATGGAGAAAATGGTATTGTTAATTAGTCTTTAACTCTATCTAAAGGGATTTTTCAGAAGCTGACTCTTTCCTACTTCTTCATCCTTCTTCTCTTTTTACATTTACCTCTTGTAGCCAGTGTACCATCCAGTAAGTTCTGTGCAGTTCCCTATACATGCCAGGCTGTGTTCAAACTTCAAGGCTACTATTACCACTTCTCTCTGTCAGAGATGCCTCTGGTTCCATCCCATTTCCTCATGGCAAAGGAAAGGCTATTCGGCCTTCAGGGCTAGGTCGTAGGAAATAGGATTACCTCCTCTATTAGGCCCTTATCTGATTCCACAACCCCATCCCATTCTTTGCCACCTTCTCCCCATACTAATAGTGAGCTGCAAGAAGATAGACACCATGCTTAATTTATTTATATTTGTCACCCTGACACAACCACCAAAGCCACATAGTAGATGTGGTAATAGAGCACTTTCACTTCATATATTTCTGCTTGAGATCTCATTCTGCTAAAAAAAAAGTCTCTGACAGGTTTATTGTTTTGTTTTGCTGGTAATATCATTCTCCCCAAGGATTAAAGGAAACACCTAATGGAATTGCTAGTCTGAACTTAATATAACTATAACAAAGAAGTAGTAGTTAAGGTGAAGTAATAGATACCTATATGGGAGTATACTTGTGACCTGAGGGATTTTGATAGCCAAGGAGGAGGAACTATATAGGTTAGATATGGATGAACTTTTAAATTCCAGAAATAATTCCATAACATGAGATGTGGAAGGAAAAAGGATGTCATGAAAAGGATGCAAAACTCCCAAAAATATAAGTCTGACTGTATAAAGATCCAATATGGCCACAGGAAAAATACTTCTGAATTTTGCTTTAAAACAATGAATGCAGAACAAAAATAAGCACCTGTAGCATAAATGTAGCACCTGTAGAATAAATGTAGAAAGTTGTCAAGAACCTGTGGAAATTTTTTGGTGTAAAAATAAAAACTTAGATCAGTGGGAAATAATAGATAGCTCAGAATAGACCTGATACATATGAGGGGTTTAGTGTTTAGAAAGACCATAGGATTTGAGACAAGAGGAATCACTTTAAGAATGATAAGATAACTAGATAGCAACTTAAAGAGGCTCTGAATACCACTGGTATAAATAAGTTATGGATTTAGCTACTCAGGCTCTACAGAGAGGCCTCAGGAACCATTTTGGTGCACAAGAGGAAGAAGCTGAGTCAGTGGACTCCCCCACCCCCTGTTTAACCATAGTTTCTTGTTTATCTATTTTATATTTGAATTTCCACATAAAATTCTTTTGAGAAGTTTTTAAATTTTAAGTTTTTATTTAGAAATTTTAAATTTACAAAAATCTGTGAAAATGGAAATAATACAAACAAGAGGCATATCCTTTATCATTTTCATTTGTTCTCTCTCTCCTTCCTTCCATATATGTGTGTGTACACACACGTGTGCACATATGTGCATGGCCTTACACGCACACACATTTTTCCCTGAACCACTTGAAGTTAAGTTGCACGCATCATGGCCCTTTACCACCAAATAGTTTAATGCATATTTCCGAAAAACAGGCTATCCTTTTATATAACCATGGTACATTTATCCACATTAGTAAATTTAACATGAGTACAGTAGTTTTGTCTAATTTATTATTTATATTCAAATTTTGTCACTTGACCCAATTATGGCGTTTTATAGCATTTTTCCCTCTAGTTTAGGATCCAGTCCAGGATCAGGTGTGCATTTAGTTGTCATGATTCTTTAGCCTCCTTTAATCTAGAACATTTCCACCGTCTGTCTTGGACATTTTGGGAGTATGTATGTGATAAAATATACATAAAATTTACCATTTTAAACATTTTTAAGTGTACGATTCACTGGCATATTAAGTACATTCAATGTTGTGTAACCATCACCATTATCCATTCCCAGAACTTTCTCATTCCAAACAGAAATGCCGTATGCATTAAACAATAACTCCTCATTACCCTCATTCTCAGCCCTTGATAACCTCTAATCTACTTTCTGGCTCTATGAATTTGTCTATTCTAGGTATTTCATATAAGTAAAATTATACAATATTTGTCCTTTTGTGTCTGGATTATTTCACTTAGCATAATGTCCTCAAGGTTTATCCATATTGTAACGTGTATCAGAATTTCCTTCCTTTTAAAGGCTGAATAATATCCTGTTGTATGTACATACCACATTTTGTTTATATATTCATCTGTTGATGGACGCTTGGGTTGTTTTCTCCTTTTGGGTATTAGAGTAATGTTGCCATGAACTTTGACATACAAGTATCTACTTGAGTCCTTGCTTTCAGTTCTTTCGGGTATATACCTAAGAGTAAAACTATAGGTCCTGTTTTATCTGTTTTATATTTGAATTTCCACATAAAATTTCCCTTTCCAGAAGTTTTATGGCCAAAAACATTTTAAAACAACTGCTATTTAGCATATACCAGAATGAATCAATGAAGTATAGCAATTAGCAATTCAGTAGAAAAAAGTCTTTTCTTTTAAATCAGATTTTTAGAAAGATGACAATTTCTGTGGTTTAAAGTAATCAAAGGGAGTATAAAAGATATAAATATGATCACATAAATTTGAACTAAAAAGCTATTATCTTCAATATTTTAGATTTACCACTGGTAATATACAAAACTATTCCAATATATAAGAATAATGAGTCCAATCAGCTATTTAGAAAGACATGAATATTGTTTCTTCTTGTGAAAATTAGAAACATTTCAAGAGGAAAATCCAGTGGTTAATGATTCACTAGAATTATGCATTCCTAACCAAAGAAAGGAGTAAAAATACCTGATTCTGGTGAGTAATTGGTAAAGTAGCGTTATGAATTGACAACCCTTTTTAAAAAGCAATGTAGGCTGGGTACAGTGGCTCACACCTGTAATCTCAGCACTCTGGGAGCCTGAGGTGGGTGGATTGCTTGAGCCCAGGAGTTTAGACCAGCCTGGGCAAAATGGCGAAACCCCATCTCTATAAAAATAAATTTAAAAAATTAGCCAGGCATGGTGGAGCACACCTATAGTCCCAACTGCTTGGGAGGCTGAGGTGGGAAGATCGCTCAAGCCCAGGAGGCAGAGGTTGCAGTGAGCCGAGATCACAACACTGCACTCCAGCACTGGGTGACAGAGCAAGACCGTGTCTCAAAAATAAATAAATAAAATAAAAGACAATGCAGTAGTTTGTGTCAAAATGTATTAAAATGTTCAGACAGTTTCCACCCAACAGTTTAACAAGAAGGTATCATTATTTGTTTTTGATTTTTTGAGACGGAGTCTTCCCCGGTCGCCCAGGCTGGAGTGCAGTCGCACGATCTTGGCTCACTGCAACCTCCGCCTCCTGGGTTCAAGCGATTCTCCTGCCTCAGTCTCCCTGAGTAGCTGTGACTACAGGCCTGTGCCACCATGCCTGGCTAATTTTTGTATTTTTAGCAGAGACAAGGTCTCACCCTGTTGGCCAGGCTGGTCTCGAACTCTTGACCTCAGGTGATCCGCCCACAGCCTCCCAAAGTGCTGGAATTACAGGTGCGAGCCACCACGCCTGGCCGAGAGGATCATTATTTTCAATGCAGATAATATATTAACAGTTTAAAAATAACTTAATGAGGCCAGGTGCAGTGGCTCATGCCTATAATTCCAGCACTTTGGGAGGCCAAGGCGGGCAGATCACCTGAGGTCAGAAGTTCAAGACCAGCCTGGCCCACATGGTGAAACGCCGTCTCTACTAAAAATGCAAAAAAAAAACCTAACCAGGTTTGGTGGTGCATGCTTGTAATCCCAGCTACTCTGGAGACTGAGGCAAGAGAGTCGTTTGAACCTGGAAGGCAGAGGTTGCAGTGAGCTGAGATCATGCCACTGCACTCCAGCCTGGGTGACAGAGCGATACTCTGTCTCAAAAAAATAAATAACTTAATGACAAAAAGGAGAAAGGTTTCATGTCAATTAGTGGACTATTTACACACTGGCTAACATAGATTAACTGCACCTTTTTGAATGTCTGCAATTTCAGTTTTATTAATAAGCTATAATAACACTGAGTTTACCGTTTTATCAGTTGATCAGCTTCTGTATAGGCGACTATATAAATACTGCCAAAAGTATAGCAGCAAGAATTTATCTGTATGTGTCCAGGGAAAATAATTGTAGTATATAAAAAAGCTTTACAAGAAATTTGAATATTGTTATACCATATTATTAAAGTTTTAAAAATTATTAAAACTTTAACATTAATTTTTCATTTGTGCCACTGAACTTTGTCAGTAGCTACTGGCTTTCCTAAACAATACCAGGTAATCCAGCTAGTAATAAATATTTCTAATAGAAGTAATTAACACAAAATAAAACCAAAAGTATTTTTACTAAGGCAGTTAAGGTATACAGATTTTAACCTGGGAAATTTTGGAATGAAGAAAAAAATGATCAATGAAAGAATCCTAATGTAAATAATTTTAGTAAAATTAATGGGGAAAAATTGGAAACATCATGTTACATAGAAAATTAAGGATTTGGATGGGCATGAAGGAAGTACTTTCTCAAAGAAAACTAATCAGCATTGTTGTAATTTTTAGTAGAATGTTCCACAATCACAAACTGAAATAAAAAATATCCCCATCCATGACAAGGCAGGGAGAAGTTAAAAATAATGTCAACATGTTGGTGGGTTTAAAGCAACAAGCATGGGTATGTGTCAAAACAGTCTGCATCCATCACCAAACTATATAACCTTGCATATGTACCAAGGCTACTGCCTCAAGACTGCCTGGGAGCTTGACTCTGTAGGAGCTCATATTGACGCTATGATGTATGGGAATGGCAGTTTGGACCTATTCTTTGCAGGTAGCACATGGGTTACTTCATGCTGAGCATGCTTGGTTGACTTCAAATATTATTGCCATTTTGACTTTTGCTTTAATTTTCATCTACTCTTTCTAATACTAGAACTGTACCTTTCAAGAATTTACATTGAATTCATATTATTTTATCTTTATATATAGAAAAATTATCAAATTTAAGAAATACAGATATCTGAAGCAGCAAATGACTTTAGTATATATATTTTCATTTTCAGTAAACATATTTATGGAGTACTACAGAAAGTTTCCCCCAGGTGTATACTTTGATTTACAAGTGCTAAATGACCTTCTAAATTCTTTACTCAAACATTGTTTGTTGAAAGAAGTATTTCAGATAGTGAACCTCAGCATAATGGTTAAAATGCTGGTAAGTAGCCTGAAAATATATGTTATTTTAATATTTTATGTTAATTTCTCTGTCATATTCATTGTTTGAACTTAGCAGTTGAATTTCTGTATTTGTTGAATACTTCCTAGAAACCACTTGTGTTTTTCAACATAAATGAATTTGAGAAATTTAAGGTGTACTAAAAGAAGATCTGAAAATGAGTGTAATTTTTTTGTTTTATCCAGCCTTCTCTGAAAATATTACTAAACATATTTGAGTATGTGGCAACTATGAAATTAAGGAATGCTGTACCTGCTTTAATTGATATCTTTTGCAAGGTATGGTTTTATTTTCTCTTTTATTCTCTGATGGCGAGTAACCAAGAAAATAATTGTTTCCATGGGGGGGTACCCTTGAGCTGCCTTTTATTCACATTCTGGATGCCAAAGAATTCTATTTCCAGAAGTATTCTTTTTCTCTTGAAATAGGGTTTATAAAAAAAGAATCCAGTGGCTGATAAGCCTTCCTCTTAAATAGTTTCAGACACTCAGATTATTGCTTTTTGATGTATGAATTGTCTTCGTCTCTACTCCGTAAGGATGATTAAATAAAATTTTCTTTCTCTAAAAGACTTGAGATCATTTACAACAGAAATAAACAAACCAAAAAAGACTTACAAAAATATAAAATTCAACTTTTGTTAAATACTTCCTAGTATTTGATACTACTCAATCGTCTACTTCAGAATAGGCCTGATAGGAAAACTGCCAGTTTTCTTTCAGAAGCAACATTGGAAGAACTCAAGCAGAAGAACAGATATGTGAGTGAATACCTCAGATTTCACATTACAAAACTTGACAATTGCTTGCCTAGAGATGTTTGGAATCAAAAGTTACTGATTGCCAGGCGTGGTGGCTCACGCCTGTAATCCTAACACTTTGGGAGGCTGAAGCAGGCAGATCACAGGGTCAGGAGTTCAAGACCAGCCTGACCAACATGGTGAAACCCCATCTCTACTAAAAACACACAAAAAATTAGCCGGGCATGGTGGCGCACTCCTATAATCCCAGCCACTCAGGAGGCTGAGTCAGGAGAATTGCTTGAACCTGGGAGGCGGAGGTTGCAGTGAGCCAAGATTGTGCCATAACCTAGGCAACAGGGCAAAACTCCATCTCAAAAAATAAAAAGTTACTGATAACCCGTAGAGGTTGTAGAAAATCTCAGTAAGGATTCCATAAATTGTCTGATACTGAATAACTTGGCTTTCTGCAAAATGTACCCCGCAGTGACTGTCTAAATAAAATTACCCTTAGTGGAGAATATCTAACAAAGACAATGATTTTCATTTTTGCATGGCTAATATGGAGCCATCATTTCTGGAAGTTGTTTAAAACCAGTGCCAATTTCCCTGTTAAGACTATTTCAGGGTTCAGTAATAACACCATAATATCATCATGGAGAAAGATGCTTTTCCTCCTCTTTATTCTAGCAGTGTACCATACTCCATGTATTTAACAAAAATATCACTGAGAAAAGATAATTAACATTTTTGTCCTGCCTTAGATTGTTACCTAGTCTGTTACAATTTATATTTACCCTGGTCTTTGAGCAGTGTTAAAGGGCAGAGTTTTTAAGGCATGTCAGTTACCAGATAACTGATTTGTTCTCTTGCAGGTTTGTTTATAGTTGGCCTTGTTCATTTAGTCAAAAGTCGTTGCAAGGTCAGTGAATACAGTTAGACCACCAGTGACCCTTTCAAATGTTGTAGAGCGTAACAGTAAAAAAATCATGATGTCCAGTCCTTTACTTCATGATGTTTGGAAAACTATTTGTTAAGGTAGTGGATTGGTAGGTTTAGGAGAGGAGCTGTTTTCCTCTTTTAAAATAAAATTGAGCATGCTTTGAATCTAGAGGAGCTAATAGAGCTTAAGGATTAGAGCCTAATCTTTAGAACAGGCTTTAAATAGTCATTTTTACAGGATTTTTTTTTACCAAAACTATTTTTAGTTAAAGTTGTTGAATAACGTGTCTTAGGGTAGCATTTCTAGGACCCATTCAAAAGGGGCCGAGTACCACTAAATTTGAGACAATTTTCCTTGGAGTTCAAAGGTGGGGAAAATCTCTCAGCAGCTTGTTACTATTGTCCTTCACTAAAAGAAATTCTATCTCAAAATATATAATTGTGAGTTCTAACAGCCAAATTACAGCATCTCACATTATACCTTGAAACAGGTAGCTTCTCCACTTACCCCTGGTATTGTTTTGTTATCCTACCCCAAATTCTTATTTCCTAGTACTCCCTTCAGATCTATACTGGAGACAAAGCATACATTCTCCCAAACATTCAAAATATATTTTGATATTTAAGTAATTTCTTAAAAGGGGAATTTTTCTGAAAACCAGAATAGAACCAAATAAAATTCTCAGCAAAAATATTGCTCAGAGAATTTCAAACACCACTCAGTTGAGTCATTCTTAACTCTCTAAATCCTTGTCCAGGGTAGCTAGTCATAATACCTTTGAAGTATTATGGAGGTATTGGAGGACCTAGTCATTATACCTTTGAACCAAGGTCAAGAGGATCATTTGAGCTGGGGCAACTAATAAGACTGCCAGCTCACAACCTTGTATCTTCCCACGTTTCCAGGATAATGTCATGTAGAAGAGCTGTCAGAAAAGGCCTGCCTCTCATTCATCTATTCTCACACTAGAAGTGTCCAGATATTCCCTTGTTGGTTCTCTTCATTAGCGTTGAGGCTCATGAAGAAGACAGGAAATGAGTCATATGTGAATGACAGATAAAGCCTTTGAATTGGTATTTTTTTAATTACGTGCTATGTTACATGTGGGCAGTTGGTCCACCTGAGTGATTAATTTATCAAGGAATCACTGATTCTTCTCTGGCCATGGCCCTATGTGAGGCACAGGAACAATACTTCTCAGGAAGTTTATAATCAGGGATGAGGTATGAATACCAGTCCTAGATTAGAAGACAGACTGAGTACTAAATAAGAGGTATATATGATAAAGTGGTTGAGATAACTTAGAGAGCAGGAAGAAAATCCAAAAACTTAATATTTTCATTTTTGCTTTAAATTCTTAGGATATCTTTTTGTGGTTCTGTGCCTCAATTTTTTTAAATGAGTTTTATTCCACTTGTCTCCATGTTTCACTTCTTCCATTAGTGTCTTAGTTGTTTCACACACATTGGCTCCTCAATTCTGTCACATTTTTGTAAGAATAACCACTCTTTCTTTTCTCTTCTACAGCTTGTTGAAGCCGGGATGGTGCTTGACCCAGAGCACTTTAACTATATTGTTAAGCTTTTATACCAAGTACAAGCTTCCAAACAAGAAATAACTGCAGTTCTGGAAATGAAATCGAGGTGAGAAAAATCATTATTATTTAAGCCAAAATATATGTGTCTTGGTGGGGACTTATAAAAGCTGAAGGCAAAGCTCTAATAACTGTTTGTATGCCCAAACATTTAGATAGTGGCCTGTCATAAACCCTTCTCCTGTCTCTTGGCTGTGCCCTACTTTAGTCAAGCTGCCTGTGGCCAGCCTCACCTTATTTTTCTTAGTACTTCATTTCCTCTCAATGTCCTGCTCATCAAGTGTAAAAAGAGTGTCTTTTATCTTCTGTTTCACCACTTAATTACACCTAATGTACTCTCTTATATGTGTACAAATTACCTTAATGCGTTTTTCTATTTGACTCATTTTTTGTTGTTAGCTTAATAAAATACTTTAGTGCCCCTCCCTTATTTACTTTCTCTATTCAGCTTGTGGGCCTCCAAAGACCTTTAAAAAAAAAAAAAGCCAGGCGCCGTGGCTCACGCCTGTAATCCCAGCACTTTGCAAGGCCGAGGCAGGCGGATCACAAGGTCAGGAGTTCAAGACCATCCTGACCAACATGGTGAAACCCCATATCTACTAAAAATACAAAAATTAGCTGAGCATGGTAGCGCGTGCCTGTAATCCCAGTTACTCAGGAGACTGAGGCAGGAGAATCACTTGAATCTGGGAGGCAGAGGTTGCAGTGAGCCGAGATCGCACCACTACCTGGGCGACAGAGCGAGACTCCGTCTCAAAAATAAATAAATAAATAAATAAAAACTGAAAAAAAAACTCTAACAATTATACAAGTGGTACCATAATGTACTTACACCAAGAAAAAGGAAGGCCATGACTTAAAAAAAAAAAAAATCAAAGTATAACATACATAGAAAAAAAGATATAAATTATGTGTTTAAATGAATCATAACTTTTTAAATGTAATTAGATTTGATAAAGAGCAAATCAACTACTGAAATCCTTCAGAATGCCCAGAAATCTCCAATATGGAGCTTCCATCGCTATTTTTATCTCATTTCTCATTATCTTCTAATGCAGAGGTTCCCAAACTTTCTTGGTTCTGTGTCCCTAGGCCAAAAGAAAGATGTTAACTGTCCCATTTATTAACTAGTTAGGTCCAAACAAGTTAATAGTAGTCATTTGTTCAGTGTCTGACAGGTGTCAGCCTTAACATAGGCTTATTTAACAAGCTTAAACTAACCTATGGTGTCCTGGGGAGTTTGCCATTGTGCCCTAGATGCCTCGGTACAGTTAAAAGAATTGCAGCTCTAAATAGTACTTCTTCCCTTCAATCACTAACATTGAAATTAATTTGAGTTTTCCAAGTTCTATGATTTTTTAATTTAATTACTGATAATTAACAATATTCATGTTTTCCATGAAAATTGTAACACTGTTTAGGCTAAATAGATTTTGGGGACTACCTAGGAAACAAATTTTTGTAAGGAAAGTATAATTCATCCAGCATGTAGTTCTGGAGTCTAATTTGTTTTTAAGTAGGGTGCATTGATGTTGTCTTCCAATCATTGAGTTCATTCTTCCCCAGAGCGATATGTGAAAAACTTTTCCCATTTTGGGCAGTGGCAGCTATGGCAGAGAGCTCACATGACTAACAGATGTTAATCTCGCACCAGATTCAGTAGCAGTTAGCACAGGGAAAGTGTATGCATCAAGGCTCAAGAGAATAGCAGTATCTGGTGCCCTGAATAGCTACTGAACTTCACCCTTCATGCAATGATTGACAGCAGATCCTGTTAGTATATAGGAAGACCCCAGAACAATCCAGCTTTTCACTTTTTTTATTGATGTGTAATAGTTGTATATGTTTACAGAGTACATGAGTTTTAACGATACATGTATACGATGTATAATGATCAAATCAGGGTAACTGGGATATTCATCACCTCAAACATTTATCATTTCTTTGTATTAGGGACATTCCAGAGCTTCTCTTCTGGTTATTTGAAATATGCTATACATTTCTGTTAACTGTAGTTGCCCTATTGTGCTTTCAAACACAAGCAACACAATCATGAATATTCTTAGTCTATTTTACAGTATATAACTTTGAAAACTGTATCTTTATACCCTCTGCCCCTTTCTGTGCTCCCACTTCAAACCATTACAGTTATGTGCCCCATAATAATGTTTTGGTTAATGATGGACCACATATACCATGGTGATCCCATAAAATTATAATGGAGCTGAAAAATTCCTATCTCCTAGTGACATCTTAGCTGTTATAATGTCAGAGCACAATGCACTACTCATATGTTTGTGGTGATACTAGTGTAAACAAACTTACTGCGCTGCCAGTCATATAAAAGTATAGCACATACAACTATGTACAGTACATAACATTTGATAATGATAATAAATTAGTGTTACTGGTCTATGTATTTACTGTACTTTATTATTATTTTAGAGTGTACTCCTACTTATATTTTTTTAAAGTTAAGTGTAAAACAGATTCAGGCAGGTCCTCCAGAAGGTATTCCAGAAGTAGGCATTATTGTCATAGGAGATGACAGCTCCATACTTGTGATTGACCCATAGACCTTCCAGGGAGACAAGATGTGGAGGTGGAAGACAGTGATATTGATCATCCTTGTTCTCTGTAGGCCTAGGCTAATGCATGTATTTGTGTCTTAGTTTTTAACAAAACAGTTTACAAAGTAAAAAGATAAAAATAAAAATTTTCAAAAATAGAAAAAAGTTTATAGAATAAGGATATAGAGAACATGCTTTTGTACAGATATACAGTGTGTTTCTGTTTTAAGCTGGGTGTTGTTACAAAAGAGTCAAAAAGTTTGTAAAGTTACAGTAAGTTAAAATTAATATTGAAGAAAGAGAAACTTTTTTTCTAAATTAAGTGTAGCCTAAGTATATAGTATTTGTAAAGTCTACAGTTTGTGTTACAGTTGCCTACAGTATTCAGTACAATAACATGCTTTGCAGGTTGGTAGCCTAGGAACAATAGGCTATATCATATAGCCTAGGTGATTAGTAGGCTGTACCATCTAGGTTTGTGTAAGTACACCCTTATGATGATTACACAAAGATAAAATCACATAAAGACACATTTCTGAGAACATATCCCCAGCCGGGTACAGTGGCTCATGCCTGTAATCCCAGTACTTTGGGAGGCTGAGGCAGGTGGATCACCTGAGGTTGGGAGTTTGAGACTAGCCTGGCCAACATGTGAAACCTCATCTCTACAAAAAATAGAAAAATCAGCCAGTTGTAGTGGTGCACGCCTGTAATCCCAGCTACTCAGGAGGCTGAGGTGGGAGAATTGCTTGAATCTGGAAAGCAGAGGTGGCAGTGAGCCAAGATCGTGCCACTGCACTCCATTCTGGACAACAGAGCAAGACTCTGTCTCAAAAAAAAAAAGACATATAGCCATCAAACGACGCATGACTGTATATAGTATTCTTTAAGAGGTACTAACGTTGGTGACCTATTTGATGATGGAGAGAGTTTTGAGAGAGTAGGATAATAACTGGATAGTTAAGGAGTTTAGATCATAACTGAGCATGTGAACCCAGCTCCAAGGCAAAAGAAAAAAAAGTAGTATGTTATTTTATACTTGAATTTTCTTGACTCTTTGAAATAATCACCCTATTCTGCACTAGGCAATTATTTTTTTTTCTTTGAGACAGTATCTCCCTCTGTCTCCCAAGCTGGAGTGCAGTGGTGCAATCATGGCTCATGGCTCACTGCAGCCTCAACCTCTTGGGCTCAAGAAATTCTCCTACCTTAGCTTCCCAACCCTCTGGGACTACAGGCACGTGCCATTGTGCCCTAGCTATATTTTTTTGTATTTTTTTCAGAGGTAGGATTTCAACATGTTGCCCAGTCTGGTCTCGAACTCCTGGGCTCAAGTGATCTGCCTGCTTCAGCATCCCAAAATAGTCAAATGAATTTTAATGCACATTTATATTTTGATTTTGATTATATTTTTAATTAGCTAGTTTACAGTTCATTTGAAAGACTTTCACAGAAGATAAGGCTGCTAGAAAGAATTTTAACATTTATATTCAGGACATTAGTGACAATTTATATGTGCCTATAACTTAGGAAATTTCTTAACATTCAGTGATTATTTTAAAACTTTCACATTTAAAGTGGGTATTGAAATGTTGGAGCTTAAGTCTGCAACTTTATTAGTTACTTTTTGTTTATCTCCTGTTTACCTTTTTCTATATTCCTGTGGGGATTACTTGAACGTTTTTTAGAATTCCATTCTGATTAACTGTAGTTTTTGAGTATCTCTCTTTGTAGATATATATTTTTTAGTTGTTGCTCTAATGCACTTACCTTTTGACTCAGCAATCCCAATTCTACAAATGTACCCTGAAAACACACCTCTATCAATACAAACATATGCACACCCAAGGTTATTCATTGCAGCATTGTTTATACTTGCAAAATATTAGGAACAATCTAAATACCAATACAGTAGATGAATAATATAGTATATTCACACAATGAAGTACTTTGCAGCCATTAAAAAATGAAGAATTTCTCTATGAATTTATTTAGAGTGATATCCATATACTGTTTGTGTAAATGTTATAAATACACTAATTAAAGGATTGCAGTTGGCAGAATATATATAAAAGTATAACTATATGCCCCTGACAAGAAATTAACTTTCATTGTAAGGATATAGGTAGTTGAAACAATATGCCATGCAAACATTAGTTTTAAAAGGAGCATGAGTGATTATATGAATAACGAATTAAATAGACTTTAGAGCAAGGAAAACTACAGGTACAAAGAGGGACACTACATAATAAGATGATCAATATGCCAAGAAGACATAGCAATTATAAAGTATATGCACCAAAAAACAGCTTCAGAATACATGAAACAAAATTATTGAATTGAAAGGAGAAATGGACAATTCTATAATTATAGTTGGGGACTTCAATATCCCTCTCTCAATAATTGATAGAAATACTGGGAAATCAGCAAAGATATAGAACTAAACACCTCCATCAATCAACAGGGTTTAATAGACATTTATAGAACACTGTACCCCAAAACAGCAGAATACATATTCTTTTCAAGCATCTATGGAATATTCACCAAGGTAGACCATATCCTGGATCATAAACCTCAAAAAATTTAAAACAATTAAAACTATACAGAGTACATTATTTGACTGTAATGGAATCAAACTGGAAATCAACAATGGAGGTATAATAGGAAAATCTCCAAACACTTGGAAATTAAACAACACATTTCTCTATAATCCACGTGTGAAGAGAAAGTTTCAAAACTAAGTGAACTGTTAGAACTGAATAAAAATGAAAATATGTCACAACTTGGGGATGCAGTTAAAGCAATCCTGAGAGGAAAATCCATTACACAATATTCTAAGCTCCCACCTCACAAAACAAGGAAAAATAAGAGCAAAATAAACTCAAAGTAAGCATAAGAAAGGCAATAAAGCTAAGAATATGAATCAATGAAGCTGAAAACAAAAAGTAAATCAATGAAACAAAAAGCTGTTTGTTTGAAAAGATCAATAAAATTAACAAGCCTCTAGCAAGACTAAAAAAAAAAGCAGACATGAAGACATGAATTATCGATACCAGGAATGAGACCAGGGTTATCAGTACAGTTACTGCAGCCATTAAAGCGATCATAAGGGATTGCCTTGAACAACTTGACATAAACTCAGCAACATAGATGAAAAGGAGCAAGTCCTTAAAAACCACAAAAAAAAACAAAGTTGATGCAATATGAACTAGATCATCTAAATAGTGTTACAACTATGGAAGAAATTTAATCCATCATTTAAAAGCTTCCAAAAAAGACATTTCAAGGGCCAGATAGTTTCATTGGACGATTCTACCAGTCATTCAAAGAAGAATCAGCATGGATTTACACGATCTCTTGCAGAAAACATGAGGGAACATTTACCAGCATATTTTGATACCAGTGTTACCCAGCCTCCAAAACCAGACACAGAGAATACCAAAAAAAAAAAAAAAAAGAAAAAAAAAAGAAAAGCAAATTACGGCCGGGCATGGTGGCTCACACCTGTAATCTCAGCACTTTGAGAGGCCGAGGTGGGTGGATCACCTGAGGTCAGGAGTTTAAGACCAACCTGACTAACATGGTGAAACCCCGTCTCTACTAAAAATACAAAATTAGCTGGGCATGGTGGCACATGCCTGTAATCCCAGCTACTTGATAGGCTAAGGCAGGAGAATCACTTGAACCCAGGAGGCGGAGGTTACAGTGAGCCGAGATTGAACCATTGCACTCCAGCCTGGACAACGAGTGAAAGTCTGTCTCAAAAAAAAAAAAGAAAAAAGAAAAGAAAATTACAAATTAGTATTATCTCTCCTGAGCTTTGATGCAGAAATTATCAATAAAATACTACCATATTGAATCCAGGAATTTGTAAAAAGAATTATACACCATTATCAAACAGGGTTTATTTCAAGAATGAAAAGATGGTTCAATATTTGAAAATCAATGTAATTCATCATATCTACAACATAAGAAGAAAAACCACATGATTATTCAATTAATACAGAAAAGCATTTGACAAAATTCAATATCCATGCATTATTTTTAAAAGTCAGCAAATTATGAATAAAGGAAGAAATTCTTTAACTTCACAAACAGTATCTGTAAGAAACCTACAGCAAATATTATATTTAGATGAAAGACTGGATGCTTCTTCCTAAGACTGGGAACATGGCAAGGATGTTCACTGATACCACTCTTATTCAACATACTATGATAAATCTTAGCCAGTGTAAGGCAAGAAATGGAAATAGCTAGCATACAGATTGGAAGTGAAGAAATAAAACTGTCCGTATTTGCAGATGACATTTTCTGCATATATGCCAAGGAATGTACCAAAATTTAAAAAAAAAACACTCTCCTAGAACTAAGGAGTGCAGCAAGGTTGCAGCACAAAAATCAACACAAAAATCAACCATATTTCTATATACTGAAAACGAACTGGGGAAACCAGCATTTAAAACAATATAATTTACAATGGCTAAAAACAAAAATTAGTAAAAATCTGACTGAACACATGCTAAACTTGTATGTTGGAAGTTACAAAATGCTGATAAAAGAAATTGAAAGATTAAATAAATAGAGATACTACATTCATGGGTTGGGAGACTTAATAAAGGTGTCAATGCTTCAAAATTTCATCCATTGGTTTAACTCAATTCCTATCAGAATCCCTCTGGCAAGATTTTTTTGTAGGTATAAAAACGTATATTCTAAAATTTATGTGCAAAGGTAAAAGGACTAGAATAGCTAAGACAACTTTTAAAAAAGAATAGGCTGGGTGCAGTGGCTCACACCTGTAATCACAATACTTTGGGAGGGAGAGGCAGGCAGATTACTTAAGCCCAGGAGTTCGAGGCCAGCCTGGGCAACGTGGTGAAACCCCATCTCTACAAAAAATTAGCTGGGCATGATGTCACGCACCTGTAGTCCCAGCTAACTGGGACTTGTAGCTGTGGGAGGATCACTTGAGCCCCAGAGGTAGAGGCTGCAATGAGCCGTGATTGCACCACTGCACTCCAGCCTGGGTGACAGATAGAGACCCTGTCTCAAAAAAGAAAACAAGAATAGGGTAAAGTAAAAGGATTCACTCTACTTAATGTTAAGACTTACTAACAGTAATCAAGTAATTAAGAAAGTATGTTATTGGATGGAGGGAGAGAGACATAGGTCAAAGGAACAGAGGGAATCCAGGAATAAACCACTACTAATATGTTCAATTGATTTTATAAGGTACAAAAGCAATTTTATGGAAGAAAGCTAGTTTTTAAACAAATGATGCTGGAGCAATTGAACAGCCATAGTAAAAAAACAAAAACTTTGACCCAAACCCGACACCTTATACAAAAATTAATTCAAAATGAATCATGAATTTAAACAAAAAAACTTTTAGGAAAAAATAGGGGAAAATTTGGAAACCTATATATATATGTTTATATATATTATATAATATATTTGTATAATATATATTTTATGTATATATATTATATATATATATATATATTTTTTTTTTTTTTTTTTTTTTTTTCCCCCTGAGATAGAGTCTTGCTCTGTCACACAGGCTGGAGTGCAGTGGCACAATCTCAGCTCACTGCAACCTCCGCCTCCTGGGTTCAAGTGATTCTCCTGCCTCAGCCTCCCAAGTAGCTGGGATTACAGATGCGTGCCACCATGCCTGGCTGATTTTTGTATTTTTAGTAGAGACTGGGTTTCACCATGTTGGCCAGGCTGATCTCAAACTGCTGACCTCGTGATTCACCCACCTCGGCCTCCCAAAGTGCTGAGATTACAGGCATGAGCCACCGTGCCCAGCTGAGAATATATTTTGAAAGTCTCAAAATTCAATAGTAAACAAACAAATGATACTGTTAGAAAATGGGAGCTGGACATGAACAGACACGTCTCAAAAGAAGACATTTATGCAGCCAAAAAACACATGAAAAAATGCTCACCATCACTGGCTTTCAGAGAAATGCAAATCAAAACCACAATGAGATACCATCTCACACCAGTTAGAATGGCAATCATTAAAAAGTCAGGAAACAACAGGTGCTGGAGAGGATGTGGAGAAATAGGAACACTTTTACACTGTTGGTGGGACAGTAAACTAGTTCAACCATTGTGGAAGTCAGTGTGGCGATTCCTCAGGGATCTAGAACTAGAAATACCATTTGACCCAGCCATCCCATTACTGGGTATATACCGAAAGGACTACAAATCATGCTGCTATAAAGACACAAGCACATGTATGTTTATTGCGGCACTATTCACAATAGCAAAGACTTGGAACCAACCCAAATGTCCAACAATGATAGACTGGATTAAGAAAATGTGGCACATATACACCATGGAATACTATGCAGCCATAAAAAATGATGAGTTCATGTCCTTTGTAGGGACATGGATGAAATTGGAAATCATCATTCTCAGTAAACTATCGCAAGAACAAAAAACCAAACACCGCATATTCTCACTCATAGGTGGGAATTGAACAATGAGAACACATGGACACAGGAAGAGGAACATCACACTCTGGGGACTGTTGTGGGGTGGGGGGAGGGGGAAGCAATAGCTTTAGGAGATATACCTAATGCTAAATGATGAGTTAATGGGTGCAGCACACCAGCATGGCACATGTATACATATGTAACTAACCTGCACATTGTGCACATGTACCCTAAAACTTAAAGTATAATAATAATAAAATAAATAAATAAATAAAAAATAAAAAAAAAGAAAATGAGAGCTGGGTGCCATGGCTTACATCTGTAATCCCAGCACTTTGGGAGGCCGAGGTGGGCAGATCACTTGAGGTCAGGAGTTTGAGACCAGCCTGGCCAACATGGTAAAACCCCATCTCTACTAAAAATAACAAAAATTACCCAGGCATGGTGGTACATGCCTGTAGTCCCAGCTACTCAGGAGGCTGAGGCTCCAAGAGAATCACTTGAACCCAGGTTGTAGTGAACTGAGATCGTGCCACTGCACTCCAGCTTGGGCGACAGAGTGAGACGTCTTAAAAAAAAAGAAAGAAAAGAAAATGGGCTAAAGACATAAACATGTTTCACCAATGAGGATATGCAGATGGCAACTAAGCACATGAAAATAAGTTCAACATTGTTAGCCATAAGAGAAATGTAAAATAAAACTATATGAGATATCACCACACACCTATCAGAATAACAGAATTTTTTTTTAAATATTGTTAACACCAAATGCTGGGGAGAGTGTGGATAAACTGGATCATATGCTGTTAGTGAGAATATAAAATGGTACAGCCACTCTGAAAAGCAGTTTGACAGTTTCTCTACAAACTAAACATGCACATCCCAAAGGCAGCTGTTGAACTCCTGGGCATTTATCCTAGAGAAATGAAAACTTTTGGTCACATAAAAACTTACACGTAAATGTTCTTAGCAGCTTTAATTGTAATAACCAGAAACTGGAAAAAAAAAAAAAAACTCAGATACCCTTCAATAGGTGAATGAGTAGTTATAGTTAAACTGTGGTACATACCATGGCATACTATTCAGGAAAAAGAGGGAGAAACTATGAAATGTGCAACAAATTGGATTGATCTCAAGGGAATTGTGTTGAATTTTAAAAGCTAATCTCAAAAGGCTACATGCTACACAGTGCATACATTTCATTTATGTAATATTCCCGAGATAACAAAACTAAGAAATGGAGAACTGATTAGTGGTTGCCAGGGGACAGGGACAGTGGAGAGGGGATGAGTATAAAAGGGTATCATGAGAAAGTTCCTTTGTAGAAATGGAACAGTTGCAGTTACATACACACACACAAATACATGTAAAAATTGATAAAAACTGAATAAGGCCTGTAGTTAACAATATTGTACCAGTGTCAGTTTCCTGGTGGTATATAAGATGTCACTATTGGAAAAAGCTGGGTGAAGAGTGCACAGTGTACTATTTTTGGAAATTCCTGTGAGCTTATTTAAAAGTCAAAAAATTGTGAAGATAAGTATATAACTTATAACTTTTAAAGATAAGTATATATAACTTTTGTTAGGTATTGCCAAATTTTCCTCCAGAATACTTGTACCCATTTGTGTTCCCATCAGAAATATGAGACTGCCTATTTCAGCCTAGCTTTCTAACATAATGTGTTAGAATGTTTTTCAATGTTTGCCAATCTATTAGATGACAAATGGTGTTTTAGTTTGCATTTCTCTCATGAATGAATTTGAGCATTTTCTGTTCGTATATTTGAGGGCTATTTTTACATGTTTTATGTGAACTCTTCACTCTTTTTCCCCTTTTTCTATTAGGTTTTGGTTTTTTGGTTCTTAAACTTTTAGAGTTCTTGATATATTACAGGTATTAGGCCTTTGTAGTATATATTAGTATATATTGCAATTTTTCTTCCAGTTTGTCAGTTGTCTTTTGACCTTCTGGTGTTTTTTACCATGCAAAAAGTTTTATTTTTATGCAACCTTATATTTCAATCTTTTTTCTCAGTTTTGAGTCAAGGTTATGTTTTATTGCATGTGGTTTTGAGTCATCATTTCTCTACATGAAGGTTTTAGGCAAACTGGCACGTTTTCTTTTACTATTTGTATGACTTCATTTTTACAGTTAGGTTTTTAATCTACGTGGAGTTTTTTCTCTTAGGTATGTTATGTGAAATGGATTCAGTTTTATCTTTTCCAAATGATTATACAACTTTTCCAACAACATGTATTAAAATATCCATCTTGGCTGGGCGTGGTGGCTCACACCTGTAATCCCAGCACTTTGGGAGGCCGAGGTGGGCAGATCACGAGGTCAGGAGATAGAGACCATTCTGGCTAACATGGTGAAGCCCCGTCTCTACTAAAAATACAAAAAACTAGCCGGGTGTGGTGGCGGGCACCTGTAGTCCCAGCTTCTCGGGAGGCTGAGGTAGGAGAATGGCGTGAACCCAGAAGGCGGAGCTTGCAGTGAGCCGAGATAGCACCACTGCACTCCAGCCTGGGTGACAGAGCAAGACTCCATCTCAGAAAATAATAATGGTAAAATAAAATGTCCATCTTTACCTCCAGTGATTTGAGATGCCACCTTCATCGTATACTAAATTTCATATACAATGGGGTCTGTTTCTTGACTTTGTATTTTATTCCACTGGACTGTTTGCCTATTCCTGCACTGGAACCACACTATAGTAACTGTAGAAGCTTTAATAGTATGTTTTAATTTTTGGTAGGGATAATTCTTTTTCATAGTTTTTCAGTGTTTTCCTGGATCTTCTTGGATGTACGCTTCTCCATATATTTAGTATCAACTTCCTAACTCCGTGTAGTAGTAATGTGTCTTTCAGGAGTGTTTTATAATTTTCTTTGTATAAGTACTTAATATTTTGGGTGCTATTGTGAATGAGGTTTTCTGTATTATTATGTGGTTTTTTTGTATTTATAAAAGCTATTGTTTTTTGTTTGTGTGTTGATGGATTGAGACAGGATCTTGCTCTGTTTCCCGGGCTGGGGTGCAGTAGTGCAATTACAGCTCACTGCAGCCTGGACCTCCTGGGCTCAGGTGATCCTCCCACCTCAGTCTCCCACGTAGCTGGTACTACAGGTGCATGCCACCACACCCAGCTAATTTTTGCAGAGGTAGGATTCACCATATTAACCAGGCTGGTCTCAAACTCCTGAGCTCAATGGATCTGCCCAACTCGGCCTTCCAGAGTGCTGAAATTTCTGGTGTGAGCCACCTCACACAGGCTGTCTATCTAGTTTAAATATCAGTTATACTTGCTTCATAAAAGGAGTTAGAAAATTGTTTTTTTTTCTTAATCCCAAATGTGACAGTATGTTCTTCCTTCTTAATGCTCTAGATGAATTACCAAAATTGGTGAACTCATAGTTAGGTATTACATAATACTAGTTCAATGACACCTTCTTATTCCAGCTGCCTTTTTTTAAATTTTCTTCTGATTGCCAAAGGGTGTTTCTTTCATTTTTGTCTTTTTTTCTTTTCCAAAAACTATGCATTTCAAAAATTGCCTTCTTTAAATCACAGACTTTTAAGATCCTTCCTTGTGGTTCTGATCTACCCAGATGCTTGCTTGCTTTTTTTTTTTTTTTTTTTTTTAGCATTTTCAAACTTAATGTGGACTTAGTCTTTGCAGCAGTATTTTTAAATCAATGTTAGCTCTTTCTGCTAGTTTCCCTCTTCAATTCTCCCCATCAGGTTTTGTGTGTTTACTTGCTCTGTTTTTGTTTTGGTCTTTGATTGCCACAAATCCTGTGGAGCAGTAAGGGTAGGGTAGGAGCAGTAGAGATCATGTGCCAGGATTTGGTATTTTTTTTCTCCTTTTAGTCACAGTTATTTTTGAAGTTTTGACATCCTCTGTCTACAAGTTAGGCTGAAGGTATGATTTCATGTGGAATTTGCTTTTTCCTTCTTATTGTTTTGGGGAGGAAATAGTATAAAGTAGGTGTCTATATAGCTGCCTTTTTTTCAGCTCTGAAGAATGTTTATAGCATATTATATACATTCATTTTTTCTTCTGGTTTCTTATAAACCATAGGACAGATTAATTAGAAGCAGCAGTGACTTTTAAGGGGTGAATATAGTATAATTAACTCTTTTCTTTTGTTAAAGGTTACAGATGAGACGATTTAAAAAGAACTGGAAGTGTGATTTAGATTCAGCCTTGAATAAATTAGAGGTATGACATTTATTATTTTAAATACATTGCTGGGATCTCTGAAAATCAATAGCAACAAAAAAGGTTTGAATAATAACCCCATTTTATGAAAAGTTTTAGAAATGTGGCTGTTATACAGAGAAAATGCTCAAGGAAAGGAAGTTTTGTTTTTCTTACAAGTTAATATTTTGAAAGGCAAACGTTTTAATTTCTAGAGTTGTGGACTGTACTAAAAATAATTCTAAAAATTGTTCAGTTTCAAAATTATATTAAAGTAAAATAACAATTCGAAGCTTAGTCTTTAAGTTTTGAGACTGGGCAGACTCGCTCAGTGCATAAGAAAGCTGAGGTACTTGTCATGGATGGCTACAGTACATGAAATGGTGGGAGAAAGCCCAGGTCACACTGAACTCTCCAACCATTTAGAGTATAAGAAATGAGGACCTTCAGGATGATTTTTACTTTTAAATTTAATATCATTTTTGTATTCATGTAGTAATTGTTGCTCTGGTTTTAATTAGTACTTTTATATTCTTAAGACAACTTTTTTTCTTGATGTGAACAACTTCTTTAGTTTATAACAGAAATTGTAGAAAGATAATAAGTTGATTGAAATTTACTTTGTGGCCACTTTTGTAGAACGTAGTGTCCAAAACGATATGTGGGCCCAAATTATAAATGGCCAGATAACATTAAAATGTACTTTCTAAAAGTAGTAAAATAATGCATTGCCATGGAGACAGTTCAAATTATGCTGCTCATCATGTTTTCCGTAAAATCCATCTCCACTGTCAGGTTCAGTTTTGGGGGTGAATACAGTTAAATACTTTAAGACCTGGATAATTAAAACAAATGTGCATTGTTATTTGGAATTTATAGAGGCTTTACTATAGCCAGAAAAGCAAAGTTACAATAGTGTGTTGTTGATGTGATACTTGTTGGTAAGCTTATAAGATGTGCAGATTTTGTCTTATTAATTTATGTATATCTAATGCCTAAACATGCTTTGCCCTAAAGACATGTTTGCATAAATGACATAGTTTTCATTCTTTTTCTTTTTTGTTTTGTTTTTAATAATTTTGATAGCATTGTAAAGAAAAAGGTGACTGGACCAAATTGGGAAAATTATACATTAACGTAAAAATGGGCTGTGAAAAATTTGCAGATTTCCAGACATTTTGTGCTTGCATTGCTGAAACACTCACAAAAAACTATGAAGATGAAAGACCAGATATTCCCTTTTGTGAATTTGCTGAAACAGGTAAAATGTAACTATTGGCCTGAATATTGTGTATGAGGATGGTGCAGTTTTCTTTTTTGTTTTTTAGAGACAGGGTCTTCCTTTGTTACCCAGGCTGGAGTACAGGGGTGCGGTCATAGCTCACCGCAGCCTCGAACTCCTGGGCTCAAGCACTTCTCCTGCCTCAGCCTCCCAAGTAGCTGGGACTACAGGCACATATCACTACACTCAGCTAATTTTTTTATTTTTTGTAGACACAGAATCTTGCTTCATTGCCCAGGCTAGTCTCGAACTCTTGTGCTCAAGGGATCCTCCCACCTCAGCCTCTCAAAGCACTGGTATTACAGACATAAGTCACAGCTCGGCCAGTGGCAGTGTTCTTAACAAGAATGTAAAACTAAAAAAAAAATTAAAAAAAGAAAGAATGTAAAACCCTTGAATATTTTCCATGTTGTGGATAAATTAATGCAGGCTTTAGATACTCTTCCTTCTCTTTCTGAATTTTTCCATCTATTTATTGTTAGATTATGGTAAAAGGTCAAGAATTGGTGTTTTAGTATCAAACGTTTCACATTCTTATTTTTCTTTTCACTCAGATTGGTAAAACTATTGCTAACAAATTATAGTGGAGCACCTGAATTTTTGAATTATTTAAGTTGTTACTCTCTTTACTATTACAAGTCAACAGAGTCTATATAGTTTTGAATTTGTTTTGTTTTTGACCTGAGCTCTTTACTACTGTAGCCTTTATCAGGGGTTGGCAAACTTTCTGTAAAAAGCCGGATAGTAAATATTTTAGGCTTCGAACACACCACATGTGATCTCTATCACATAGTTTTATTTTCTTTTTAAACGATGCTTTGAAAACAGGAAAACCATTGTTGGCTCCTAGGCTATACAAAAACGGGGCACAGTTTGCCAACACCTGGTCTTTATGGTAGTATCAATAATTCTGTATTAGTTTGCCTCTTCCATCATTTTAAGTGACTATTTTATTTTCTTTTGTATGCCTATTTGTGTTTCAGTTAGCAAAGATCCACAAAACAGTAAAGTAGATAAAGGTGTACTGGGAAGAATTGGAATCAGTGCTATGTACTTCTATCACAAGCTGTTGCAGTGGTCCAAGGTACTTCATTAAGTTTTTGTCTTGGCTTGGTATAGAGACTACTAGTTTTAAAATTATGAACAGAATATAAGTTAACCCTGCAAATTAGGAGTTTGCTAATAATCATTACAATTGATAAAGTGGGACCCAGACTAGTGAGTGATTTATTAGATGGTATATTAAGCAAATGGCTACTATTCAAAATCTCAAACTGGATGCAGTGGCATGTACCTATAGTCCCAGCTACTCAGGAAGCTGAGTTCGAGGCCAGCCTGGGCAATGTGGACAGATTCCCATCTTTAAAAAATAATTTTTATTATAAAAATAAATAAAATCTCAGTATAGAGAACACTTAACCCATTTATGCCAGAGATTGCAAATGTTTTTTGTGAAAAATCAGACCTTGGTGATGACCTTGAGCAGTAGGATATAAATAACTCCCATAAGTTTAGTGTTCCAATAATGTAACACTAGGTATAAATGGGTTAAGAACCCATGCTAAATGTCATATTTATTTGAAGTAACTTTCAATTCATATTATTTTGCCAACACCTGAGTATCAGTTATATTGTAATTTTAGAAGAGTCCAAGACACATTTCTTTGTTTGTGGGGTTTTTTTGTTTGTTTGTTTTTGTGATGGAGTTTCGCTCTTGTTGCCCAGGCTGGAGTGCAATACTGCAATCTTGGCTCACCACAGCCTCCGCCTCCCAGGTTCAAGCAATTCTCCTGCCTCAGCCTCCCAAGTAGCTGGGATTACAGGCATGTATCACCATGCCTGGCTAATTTTGTATTTTTAGTAGAGACAGGGTTTCTCCATGTTGGTCAGGCTGGTCTCGAACTCCCAGTCTCAGTTGATCCACCCGCCTCAGCCTCCCAAAGTGCTGGGATTACAGGTGTGAGCCACCATACCCAGCCAAGACACATTTCTTAAGATGAACTCAGAATACTCACAATTAACAGAACTTCATAAAAATCACCTCTTAGAATACCTTGGAACACTATATACCATATATCTTGATGTCTAACTTTGAGGCTTAGCTTACCATAGAGATGGTTTAGTGACTCAAGACCATGTTGTATTACCATTCTTCACATATTCCTGAGGTGGCAGGTGGAGTTATAGACTCAAAAAAGTTCAAGTAGAGGACAGGAAATCCAAAATAGGGAGGAAGTGCTGAGGGATGGAGTTTATATAGAGAGTAGAGTAGAGAGTGTGGTCACTATTGAATTAACTATTAAAGTTTATCTTTTGTTACTTGCTGCTTTTATAAAGAGGTTATTTCACAATTGAATATATACGTTCAATAACATTTAAGTACATGGTCACCTGTATACCTACAAAATTCACGAAGTAAAAAGAAAAAAATTTTTAACCTAGAATGGTTGTATAGTAGGTCTCCAGGCTCAAAAGTCTTCAGGAGGCTTAGCTCTTATTGTGTGGTAGGCCTGGAGTAGGCAAGGTGTACCTTGTGTTTGCTCTCACAATTGAGCTTAAGGTTGGTCATAGCATTAATTTCTTGACTATTTAGTGCTTGGGAATTTGAGGACTATCTAACAAGAAGATCCTTTATAAAAATTCAGACTGGGCCAGGAGCAGTGGCTCACACCTGTAATCCCAGTACTTTGGGAGGCTGAGGCGGGGGCATCACTTGAGGTCCGGAGTTCAAGACCAGCCTAGCCAACATGGTGAAACCCCATCTCTACTAAAAAATACAAAAATTAGCAGGGGGTGATGGCGCTAATCGGGAGGCTGAGGCAGGAGAATTGCTTGAACCCGGGAGGCGGAGGTTGCAGTGAGCCGAGATTGCACCACTGCCCTCCAGCCTGGGTGACAGAACAAGACTCCATCTCTTAATGCCATCCCTCCCCCCTCCCCCAACCCCATGACAGGCCCCAGTGTGTGATGTTCCCCACCCTGTGTCCAAGTGTTCTCATTGTTCAATTCCCACCTATGAGTGGGAACATGCGGTGTTTGGTTTTCTATCCTTGCGATAGTTTGCTCAGAATGATGGTTTCCAGCTTCATCTATGTCCCTACAAAGGATATGAACTCATCCTTTTTTATGGCTGCATAGTATTCCATGGTGTATATGTGCCACATTTTTTTAATCCAGTCTATCACTGATGGACATTTGGGTTGATTCCAAGTCTTTGCTATTGTGAATAGTGCCGCAATAAACATACATATGCATGTGTCTTTATAGACTGCATCTCAAATTTAATAAAAGAGAAACTCAGACTGATTTTGCTGAAATTTTAGAGTATATTTTAATTTTATTTGGTTATTATTTGAGACATTGGTAGATTGGTGAATTTTATCTATTTTAATTAAAAATTTTAACTACTTTAGAAAATTATTTTATTACATAGTATGAATTTTTTAATGAAACCTATTCCTTTTTGAATGTAAAAATAAAATCATTGACAGTAAACTAAACATATCCCTTTAAAAATGCACTCTTTTATACAGTCATCTTGAAGGTAGCTTGACATCATAATAAGCATCTAATTCAAATATTATAGAATATAAAACAAGGGTCTGTACACTAAGGCCCATGGTCCAGAACTCACCCAAAGCCTGTTTTTGTACAGCCCTCAAGCTAAGACTTTTTCACATTTTTAAAGAGTTATAAATTTAAAAAACAACAATCAAAAAGAATGTACAACAGACTAAATGTGGCCTGCAAAGCCTAAGCTACTTACTATCTGGCCATTTACAGGAAAAGCTTGCTGGCTCATGGTATAAAATAATGATATATGTCCAATTTCTGATGTCCAAACCAAAGGTAATTTTCATGTAGAATACATGAAATACTTAGTCTACGGAATTAAGAATTTTAGCTAACAAGTTTATCCTTTTTTTCACTATCATTCTTTGTCTAAATTTTTTGGAAGGTAGGGCAGGGGTTTCACCACACTCCCCAGGCTGATCTCAAACTTCTGGGTTCTAGTGATCATCCCATCTCAGCCTCCTCCTGAGTATGTTTAAATTTGATAACAAATTATTTTCATTTTTACTTTCTCTCCCTCCTGGATCCCAGATTGACCAACAGAAGAGGAGCAAAAACATATAATCAGTAGTTTTCTATGCTAAATCATGGAAGCCTTTCATCACATGAAATCTTAAGGAGAAGTACAGTGTATAAAACAAATAAAAAGAAGGCTTCTGATAAAGGGGGTCTGGTGGTATTGGTGGGAAGAGGTGGTTAATATGAGGCAGAGCCTTGCTTGTTCCTCTTTCCCTTTCATCTGTATGGCTGAACAGGAAGGGGCTTAAGGAAAGAGTCTTGGAGCAGCTTAACAGCCAGCAGTCTAGGATGATGATTCAAACTGGATACTTGGCTTGTGAATAATTATCAGTGGCTTTGTGTGTTTGTAAATGATTGATACCCAATTAGTGTTCTTTATTTTTATTCTAGGGAAGGAAGGTCTTAGAGAAACTATATGAATTAAAAATACACTTTACAAGTTTAAAAGGACTTATAGGGCCTGAGAAGTTAGCATCAAGATGTCAAATTGTGAATGTTGCAGCAGAAATTTTTCTAAAAAGTGGAAGCCTAGATGGTGCCATTTGGGTAATGAGGGGTAAGTCCTGATATATGCAAGCATAAAATAATTCGTTATACTTGTCATGCATTTTTGTCTATGTAATTACCTTAAGTTGATATTGAACTGTGGTTAATAGTTTGGTCTAAACCCTAGTGAACATGTGGGTAGGAAAGGTTGTCATGTAAACTGAAAGGGGAAAGTTAACTTAGCCTTAAAGAAGAAATTATATAAGCCTTTGTTCATTTAAAAACTAGTTCTTGTTGGGCCGGGTGTGGTGACTCATGCCTGTAATCCCAGCACTTTGGGAGGCCAAGGCAGCGGATCACCTGAGGTCAGGAGTTTGAGACCAGCCTGACCAACATGACGAAACCCTGTCTCTACTAAAAGTACAAAAATTAGCCAGGCATGGTGGTGGCCGCTTGTAATCCCAACTACTCAGGAGGCTGAGGCAGGAGAATCGCTTGAACCCGGGAGGCGGAGGTTGCAGTGAGCCGAGATCGCGCAATTGCAGTCCAGCCTGGGCAACAGAACGAGACTCCATCTCAGAAAAAAAAAAGCAAAACCTAATTCTTGCTATGGCCTAGGCTCCATATTAATGCTTTCCCTGAATTATCCCAAATAATCTTCATAGAACCCTGAATTTGGAACTATTAAAATCCCCATTTTATTGATAAGAAAATGCTGTCAGAGATATTAACCAACTTGCCCAAAATGACATAATAAGTAAGGAATGGAGGCCAAATTCAAATCCAGACAATCCAGCTTCAGAGCCCAGGCTTCAGCCGCTGTGTAAAATGGAAATCCTGATTGCAGTGTGCGTAAACTCTATCTTCATATGTATGGGCAAACATGACTTCAAACCAAGATGAGTAGAGCTTACTTTCCTTGATAAGGCAATTCTTCTAAGCAGAAATTACAGTGAAATTAAGCCAGCAGGAACAAATAAGGTTAGTTTGGTATGAGAAAAATTAAAAAGAGCACAATAGTGTTACGATACTAATGAAGCTAATGATAGCGCTGGCTATTTGGACCATCAGGCAGATTTTATTTGATAAAGTGGGATAAGAACGAAAAAACCTCAAGGATCTCAGGAGTTTAGGTGGGAAGATGGAATCAATAAATAAAGCAAATTGAGAACTGTAAAACACACTAACACACAAACACTAGCACATATATATATATTCATATACATGTGATTCATATATGGGAAATATATGTATATAAAATATCTTGTATATGTTCAGTGCTGAGGGTTTAATACAGAGGTTGTGAGTAGGCTTCATTCAAAAGCTCGTTTGTAAAGGTATTCTTCAACTTAAACATAGTCAGTGAGGTTTCCTAAGTGGGAAGAGTACCAAAATACAAAAATGGAAATTAATGAAATATAAGCCAGAGCTCACAAGCTCTGTGAAGAAAGAAGCGATGTGTCAAGAAATGGGAAGGTGAAAATAGTTTATAAAAATGAACTTGGGTCACCTTACGATAGGAACCTCCTGTCTGAAAGTTTGTGGCAAAACCAGTCTTTCTCAAACTAGAAACTGGGAGAGTTTGTGGGAGAGATGTGGAGTGATCTTTGGAGATTTTGTTTTAAATTTCAATGTTTCCGTTTTAGACTAACTTTAAACTTCTATCAATTATAAGCAGTATTCTTTTTTTTGCAGTGACAGTTTCAACTAAAAGTAATTTTCATAAGTAAAATTTTATCTCTACAAAAGAAGAGGCCACAGAAGTATGCTCAGTTGTTCCTAGAATTTTTTAATTCTTAAAAGGGCTCTATAGTGAACAGGCCATTCCCAAGAAAGGAAATACAAATGGCTCAATCTCACTGATAATAAGTGAGATTAATACTCACTTGTAATAAGAGAAATATACATTACAATTACAAACACCATTTTGAACCCATTAGACTATCAAAGATCAAAGTTTGGTGATATGCTTTTTGTGAGGGTATAGAGAAATAGACATTCACAGAGGTTGTCTTTAGGAGCTTTTTGGCAAAATAAATGTCAAAAGTTTAAAACACATTTTTTTTTCATTTACTAATTCCATTTCTAAGAATTTGTACTGCACACACATTTATACCTGTATACAAAGGTATGCATATTAAATTATCTGGAATATTTTGTTACACCAACAATGGTAACAAAGAATTCCAGGTAGCTTAAATGCTCATTAAGGGAATACCAGTTGAACTGTGTTATAGCCATATGATAAAGCAGAATGAGGCAGATCTGTAAGTGTTCATTTGGAATGATCTTCAAGACCTATTGCAAAGCCAAAAAAAAAAAAAAAAACACAGGAATGTACAGAGCAGTTGCTACCATCCGAATAAGAATAATAATACAATGGACAAATACGTATTTGCTTATATACCCTTAAAATATGTGTAGAAGAATGCACAAGAAACTAGTAATAGTGGCTGACTCTGCCTCTGGAAGGAGAAATTGAGTGCTTGGAGGACAGAGTAGCAGATTAACTTTTTACATATATTTTTCCTTTTTAAAAATATGCTTTTATTACCTACTGAATTTGCAAAAGATGGAGTTACATACATTACTCAAGTTTGAGAAATGCGGAATATCTCACACATTTTTTTGTTTGGTGAGTGACAGATTTGATGGCGAGAACAAATCTATTGTTTTGGCATTTCACTTTGACATTTCAAACTCTTTCTCATACTAGTGCTTTTTATCCTGCAAATGAGCAACAGATTGCTACCATGCCATCTCCCAAAACCAACATAAAAAAGTCTTGAAATATAAAATGGTTTTAAGACTATCATTTTATAATCCTTGTTCAGAGGCTGAAAAATAAGTATCTTAGTTCTCTATAATCAAATTTTGTAAAAAAGTTATGCCATTTATTGAGAAACTGCCTTTGAATTTTGAAATAACTTATTGCCTTTGTATAAGTAATACATATTAATAAATATGAAAAGCTGGATAAGCAAAACTAATGTTAAAAATCCCATATCATTTGGTCACCCAGAAATTGCTATTATCCACTTTAATGTTGTTATACCGACACTTTTATACTCTGCATTTTTTTCAGGCAGTAGCCTTTCAGTGAAAAATTTTTCTACAGCATCACTTACTAGGCTGCATGGTTTTCTATCTTATAAATAGACAGATGGATAGATCTGTCTTTTGATCCATGAATCCACTTTTACTGAACTAGCTTGTTTTTCAGATTTCAGTTGTAAACGATAATTCCTGCTAAACGTCACCGCTAAATCTTACTTTTCCTTAGGATAAATTCTGATGGAATTGCTGTGTTAAAGGGTAAAGGCATTTTAAAGCTTTTTGGCAAATATCAACAAATTTTCCCTATTCAGATTTGCAGATGTTATTTCAGGTTTATTAGAAAGCTCCCCCGGGCCAGGTGCGGTGGCTCATGCCTGTAATCCCAGCACTTTGGGAGGCCGAGGCGGGCGGATCACGAGGTCAGGAGTTGGAGACCATCCTGGCTAACATAGTGAAACCCCATCTCTACTAAAAATATAAAAAAAAAAAATTAGCCGGGCATGGTGGCGGACACCTGTAGTCCCAGCTACTCTGGAGGCTGAGACAGGAGAATGGCATGAACCCGGGAGGCGGAGCTTGCAGTGAGCCAAGATCACGCCACTGCACTCCAGCCTGGGGCAACAAAGCGAGACTCTGTCTCAAAAAAAAAAAAAAAAAGCCCCCCACTTTATTAGAAAATCTTAGAGAGTTATTTCCTTTAGATATAGCTTCTATACAAACATGTCCTTTTAGGTATCACAGGTGCAGATGTTAGTTAACAATTCCAGATGTTAGTGCCTGATACTATGTTTTTTGGTTATCAGACAGGCAGACTGGTACATTCCAGGTTATGCAAACCCTAATCTAGCTATTCAGTACATTCCATTCCAGGTCTTTTCTCTGTGAGGAGACTATAAAAGTCCTCTACACCTTCAGTTAGATTGTAGTAATTACAGTCTACTTAACAGTGTATGAAGATGCAGCTTATGAAATACCCTTGCCAACAATTAGTATTATTATTTTTCTTATCTCTCTGCTAGTTTGATAGGGCAAAAGTTATTCACAGCTTTACTTTGCATTTTTATATTATTTATTTTTTTTGAGACGGAGTCTCACTCTGTCACCCACGCCTGGCTAATATTTTGTATTTTTAGTAGAGATAGGGTTTCACCGTGTTAGCTAGGATGGTCTCAATCTCCTGACCTCGTGATCTGCCCACCTCGGCCTCCCAAAGTGCTGGGATTACAGGCCTGAGCCACTGCACCCGGCCAACTTTGCATTTAATTATTAAAGAAATTTTTTCCCCATCTGGACCTTACTTTTTTGTGAATTGCCTGTTTATGTTCTTGGTCTGTTTTCTGAATTTAGCATTTCTCTTCATTATTGGTTTCATAATAATGTGAGTATTCACTATCTACCAAGCATTGTGCTAAGTGTATTATTTGTGTCATCTCATCTAATCAATACTAACCCCATAACGTAGGTAATAGTATCCCAATATGAGGACGCTGAGGTTCAGAGAAGATCACACAACAAATAAGTGTAAAGCAGGAATTCCAATCCAGGTCTATCTGACTGCAAAGTCTGTATTTTTAACTACTACACCAGTACTATTGTTTTCCTAGTTTTTCCTCTAAATAGACTTCATAAAATTGCAACTAGATCAGAAGCACAAACTACACAAACAGATCCAAACCTAAGATAGTCAGCCTCCTGAGCAAAATGGTGGTATTGAGCTTGTTTTTGGTAAATCTAAGACAGGGGTTCTCAACCTTGATTATCAGAATTCTCTAGAGGGCTTGTTAAAACACATATTGCTGGACCCACCCCCAGATTTTCTGATTCATTAAGTCTGGGGTGGGTCCTAAAAATTTGCATGTCTGTCAGGTTTTTAGATGTTGTTGATTCTGCCGATCTGGGGACCTCACTTTGAAGACCACTGCCCTACATCACTCTCACATAGTGACGTTTTCTCATACCTTACCTGTGTTCCTAAACCATACCCCCTCAAGTCGCTCCCCCACTGCGTTCTTTAACCACTGCTATAAATACTACCATTTTTATTTCTTTGAAAGTTAATTACATTTAGAGTATTTCACCTGTGGTGGTACCTGGCACAGAGTAAATATTTAGTAAATATTAGTTGAGGTGGATGGATGGATGGATGGATGGATGGATGGATGTTCTTCATTTATGTATCTTTATACCTTCCAAAGAGGAAATGGTTGCAGGTTTTGAAAGAACGTGTGTGTGTGTGTGTGTGTGTGTGTGTTTATACTATGAAATTTAGCATAAAGTTTAGCTCACACATGTGGACCAGCGCCTGTGACTACAGTACGAATATAAGCATATAAACAATGTTAATATTTAAGAAAAATCATTTCAGAAAAAACGTGTTGTCTTCATTTTCTTTCTCTTTTTTTTTTCTGAGATGGAATCTTGCTCTGTTGCCCAGGCTGGAGTGCAATGGCATGATCTCAGCTCACTGTAAACCTTTGCCTCCTGGGTTCAAGCAATTCTTCTGCCTCAGCCTCCCAAGTAGCTGGGATTACAGGTGTGCACCACCACGTCTGGCTATTTTTTTTTTTTTTTTTTTAGTAGGACAGGGTTTCTCCATGTTGGTCAGGCTGGTCTCAAACTGCTGGCCTCAGGTGATCCGCCCACCTTGGCCTCCCAAAGTGCTGGGATTACAGGCGTGAGCCACCATGCCCGGCATCTTCATTTTCAATCAGTGGCTGGATCTTCCCAGCACAAAGCTGTGTTAGCCCAGGCCATCTTTAGTCTTTGATTGAATACCACAGTTCCATTTATATCTACTCATCAAGACCTACTACTTAGGTCATTAACACCTCTTTCTCAAATAATTTTCACCAAATGTGAACCCTGGTTATTTGCAGTCATGGGATTTTTAATTATTTCTAAAATACTTCTTTGTACTTTTCTGTTTTGCTTGAGTTTTTATAGTAAACATTTATATTTTAAAAATAAACATTTAAGGCCAGGCACAGTGACTCATGCCTGTAATCCCAGCACTTTGGGAGGCCGAGGCAGTTGGATCATTTGAGCTCAGGAGTTTGAGACCAGCCTGGGCAACGTAGGGAGACTCTGTCTCTATGAAATTTAAAAAAAAAAAAATTTAATTAGCCAGGCATGGTAGCACACGCCTGTAGTCTCAGCTACTCAGGAGGCTGAGGTGGGAGGATTGCTTGAGCCCCAGAGGTCGAGTCTGCATTGAGCAGTGATCATGCCACTTCACTCCAGCCTGGGCAACACAGTGAGACCCTGTCTCAAAAAAAATAAATAAAGTAAACTTTTTTTAAAGTAAATCAAGCAACTTAGCCTCATCCAAATATTTGTGAAATCACAGATTTACTGTGATTTTTGTATTTAATGTGATCTTTATAATTTTTTAAAATACAATTATTAAAATTCTAATGTAACACCTAAAATTTTCAGGTACCATCAGTGATGTGTATATCACACTTAGGAAATATCACACTGTATAATAATGTCCTTTTTATATTGCAGTAGTTTTACATATTAAAGATACTAGTCCTTGATCTGTTGGGTATTTACAAATATTTTTCCTAGCTTTTCATTTTTCTTTAACTTTATGATGTTTTTTGCATTTTTTGTTTTCTTTTGCCTACTGACATTTTTTCTACTTAATATAAACTGCTGCTTTTTAAATATTTAATAATTTTTGTTTTGTATCATGCTTTTAGGCAGTCCTTAGTCATCTCAAAGTTACGTATTCATCCATATGTTCTTCAATTTTTTCATTTGTTGTTAGTTTTAAATTTTGGTATTAGATGGGAAGTTAATTTTATTTATTTCCCCAAAATGTTTTCCCATTTCATCCTTTACTCACTTACTTGAAATGCCATTTTTATCATATATTAGAATCTTGAATCTGTTGGGTCTGTTTCTGCACCTTTCTCCCAAGCATCTCTGTGTTTCTATGCTAGCACGATGCTCTTTTTATTTAATATAATCTTAGAATATGTGATATTTGTCTATCCTCTCTCCACTTGTCTCCATTTGTCTATCCACTCTCACTCCTCTTCTAAATTATTCTTTGCTATGCTTGTTTATTCTTTGAATGAATTTCAGAATTACTAAATCAGGTTTTAATACAGTTCTGTAGGAAATTTGATTGGGATTATATCAAATGTATACCTTGGCTGGGCTTGGTGGCTCACGCCTGTAATCCCAGCACTTTGGGAGGCCGAGGCCGGTGGATCACTTGAGGTCAGGAGTTCGAGACCAGCCTGGCCAATGTGGTGAAACCCTGTCGCTAAGAAAAATACAAAAATTAGCCTAGCATTGTGGCAGGCTCTGGTAATCCCAGCTACTCAGGAGGCTGAGGCACAAGAATCATTTAAACCCGGGAAGCAGAGGTTGCAGTGAGCCAAGATCGCGGCACTGCACTTCAGCCTGGGCAAGAGAGCAAGACTCGGTCTCAAAAAAATAAATAAAAATAAATGTATACCTTAGGGGAAAAATAGGTATCTTTAGATACTCCCCCATTTTAGTATTTACTGTTGGAAAAGATAATTATTTGTTTGATAGTCTCACTGACTAGCTTGGAAATTCATTTAATAGTTTTATGTTCCCAGTGTGTATATTCAAAATCTTGTGTGAGTAATGACTGAATGTGCATATGTCAGAAGGTAAGTGGATAAAAACAGGCTATTATGGAAAATATGCTCTCCCTTTGATTCTGAGATTTTAGACAAATAGAAAATATTTCCCAAATATGAAATAGAGAAAAACATGAAGATGAATGCTATAACAACTTTTACTGCTATAAAACTAGTATTAAGCCCACTAGTAAACTGTTTCTTATTCTTGGGAATTTAATTCTCATGAGTTCTCATAAAATATTCATAAAAGTATTTATGTTGGTAGAATTGTGAACTAGCTAGATTAAATTTAAAGCTATTAATTTCTAAGTGACTTCTCATTTATCAGTTTCAGTCGACTTTGATACATAGAATAATTAGCTTACTCAGATTTTTTTTCTTCTTAAAAACAGAGGTTTGATTGTGTTTGGTCCACAGTCAGTATTTCACATTATTTCATGGTGCAGGGCCCCTGGGTGGGAATCCCTGTGCAGTACTTGACAGGGCCTGTGGCCCGGGGTGATGAAGCAGTATGGCTGGTCAGGCCAGGAAGGGGAGAAGGGCTGGGGGCTCCACCTACTGAGGGGCGGGCATGGTGGCTCACGCCTGTAATCCCAGCACTTTGGGAGGCCGAAGTGGGTGGATTGATCACCTGAGGTCAGGAGTTCGAGACCATCCTGGCCAACGTGGTGAAACCCTGTCTCTACTAAAAATACAAAAATTAGCTGGGCGTGGTGGCAGGCACGTGTAGTCCCAGCTACTAAGGAGGCTGAGGCAGGAGAATCACTTGAACCCGGGAGGCGGAGGTTGCAGTGAACCAGGACTGTGCCACTGCACTCCAGCCCGGGTGACAGACTGAGACTCCATCTCAAAAAAACAAAACAAAACCCTACTGAGGGCCACGGTGGGGGGTGGGGGAGTGGGGCGGGGGAGGGTTTGCATAGAGAGGGGGTCAGGCTTAGTCCCAACAACTCAGAATTCGACTTGCCTTGTACGGGCCTCAGTTTCACCACCAGGCCCCAGGGCAGGTCTGAGGATCTGAGGTCTGTTATTCTGAGGGTCCTAGGGAAATCCAGCCATTCAGAAGCCTGAGATATTTCAGCATCATGGCCAGGCCCCCTCTCCCAGGGGACTCATTTCCCAGCACCATCTCCATTATCCCTGCCCCATTCCTCGGAAAAAAAAAATATATATATGTATTTTATATATATAATATGTATATTTTATTTATATATAATATATATTTTATATAATTATATTAAATGTATACCTTTATATATAAAAATATATATATATAGTTTTCTTTTGTTAATGCTTCCTGAAGCCTTTGCGGGCACAGAAACCACAAACTGATCGGCTGACAAAAGTAGGAAGAGGAGAGGCAACCGGAAACCTTTGGGGAGCAGTTCCCCTCCATGCCCAGGTCTGTTCTCCCCAGCACAGCTCGGCCCACAACCTGGATGTGCCACCAGGGACCATTACCCTACACGTATTGGGATATAGCTTGACCCCTTCCCCCACGGCCAGGTGGCTCAATCCTGCAAAGGAACCAAGGCAAGGCGGGGAAGAACCCTGCTGCCTGATCCCATGCTGCCCCTCACAGACCGTTGGTTGATTGGCAACACTGAACAGGTTTTTAAAAAAGATGGCAACACAGAAAAAAACAAAAACCCAGACAGGGAGATGATGTGGGGAGAGAGCATGCTAGGTCAGATTTTTTTATATACCTAAACAGTTTGATAAAAATTTTAAATGAATCTCCTAAAATACCATATATACTTTCCAAAAAATGTGACCATTACCCTACCTTAAATATAAAGAATAAGTATTAAAGAAAAATGATGCAATTTTTATGAGAAAAGGTTTATATAATCTACTTTTTGTACATGGGATATATCTAACAGATAAAAAATAATTGAACTTATTCAATCAAAGTAAAATTCACTTTATAAGGAATGGTGAACGAACAGTTTTACTTTTAATGGGAATTATGTTTAACAGATGATCATACAGTCTTTGAAGATATTAAATTCATTTACATTTCTCTCTATATTAAAATGTCAGCAAATGTAGAAGCAAATTAATGAAAGTATCTGTCTAAATGAGTTAATATTCTTAAAGCACTTAGAACATTCCTAACACATAGTATAACTCTGTTAGGTCAATCAGTCAATCACATGGGCTCTAGTAATTGAAAAGCTCCTTTTTAAAGCTTTATACTGGATACTAAAAGCTTTCTTTTGTCATGATATATTTGAATTATCAACTTTTTCTTCAATACTTTTTATATTCACTGTGCTAGGAAGGCCACAAAATAAAAGGATTACTTCTACATTTAGTTCAGTTGAAAAAGAGCACCAAAATATGATTTGAATGTTACATATAGTAATGTTTCACTATGTGTATAATGATTGAGTAAATTAGGTAAATGATAAAATATTGACATTTCTAACATTTTAGTACCTCAGTGTTCTGTACTACAGTCTCCCATTGTTTTTCTCAATGTGAAAATCAGAGCAGAAATTAAGGAACTTCAGCATTATAGGTAATATTCTCTTTTTTTAAAGAGGGTCTGAGGTCTGTTGGTTTGAGGGTCGTAGGTGGGTGTGATGGGTACACAGGAGTTAATTTTATTATTATGCTTTTATAACATATATTATTCTTCTGTATACAACAACGATTTCATAATAGAAATTGTTTTTAAAATAGAAAGTGTTAAGAAAAGCTATTCGCTGGTCGGGCGCAGTGGCTCATGCCTGTAATCCCAGCACTTTGGGAGGCCAAGGTGGGCCAATCACAAGGTCAAGAGATCGAGACTGTCCTGGCTGACACAGCGAAACTCCGTCTCTACTTAACATACAAAAAATTTAGCCAGGTGTGGTGGCACGCGCCTGTAGTCCCAGCTACTCAGGAGGCTGAGGCAGGAGAATCACTTGAACCCGGGAGGCGGAGGTTGCAGTGAGCCAAGATTGCGCCACTGCACTGCACTCCAGCCTGGGTGACAGAGTGAGACTCCATCTCAAAAAAAGAAAAGAAAAGAAAAGCTATTCCCCAGTAATACCAAAAACTAATTAAATTATTTATTGTGAAATTGTTAAACTTGTCCACATAAATAATATTTTATGTTAAAGCAAATATTTGTGATAATCTGAACTTTTTTATATAAAAATAAACATTTAAAATTAGTAATTGACTAGTACACTTAGATGAAGAATTAATTAAAAATAAATATAACAAAGTGGCCATTTGTTTGCATCTTCTTCAGATGATGATCATCACTATATAAGTTATTTCTAATAAATTTGAGCCATGGTTATCTTCTCTGAGTACATATGTTTAAGTTTTGCCTGTTTCTTCAAAAGATATATTGAAACATTAGTTGTGATTATACTGTTAAGTGTCATTTTCATGGTATAAACTATTCATATTTTTTTCTTTTTGGAAGAGTCAGAGTGGATAATCAATACGCCTCTGTGGCCTTGTGATAGACTGGATGTGCTTAATCGACATAATTTACTCTGTACAATTGCACATGAAATCTTAGCCAAGAGCCTTTATAGACAGACATTTGAAGTTTTGCAGAATCTACCAGGTTTTCAAAATTCCCAAGGTATGTTTTTTAAAAGTCTATCTTAATTATCTCTTGCCCATCTGGTGTTTAACTGTTAATAAGAAATAGTTATCCACCTGTTTTGATTGAGTTTTATATTCCAGCATATTTTTTAATGAAGTAGTTTTCTGTAAAATATGTTCTCTGCAAATTGAATATACTTTCCTGATGGTTTAAAAAAATCTGAGATGCTTATCTTTGGGTTGTTTGTCAGCAGTTCCTAAGACAAGCATTTTTATCATTCCCTTTTCCCTACTTCTGTCAAGTCATCAGCAAACAATATGTTTAAATGCCCTGAGCAAGCTTTTTCTCTTATCACTGAATAAATACAGAACTTAGTTTACATTACCTAGGAACACAGGTAAACTTGAAAGAAATGGAGGAAGTGAAACAGATGCCAAGTTCAAACGCCAATGTGGGAAATGGTAGTCAGTACTCTTGAATGTTGGGTGTCCATGAGCAAAAGCTTTGGGTCAAGAATGAGCTATGTGATAGGTTCAGAGGATGACGAAAACGTTAACCTGAGGGCCTCCCCTCAGTACTTTCATCGTACTATCTATAAATTTTCATTTTTCCACTTAATTCCACTGTGCTCCTGTATTGTAATGAGCATTCTTATCTGTTTCTCCTTATACAAAGTGAGCTCAATCAGGATGGTACTATTTTCTTTACCTTGGTATTCCTGGCCCAATGGCTGCTATCTAGCAATCTCTTAATATACAATTAGTTGGTAATGAAACAAAGTAGTAATAGGGAGATTGGACAGATAGTTGTGCCAGATTTTGGAAGACCCTAAATGTCAGGCTAAAGGAATTTTCTTCTCTGTGTATAAAAAGGGATCACTAGAGTTTTGGGTCTAGGGAGTGATATAATGAAATTGGTGTTTCAGGAAAGTTCCTCTGGCAGTAGTGTTTAGGAAAAGACTAAAAGTAGAGAGATTAATTTCCTGATAAGTCCTGGATAACTAAAAGATTCTAAAGCAGTAAGGAACTACAGTCTAGCTCACAGACCCAACTGACTGAATATAGGGAATAAAAGAGAAGTCTCTAAGATGACTTCTCTTTCTTCTAAGAATAACTGAAGGAATAGAAAATCCATTAAAGGATTGTTTTAAATTTGGCAGTAAATATTTATTAGGGGATGATTTGTTTTTAGTCAAGGGATATATAAGGCTAAGGTCTGAACTGTAGATATAATACAAACAGAATTGAGAAATTATTCAAGACACTACAGATACACAGTTACATGTGGGAATCAAATACAGAGGTCTTAATGCATCCTCTGAAATTTTTGTCAAGCTTCTTTTTATCTTCTCTATTGCAAAGGAAGTTAATGGTTTTTCTTTTGTCAAATGCTTTTTCGTTTCTGACTTAGAGAATATGTAAGATAGGTTGGGCGCGGTGGCTCATGCCTGTAATCCCAGCACTTTGGGAGGCTGAGGCAGGCAGTTCACTTGAGCCCAGGAATTTGAGATCAGACGATATGGGCGTGTTCAGGGTGGTATGGCCATAGATGAGCCCAGGAATTCGAAACTAGTCTGGGCAACATGGTGAAACCCTGCCTCTGCAAAAAAACATAAAAATTAGCCAGGCCTGGTGGACCTGTAGTCCAAGCTACTTAGGAGGCTGAGGCGAGAGGATGACTTGAGCCCAGGAGGTGAAGGTTGCAGTGAGCCAAGATCATGCCACTGCACTCCAGCCTGGCTGACAGAGTGAGACCCTGTCTCAAAAAAGGAGAAGAAAAATAAAGAGAATATATAAAATGATTGCATTTTAGTGACTGTGAGTCCTATAATGGGTAAGAAAGGGTGAAGGGGAGGAGAAAGAAAAAGGAGTATGAGATGGAGGTTTGAGACACTTTAATATAAATGAATTTTATTATATCATTTTTTTTATTCCAGAAACTGTGGAAGTCTCACAATATAGCCTTCTTTTTAATAAGCTTCTAGGTTCCTGTATAGAAAGCAGTAGTCTTGGTATGTCATCCTCTGTGGCAGAATTCATGATTTCAAAGAGCATCCCTATTGATTTTTCCTTTCTCAGAAGATTAATTACTTCTTTAGGAAGGAGTCGTTTATGGCTCAAAGCCAGAGCCCACTACAAAAGTAAGTTACATTTAAAATGTTTTAATATATTGGTTTATAATTGTATTCTCTAACCCAGAATTTATAATATATAAGATTAGATATTTATATGTATTAAAAGAGCAGTAATACATATTCAAATGTAGTGGTCTCAACAGATCTGTGCTCTCTTTTGAAACCTATTGTTTCTCTTCTGTTTCCAGTTGCTTTCCTTATTTCCAATGTTTGCAATTTCCAATCTTTATTTCTTGCACAGTAGCCTGTCCGCTAGAGGGCGAGCAAAGGGAACAAATGACAGGATAGAACCAGTTTGGCATATCTTATAAATAATGCAAGCATAAAACAAGTGGGTAGAATGAAGTTTAAAGAAGATCTGTTTTTATTTATCTCTGCTATATCCCTAATTGTTATAACTAAAAATATTCAATAGCAGGTCACATCAGAAGCATAAAGGCTGTCATAACAATGCAACATAGTATATGTTTTTCACATGGCTTTTAGTAATAGAACTTTGTTAATCTACTTACAGCTGTTGTTCTCTAACAAATAAGCCTGGAAAACTAGTGCTTTCTCTAGTCCAAGCCACCTCGCAGGTATTTTAATTAGAAAGTAATTCCATGTACGTTCTAGATCTAGAAAAGCATTGTTTTTTCTGCCTTCATGCAGTAATTTGTCTTCAGCTACCATTTCTACCACTATCATGTATATAACAAATATTTGAGTGCCTACTCTGTGTCACCCCGTACCAAATGTGTCAAATATCCTAGCCACTACTACCTGAGCTGGAAGTGTTTTTCAGGTGGCCAGCTGTGATCAATGCAGCAGGTGGTAACTTTTTTTCCCCAACAAAATGGGAAAGAAAATACTAGGGTACATTACAGGTAGTAAGTTTAATTATTTGATAAAATTTTCATTTCAGTTGCATATATGCACGTATGTATACTGGGTCATTATGCAAAATGTGTTTCTTGTAGGTTATAATCAAAAGAAGTTTTGAAAGCTGAGTTTTCTTAAAAAGGGTGATCAGAAATTTAGAGGAAAGATAGAATTGTTTGTTCATAACACCTAATTTCAATTGTGTGGTTATGTTTCAACTCTTTATACTATTTACCTTCAGACTTCTAGAAACCATACACACACACATATATGTGTGTGTGTGATTTTAGTTTCTAGAATTGAAGTTAATGGGAATAATTTCATATAACTGTGCAACTGGGGGGAGATGCCATCAAAAGGTGTTTATATGCCACAGGAACAAATATAAGCTCAGACATTTAAATGAGATTTTTATAAATATTTCTATTTTTTAGTTGGAAATAAAATTTTATATTAAAGCATCTAGACTTAATCATTTACTTTAAAAATTTTTAACAACTTTATAGAAGTATAATTCAAATGCCATACAAGTCACCCATTTAAAGTATACAAGTCAGTGGTTTTACTATATCTACAGAGTTGTGTAACCATCACCATAATCAACTTTAGAATATTTTATTCATACCAGAAAGAAACCTCATATGCATTAGCAGTCACTCCTCATTCCTCCAAATCAATTCAGCCCTAGTAAGAATTACTTTTAAAGATTTTTTTAGCAGTGTGTTAAAGCAATTAATGCCTGTGTACAATACAGTACCTTTGTTATTGGAACTTTTCCTTTTATCTAATCACATATTCCTTATTTCATATGCAGTGTAACTTCTGAGACTTATGCAAGTGAGGTTACGGGATAAAGAGTATTTTTGTTTTTTAAGGAATGTACTTGAATTATAAAACCATGAATAAAAATGAGTAATTTACAGCCAAGTGAGTAATTTATAGCCACTGATCAGTCTTCAAAACATCTCATTTTCTAACAACATTGACATTAAAATTATATTGGAACTCCTTTTGGATTTATTTTCAGACATAGCTTAACCCTTGCAAGAAGAGCCTTTCAATGGTATATAATCGTGTCTAGTAGTACTTTATTTGGGACTTAACGCTGACTTTCTTCAAGGCACTGTTAAGACTTGGTGCCAGTGCCTTTGTTTTGACTTTTTTTAAACTTTTTTTGTTTTAATATTTTTATGGCTTTATTGAGATAATTTCACATATCATGAAATTAGTTCACTTAAAGTATATAATGCATTCATTTTTGGTATAGTCACAGAGTCATGCAGCCATCACCACCATTTAAGTTTAGAACATCTTCAACACCTCCAGAAAAAGAAACCTTGTACACATTAGCATTTATTCTCCATTCCCTGGTTGTCTCCTCTTCCACCCTAGTCCTAGGCAACAACTAATTTATTCTCTGTCTCCATGAATTTGCCCATTCTAGACAGATCACATAAATGGAATCATTTAATACATGTGTTTTAGTGACTGGCTTTTTTTTTTTTTTCTTGGAGACGGAGTCTCCCTCTGTCACCTAGGCTGGAGTACAGTGGCGCAATCTCGGCTCACTGCAACCTCCACCTCCCAGGTTCAAGTGATTCTCCTGCCTCAGCCTCCTGAGTAGCTGGGATTACAGGCACATATCACCATGCGCAGCTAATTTTGTATTTTTAGTAGAGATGGGGTTTCACCATGTTAGCCAGGCTGGTCTTGAACTCCCAGCCTCAGGTCATCCATCCACCTCGGCCTCCCAAAATGCTGCGATTACATGCGTGAGCCACTGCACCCAGCCATGACTGGCTTCTTATACTTAGCCTAGTGTTTTCAAATTTCAGTGTTGTAGCATGTATCAATACTTTGTTCCTTTTTATTGCTAAACAATATTCTATAAAATGGAATCTGTTTATTCATTGGTTGATGGACATTTGAGTTGTTTTCACTTTTTGGCTATTGTGAATAGTGCTACTTTGAATATTCACATAAGTTTTTATGTGTATATATGCATTCATTTCTCTTGGGAGAATTGCTGACTCATACAGTAAATCTATATTTAGCTTTTTGCCAAACTGCCAAACTGTTTCCTGAAGAAGCTGCATCATTTTATATTTATATTCCCACCAGCCGTGTACGGGATTTCCTGTTTCTTTATATCTTCACCAACACTTGTTACTGTGTTTTTTATTTTAGCTTTCCTCCTAGTGGGTGTTAAGTAATGTATCATTACAGTTTTGGTTTTCATATCCCTAATAACTAATGATGTTGAGGACCTTTTCATACAGTTATTGGTCATTCGTATATTTTCTTTTGAGAATGCCTATTAAATCTTTTGCCCTTTTTTTTTGATTGGGTTTTTTTGGTTGTAAGAGTATTCATACATACATACACATGTACATATGCATTTATATACACTCTGGATACAAATCCCTTGTCAGATATATGAATTACAAATATTTTGTCCATCCTGTGAGTTTTCTGTTACTTTCTTGATGGCTTTCCCTTGCTTTCATGCCAGACTAATCAGGAGGAGGTTGTCCAGGGACAGCAGAGTTTCCTTTCTCACGCTCCTGATTTGTTCTCCTTTGTCCTAAAAATACTGCTTTTCTCTCAGAACTGAGAAGTCAAGAGAGAGATGTTATTAGTGTATCTTTCCATTACTTTCTCCCCAAAATCAAATGTGAGTATTTTTCTTCTCACGTTTCATTTTGAGTGAAAAAAAAAATCGTATTAGTAGATTTCTAGTTAATTTTTTATTTTCTGCTTTTTAATTCTGGTAAGAAAAGTTAAATAAGAATGCATGTAAATTATACCTACCAAAAACTAGTAAAGTTAATGAGTTAACAGTTTGTTGCTCCTGGCAGTGACCTAGGGAGGTGGGAATACCTAGTGGTTAGGAATCCAAAATCTGGAGCCAGAAAGTGGGCACCCCATGCAAGCTTAGAGAGCCTGAGTGCTTACCAAAAGCCCCTCGTCTATAACATGGAAGTAATTGTACCTAATTTCAAAGGTAGCATTTTGTCAAGTTAAAATGAGGTAAAACCCATGTGTTTGTTAGCACATGTACATGGCACATAGCAGGTCTTCAAAGATTAGCCATTACCCATATTAGAAAGATTTCTTGAAGAAACTCATCCTAACAAAACAAAACATTCTAAGCAAAATTTACATACATATTTAAATTGGTTTCAGTAAAATATAATAATATAAAATTGCCTATATATAGTTTGGATGTTCTAGAAGTTTTATAGGTATTTCCCTATATATCTCTCCTAATAAGCACCTAAACAATTTAAAAGTTAAATCTCTTCTCTTGAAAAGTGAAGTTTTAAAAACATGAATTGGTGAATGTAGCTACAACACACAGATCACCTACAGGATGGAAATGTATTTTATGCCTAGTACTTAGCACAATGCCAGACATTTAGTAGCAACAGTAAATATTGCATAAACTATAATGGTACTATAAATAACTGTGCTCAAAAATAGTTATTCTGAAATTGTCTTGTGTTTACTGTGGCTTGAAATAAATGTCATTTGCCATGATAAGGCCCAAAAGTCATTTTTCAGAGTGTTTTTTTTTTAATGTTTCTCACTTTTTTTGTTTTTGTTTTTGTTGAGATGGAGTCTCACACTGTCGCCTAGGCTGGAGTACAGTGGCACAATCTCGGCTCACTGCAGCCTCTGCCTCCCAGGTTCAAGTGATTCTCCTGACTCAGCCTCCCGAGTTGCTGGGACGACAGGCACCCGCCACCACACCCAACTAATTTTTGTATTTTAGTAGGGATGGGGTTTCACCATGTTGGCCAGGCTGGTCTCAAACTACTGACCTCAAGAGATCCACCCGCCTCAGCCTCCCAAAGTGCTGGGATTACAGGCATGAGTCACCACACCCAGCCCTTCTCACTTTTTATTTAATGTTTCAAAAGCACTTTACAAAGAATAATGCCAAATATACTAGGATAAGCTATCATGTAATTTGTTAATCTACTTCTAATGTGAAGACTTATTCTGTGTAAGTAATTATCGCCTGTAGGTATTTCAGAAATCTAGGTTTTTACCTATTGGGTTTTAGTAAAGTTTGACCTATTATTTGATTTTTCAGGTGCTCTTTCCTTGGGTTGCTACCCACCATTGGAAGGAAATTTATACCGAAAACTTCTTCTAATTCCATCTTATTTATCTGAGATTGAAATGCTCTTAGCTATTGAAATCTTCATGGTATCTAATGCTAGTAGTATTCAGAGTCCTGGAACTTCTACACAGATACTGCAGATAGTTTTGAAAAGGTTGGTTGACATAACTTTAACTGCATTCTGAATGTAGATCATGACTCCCCACACCCACCCTAAGATGTAAATGTTTTATGTGTTTTTATACATACATATATATTTATGTATATATTTATATATGTACTTTATGTGTGTGTATTGCAAACTCTGATATCATTTAAACTAAGAAAGGATTAGACCTGTTTGAGGCTTAAAACCAAACAAGTTAGTAGCATTCGGTAAACACTTTAGCAACTTCAGAGATATAGTTAGATGTTCAAAGAGACGGATCCTCTTTAGGTACCAACCTTTCTTGTGTTTAGAGATCAGTACCTATAAAAATCTTTATCTCTAGTCAACTCAAAAGATCAAAGGACTAGGGTCTAAAAGGGAAATACGTGATCAGCCAAGAATACCATTGAAAATAAAGCCATCAGCCTAGTTTCTATATTTTATAATGCTATATATGCATAAATATTATAAAGTAGGTACTGTACCAGAGTGACACCCTTTCACGTAATTTTGTTTAGAATCCTAGAATTTAGGCATACAGTAGATGGTGTGCCTAAATCGTGGTATGCCATACGATTTCTTGTCAGCTTTATCCAGGAAACTTGCAATATAAGGATCTCCTGGGAATCCTGTTTTAGAGCTTCTTGACAAGAATTTTGCTTCAGTTTACTGGTGTGACAAACCAGATCCTCTGGTTGAATATTACATTAGTTATCTGTTGCTATAGAATAAATTATCCCTGGACCTAATGGCTTAAAACAGAAAATAGTATCTTAATATCTGTGGGTCAGAAATTTCAGAGAGGTTTAGCTGGATGGTCCTGGCTCGGGAATTTTCATGTGACTCAGTTTTTCCACATAGTTGGAGTCAAGATGTTGTCAGAAACTTTAGTCACCTACGTGATAGCTTGCTGGAGCTAGAGGATCCTTTTGCTAGATGGCTCACTCAAATACCTGTTGGGTGGAAGCCTCATTTCACCACATGGGCCTCTCCATAGGTTGGTTAAGTGTCTTCATGACATGACTGACAGCTAATTTCTCCCAGAATGAGTGATCCAAGAAAGAAAAAGCAAGGAGGAAGCTGCAGGGTCTTTTGTGACCTATATCAAGCAAGAACTGTGAAGAGTCTGAGATTTTACCCTATTGCAAGCTACAAGCTAACCTGCCACAGTTTCATAGATGGTAGCATAAGACACAAGACTCCTGTGTCGGAGACAGAGGACTTCATTATTTGTGGTACACCAAACAGCATGATTATCTACGTATTTGCATCATTTCCTCTTGCTCCTAAGTCCCATAGATGGGCCTACATGGATACCTACATATGCCATGAGTTCTGTAACAGGAGAGGAGTACCCAGCTTAGGAAACCCAAATATTTTATGAGTAACAGGCATGCCTGCCCTTTGCTTTGCAGGGAGGTACTGTCTCCATCATCTAAGACTGTGAGCAAACCTGCCCTTTGCTCCAGAAGAAGAAACTATCTTTATCTTTCAAGGTTGTTCACTGTATAATCCTTGTAATTTAGAACAAAGGGTAGGCAGTGACTCTTGCAAAACTTCACAAACTCAAGAGACCCATGGAGAGTTGTCATCCAACAGCCTACTATCCAAAGTTACATACTGTCACTTCTGTTCTCCTTTTTTGTAGATGAGTCTTTTGATCCAGTCCACACTTAAGGGGAGGAGAATTAGGAAGTAAATTATTTTAGTTCCACCTTCAAAAAAACCCACTAAAATTCACCTTTTTTCTTATAGTTCTTTTTTTCAGAGGGCTTCCTTATTTACCACTGTGCACTATGGTGGATAAGGCATCTAGGCTCCCCATCATCCTAATGAGGTCATGGTTTTCTCATAGCTTTCTATTCCCCACACACATGCAACTTCTTTGTTTACTTATTGAATTTGGAAGGTATTTGTAACCATAGTGCATAACTAGTGACATACCTAAATCTTTGATTTTGTCCAAACCAATATATTTTCTCTATTGTCATTATCATGCTAAGCCCTGCCTTGTTACATTTACCTCTCTCTATGAGACAGAATTTTATTCATCTTTAGACTTTTTAAGACTGCACATAGTTGGCATCTGCACCACCTACCAGATTCCCGGGCACCTCTTTCAAAGCTAGAATGTACTAGAAGGTACCTGACCAGTCTTTCCTCTCTCTGACCACTGGTTCCTGTTTCAAGTGCAAGTCCTCACTCCTGTCACTCTAGACTACACTGTGATGTTAATGCAGATAGGCTCCTACTCAGAACTTGCTGCTGGGCCTGGTAGATACCAAGAGTAGGAAGCAGTGAACACAAAGAAAAAGGTGATACTTAATGTAACAGCCACACCTCTATTTTAAATAGTTCCCATTCCCTACCCCAGAGGAAAAAACTGACATACCGTGTGAATTTTATGCAGGTCAGTGCAGTCACAATTGATTGCAGATGGCGCTGGTAGAAAAATTATTAGAAAAATTAATTCTGGCACTTAAGGAAGCACCTTAAATCAGTATTGAAGAAAATAACCAGAAATATAATAAAGCCCCTATAGCTATACAACTTGTTACCAAATATTAGCTACATATTAAGTATTTGCTTATAAGTAAAAATAGTCAATATCAAAGTAAAACTTAACATGTGAATGTTAATTCTAAACTGGATTACATTTAGTATTTTATGCATTCTCATGAATAATTGTAGTTATTCACTTTCAAAATACAAAGATTTAGGTAATTAGCTGTGTTCTAAATCAGTATTTTTCAAACTGGGTTGCAGACTATTTGTGTGGTGAAATCAATTTAGGGTGTTACAACCAGTATTATTTTTAAAATCAGGGTTTTTGTCATCAGGGTATAAGTCTTGTTTTGTCAAATTTATTTTTTATGTATGAAGGTATATACTGGGCCATAATATGTCTTTTTTTTTTGGACAGAGTCTTGCTCTATCACTCAGGCTAGAGTGCAGTGGTGCAATCATAGCTCACTGCAGCCTCAACTTCCTGGGCTCAAGGCCTCCTCCCACCTCAGCCTCCTGAGCAGCTGGGACTACAGGCGCACATCACCATACCCAGCTAGTTTTTAAATTTTTTGTAGAGATGAAGGTCTCACTGTGTTGCTCAGGCTGATCTTGAACTCCTGGCCTCAAGCGATCCCCCCAACCTGAGCGTCCAAAGCGCTGGGGTTATACCACTATGCCTGGCCAAAATGCCTTTCTTACTGTGGGTCATGATCAAAAAAGTTTGAAAGCCACTTTTAGAAGAACATGGTGAGAAGACTATCATAGCTTAGTACCAGTAAATGTAAATGACTATCTTTTGAAGAAACTATATAGCTTTTTTAAGAGTTTCTGACTTTATGAGGTGTTCATTTTATAGGTGTGAAGACAACCAGTCTCGGAGCAATGATGATTATCAAGCTGCAGTAGAAAGGTTAATTATGGCTGCTCGTATATCAGATCCAAAGCTTTTCGTTAAACACATGACTGTCAATGTTAATAAGGAACAGGTTTATAGTTTGGAACATTGTTCTGCCCTGAAATGGTTAAAAGAGAATATGAAGTGGGCTGGAAAGGTTTGGCTTTTCAGTAACCATTAGCTAATAAAGTCTGCTTTTTTTTTTTTTTTAGTTCAAGTAATCATTGTTGAAAATAAAAGGCAATAAAAATAGACAGTTTTCACTATATTCAGCTCTTTGACTTTATTGACTTACAGCAAGTTAATAGTTTTAAAGCACTAAATTTTTATTGATATGTAATTTTCATTGATTTTATTCACACAGAAAAGTGACTTTTCAGATTACTTTTTGACTTTAAAAGAAACTAAGCATGGTAAATCCCACTTTATTCTGAAATCCAAAACTGAATACTGTGCAGCATTTAGTAAGAGGGAGACATAATAGGGAAAATATGCAAGCAGGTAACTGGAGTTTTCAGGAAAACATTTAGGGGTATGAAATAGGTTTAGTGTGTACTCAGTCCAGTCTCTAAAGCTGTACTACATCTGTAATCGAGAATAATAAAACAATATTGAAAATGAACACAAAAATTCAGAATACTTTCTGAATTATACCAAAAAGTTTAAATTACCCTCTGAATAGTTTTCCTTTAGTGTATCTTGGAATACTAGATGAGTTTTGAAAATCTATGTGCATTACACTAGATAAGACACAAATATACCCAAAACTTAATTATCTAAACAAGGATTCTTCCTTCCAAACCAATTTAGGAAGTTAAAACTCTTCTGAAGTCATATTCAGAATCTGTATCACATTCTCCAAGGTGGTAATCCTCATCTTTGATACTTTAAACCGTAATTTAAAATTATTTAGATTTTAAAAAGTGTGAATAAGGTGAGTAATAAGTTGCGATTAAGGGGACTGAAAGTTTTTTTTTTTTTTTTCCTGAGAAAGGGTCGTACTCTGTGCCCAGGCTGGAGTGCAGTGGCATGATCAGGGCTCACTGCAGCCTCAACCTCCCAGGCTCAAGCAGTCCTCCCATCTCAGCCTCCCATGTAGCTGAGACTACAGGTATGCGCCACCATGCCCAGATAATTTTTGTTTTTTGGTGTTTTTTTTGTGGTTTTTTTTTTTTTTGAGATGGGGTTTTGCTATGTTTCCCAGGCTGGTCTCAAACTTCTGGACTCAAGCTGTCTGCCCACCTTGGCCTCCCAAAGTGCTGGGATTACAGGCATGGACCACCGTGCCCAGCTGGACCAAAAGTATTTCTTAAGGGAGTTCACAAAATATGGTAAATAGCAGCATCATTGGAATAAGTCTGTAACATCACAAGACTAGGAAGGTTAAATCCTAGCTCTTGCCAAAATGCCTGATTACTATCGATGAAATGTAGAACGAATACTATCACAAATGGGATATGGGGAAGTGAGGCAGGTGACGTCAAGAAGGATACCCAGTTCTTTAGTAAGAAGGAACTGGGTGACTATAACCTGCCATTACTTCAGTGGAGCACCTAGGAAATGAATTAGGTTTGGAGATCATTTTGAGGCACCTTTGAAAACAAGGGGAGAATAGAAAGTGGGCATTTGTAAATTAGTCATTTCTACAAATGATAACTGAAACCCTAAGAAAGGAATTAGAGAAATATGTGACCACTGAGATGCTGGTGGCAAAGAAGTATTAGGATGAAGATGCAGGAGGGAAAGGATGATAAATTAAGGTTTTAGGAAAAATGGGATTGGATGGAATGGTTTACAAGTGTCTGGACTGGTTTCTAATGACAAGAGCCTTATTGCTGGAACAAACAGAGGCATTTTTGCCTGTCAACAGTGCCAAAAGATGGGAAAGGAGTGTTAATCATTGCTGGGTGAGGCATCAAAGCCCCGACAACAAAAAGTGTTGGCTCTCGGGTAGTAAGAAGAATTTACTGACAACAGTATAGGTTTGAAAAGGAAGTTTCATTAGATAGATAGGAGGATGCAGAAGGATGCAGCAGGGCGCTTCAGCAAGAGAGGACTGAGCTCGCCACAGGAGATTTTTCCTTAGGAGTATTTATAGAGCTTAAAGCAGGAGCTTAAGGGTAATTTGGACCGTATTAGCCATGTAGGTAATGATAAATGATTATATTTGTAGACATTTTGGTGCCTTGATGTTAGCAAGGGTTGCACAGTGAGTTTTGACATGCATGTATTTGGAGATGTATAGAAATTCTAGTTACTTCCAAATTTGGGGGAAAGAAGCCTGGTACCAGATGCCAGGTTTTTATAATGGGGAAGTCTAATCACTTCTAAATTCCTCAGGTAAGGAGTTTTGCCTGCAGATAGTCTGCTTGATGGCCACCAGGTGATCTTTGCTCTCCTCATTTTCCCCCTGACAGATATCTTGGTCAAATATTTGACCCTTTCGAATCCCCCATGCTCCTCTGTACCTTCTGCCTATTATGGTTTCAAGAAAGGGGAAACGGCACAGTGAAGAGGGGTGTCAGGTCTGTCTGGCTACTTCTTGCTGAAAGGGAGCATTGAGGGGATAAGTCACATTTTTCCCTTTCTTGCTCTGTGTCATGAAGGGTTATGAAAAACTTACTGGGGACAGGAGACACCGGATTCCATCAAGAGGCCCCATATATGTGGAAGTTGCTGTTGCAGGCTGGTATTGGGATTACATAATCATCTGTAGGTGGAATCATTGTAATCTGGAAGATAGAAACTTAATGAGAGCATTAAAGAGGCAGGGACCAAATATTAGAGGAAGAATAATGAGGAATAAAGGTCCAAGGAATGGGAGAAACCAGGTGATTTTTGGGAACCAATTAGTAAGGATTTTGGCCCACTTTGGGTTACTTTGAGAAGGTGTGTGTAGCCATTTGGTTTGTTTGAAAATTTCTTGGACATCAGCTTCCACTTCTCCAGACACATTAATGTAGGTGCAACACATTTTGTTAATGACAGCACAGACTCCTCCTTATTCAGCTAGGAGGTAATCTGGAGCCCTTCTGATATCAACAACCATTCCTGCTAGTGAGGCTACAGACTTTTCTAGTGCTGATAGACTTGTGCTAGTTTTTGCGATTGTGAGGGAGGCAGCATGTTCACATAGTGTGATTTCATGATAAGTACAACCTCCCCAAGGGGTGAGAGTTGTGATGATTCCCACAACTCCAACAATAAGTCCTAGGGCCCTTTTTCATCTAGAATGGGATTCTAGATTGGAAGTTATGTTTAAGACAGTGATTTGGGCAGGAGCTATTGTACCCAGGGTACAATCATCATAACGAAGAGAATTATCAAGGTGGGATAGGGCCAAAGCTTGAAAAGGATTTAAATAATTAATAGCAGTGCCACAAAACCATAAGAGTTCAGGAGGGGCAGGTAATACATTTTTGAGGCTTCTTGCACTAAGGGCCACCGCTGCTAAGGCTCTTAAGCCATCCCTGGCATACTAGGTCTAAAGTTTTTTTTTAAATATGCTATAGGGGCCAGGCACAGTGGCTCACACCTGTAATGCCAGCACTTTGGGAGGCTGAGGCAGTCAGATCACGAGGTCAGGAGTTTGAGACCAGCCTGGCCAACATGGTGAAACCCTGACTCTACTAAAAATGCAAAAATTAGCTGGGCGCGGTGGTGCACACCTATAATCCCAGATACTTGGGAGGCTGAGGCAGGAGAATCACTTGAGCTTGGGAAGCAGAGGTTGCAGTGATCCAAGGTCATGCCATTGCACTCCAGCCTGAACAATAGAGTGAGACTCCATCTCAAAGAAAAAAAAATGCTATAGGGCACTTAGAGGGCCCCTCAATCTTGGGCTAAGACTCCCAAAGCTATTCCCTTTTGTTCATGTACATAGAAAAAGGCTTAGTCAGATCTGGTAGGGCTGAGGTCAGGGCTGAGATTAAAGCCTATTTTAAAGTGTTTAGAGCATGCTTCATCTCATTAGTCCAGTATAGAGACTGTTCCTGAGTTCCCTTGAGGGCTTCATATAAAGGTTTTGCTATTAACTCAAAGGAAGGAATCCATATTCTGCAAAACCCAGCCTTACCCAAAAATGACTGAAGCTGTTGTTTAGTTACCACAATTGTCACGTTTAAGATCTGTACAAGCACTACAAAGGCTTTTTCACTGGGAATTAAAATAAGACCCCAAAATTGAACCCTTTGTGTGGATATTTGTGCTTTAGAAGGAGATACTTTGTACCCACAATTAGCAAGTTTGTTGAATACTAATACTGTATTTTGGTCTGGAACAGCCTGGTTAGGACTACAGATTAGTAAGTCATCCACATACTGAAGTAGATTGCTATCTGGGAGAAGCTGCAGGGGCTCTTTTGGTGAAGTGTTAATACAGCTAGAAGGTGGGGCCTTAGCTGTAAATTAGCTTGTAATTTTGTAAATCACAACCTAATAGAACAGGGCTAAAAAGGAGTAAAGGAATAGCCTTTCATTTTACAAGGGAATGGCTGTGTGAAACAGCCTCATTGGGGTTTTCCATCAATATCCATGAGGAAAATGGAGGACTGGCACATTGGGCCATAGTAAATGTTTATAAAGCTGAATAACTGTCCCGTGTATCTATGAGTAACATTATCTGTTGTTCAGCCACAATCAGATTTGCCCTGGGATCATCCACAGAGATGGAAAAGACAGGGCCGTGGATGGCTTCAAGGCCCCATCTAGAGGATGGATGACTGACATTTCAGAGGCTTGATCATAATCCAGGAATAGAATTAGAGGTGTTTGCCCTTGCTCTCGCCCTCACCCTCACCCTCGTTCTGCAGGATCCCCTTGTCAGGTAGGTTGGTGAGACTGTGGCTGTCATAGCCTAGAAGGAAGAGGTGGCCCCCCCTTCATGAGGGAGGGACACTCATTCTTCCAATTTGCAGTGAGGACAGGGTCCCAGGGATGGCTTGCAACCTGGAGGTTTGGGACATTCTCAACTTCAGTGTCCTTAAAGGCTGCTTTTAATAAAGTACAAAAGGGAGTTTGTGGGCCTTGCTCTAATTTTTGGAGTTTTTGTCTGATGTCTGGGGAAGCCTGACTTATAAAATGTATGGCCAGAAGGGATTGGCCCTCAGGGCTTTCAGGATCTAAATCTGTATATTTATGCATGGCCTCCATTAGTCTAGCTTGGAAAAGGGAAGGGTCCTTGGTCCTGAGTGATCTCTCATAATTTAGAAAAATTAACAGGTTTTATTTCATTCCTTCCAACAAACATGTTATAATCTTCTCTTCCCCTGTCTCTGTTTGGGCTGGCATTGGCAGCGTGGTATTGCCAATTGGGTTCTGTGTTGGGGACAGCTTCTGCCCTGGCTCTATTATTAGGATTGCCAACATGAGTTTCGTCTGCCCAAACTCGAGCTAAAGACCGTGATTTTTTCTTCGTGGGAACAGCAAATAGTTAATACCACAAATGTGTCTTGCCAGGTTAAATCAAAGGCAATAAAGCCCGAAATTCTTGAATGAACTTAGAGGGATCCTGGCTAAATGAACCCAACTTGGATTGAATTTGCCAAAGTTCAGACAATGGAAAAGGGACATGAACTCAAATTGTTCCCAAATCTCCGTTTGCCACCTTGTGGAGAGGCATAACACTTGGGGGATTTTCTGAGGACTTTGTACTAGTGGCATATGTAACTCCTGTGCAAGTATGTGAGGGTAATAAAGTATCTGGATGGTAGGGGACAGGGGTTGATTGGGGCATGGAGCAGATGGCAAGGGGTGCACAATGAGTTTTGACATGCGTGCATTACGGAGATGCATAGAAATTCTAGTTACTTTTAAATTTGGAGGGAAGAAGTCTGGTACCAGATGCTGGCTTTAGGTAACAGGGAAGTCTAGTTACCTCTAAATTCCTCAGGTAAGGAGTTTCTGCCTAAGGATGGTCGGCTTCATGGCCACCAGGTGATCTTTGCTTTCAATTCTATTGGCTTGATTTCATCTGTGGCAGTTTCTGGGGGGAATCAAAATTATAGGAACAAAATAAAACTAACAGTAAAACTTTCATGCTGACTGGGGAATGCTTAACGTTTAAAAATAGGTGCTGAAGGGTCCAAAGCAAACAACACAAGCCGGAAAAGAAATGTTTAAAAGTTAGCTATATTTATACAAGGAAAACCAAAAGAAATACTTAAATGAGACTTTTAAAATTCGAGGCTCTCCACTGAGACTTGTTCCCTGGCGCCAGCTCCGGGAGTTCCGCAGAGCCTCGCCCCCTGCCAGGGCGCCCGGGGCGAAGGACCGCACGGCGCATGCGCGCCTCCTCCAGCAGTCCCTTTCCCCTTCTTCCCCAAGATCCAGCGCGTGCTCGGTTGCCCTTCTCCGTTCCTTGCAGGCCCTTGGGTCAGGACCCACCACCTGCCGGACCATCATTTTCCGAGTCCCTCCGGCCTAGTCGGAGTGCTCGCTCGCGCCTCCTAAAGCTCTCAGCCGAGCGCGCCGAGACCCCTCAGGGCGGCCGGTAAGAAGGCGGAGGGGCGGGGGCTCAAAGCGCGCGGCGAAGGTGCAGCAGTTACCAGGGTGCTGACGTCAGCTAGAGGCAGGGCACCGCGGAAGGTTGAATCCACGCCCTGGCTGTGCGCAGGCGCCGTAGGGGGAAGGCCTGGCACGCTCCAGCCAACCAGGGCGTCACCTGCAGCTCGTCCCCCTGCCCGGGCTTGCCTCGAGCGCCCTGCCGCCGCCGGAGCGGGGAGGGTGTTGGGGGCAGGTGGAGCCGGGAGGGCCCAGCTGAGAATTCAGGGTTGGGGGCTCAGAGGGCACTGCGGCTAGGAGCCCGTCAAAGCCTGTCGCCCACCGGGGCGAGGGCAGGTGGGAGCGCCTGGCCGTGCGTCGCGCGCTGGTTGGCCAGCTGACGCCCCAGTGCGCATGCGCGTCCGAACAGCCCTGCGGGCGGAGCGACTGTCCTCCCTTCTGGTGTACTGGGTGGGAGGTGGAACTAGTCGGACAAAGCCCTCGCGTCGGACCCTTGCCAGAACTGTAAGGAGCAAGAGGGGAGGGGCTCCGGTGGTGCATTCATGCTCCTCTAGGGGGGAAGCGGGGTCGGAGGGGAGTGCTCAGAGCCACCTTAGCGCAAAGTGCTAACTTTTGAATTGAGGCAGTGCCAGGGGACGCAGTATCCGCATCGCATCTACATTTTAACTCGCTGTGAAATGAGAACGCAAAGACGATTTAGGTTTTATTGTTTCCGACTTATATTTTTCCGAGGTCTTTGATTTACGGGAAATTGTTACGTACTAAATCTCATATAGCGAGATTTAGAAAAGGAAGCTACAGAATCTAGGCTAATGTATCTAATAGCATTTCCTGCTTTTGCTCTTTTTCTTTGCCTTTTTCCCCTACTCTAAGAAGTTCATATTCAACTGAAAAGCCATGAAAATTACCGCTTTTGTCCCTCCTTGATATAACAAACTGCTTTCAGAAACCGTACAAGATAGTCACTAAGGGAAGTCACAGTTCAAATGAGAGTGGCATGATATTAATTTTGTTAAAATAAATTACTTTCAAATAAAAGTTGTGCCAAATGGTCAAAGCTCAATCCTGAGAGCTCTATTTGGCACACACTCGGTGTTAGTTGAAAGTAAGCAAAACAAAACCGTTTTTCGTGTACTCTTCCATAATTTGGATTTTTCACTGATTTAGGTATCTTTCCACCAAATTTGGTTTGAAACTGCACAGATTTAATGCCTCACTTAGAACAGATTTTAGGTAAAATTAGAAATTTTCACTTTATGAAACAGAAACTAATATCACTGTTAAGTAGATTAAAGTAGTCATTTACAATGGTTTGTAAATAAATTTTATCCTTCCCGGTCCTCTGCCCTCTTCCAGGAAAGGCACCATTTCCTTAGAGAAGACCTTCCTGAGCTCTCCCCGCCCCATTCCAAGTGTTGCGTCTGGGAGTTTCTCATATTCTGTGCATGTTTGTATTATTGCATTTACTGCGTTGTTTTATACTTATCTGCTTGTGTCTGTTTTTACACTCCCCCCTCCCTCTAAAAGTCTTTTGAGTATTAGAATTGTCTTAATAATTTTCTAGTCCCAATGCTTTACGCAGGACCTGGCCCATAAGTGGTGATGAATGGGTGAGTTAAAGACTCGGTATGCCTCCCAAGTGTGATAAGACAGTGCAACCTCTTCAGTTATTTTATAGCATTTTCCAAGTGGAAGTATAGTGGGCTAAGTGCAGTATGGACAGGAACCACCTATGTAAGAATTTATCTGAAGACGAGAAGCCTGCGGTTGATGTGGATGTCCCAGACTTTTGGAGCTAGTGTCTGAATGAGAGCACCCAACTCTACTCTGAAGCAATGTGTCTTCAGTCAGCTGATAGTAATTTGATTTTCTGTGTAGCTAGTCCTGAAAGAGGAAGAACATTAGATCTGAATCTTCTAGTTGTCTTAGCAGTTATAATCTCAAAGTAAATTTACAGATTGACATTCCAGTTATCAGGCCTTCTAATTTAGCTTCCCCAAGGCCCACGTATTTCTGTCTTGAAGTGATAAAATTGGGTTCTGTTCTTACAAGGTTGAAGACTAACCCAAGATCTGGGCGTTGTGAAGCGGCAGGCAGCCATGCCTGCCAACCTGCTGGACATTGTCTCTACTTAGAATTTTGGTTTTTTTAATCTGAAAAGTACATAAACCATACAGGAAACAAAGAACTAATTCAAGCAAAAACTTGAAATCCTCCTTTGATTTTTAGCATAAATTGGGTAGCTAAAGATCCAAGTTTGTATTAAATAATTATTTTTAAAGAATTAAAGCTTAAACATTAACAGATGCCCCAGAATCCTCTTTGGTGATAGAATCAGGATTCCCTAATACAGTGGTTCTCAAACCTGAGTGTGCATCAGAATCCCTGACAGTGTGTTAAAACAGATTCCTCCATCCCACCCAGATTCTGATTCTGCAGGACTCGGATGGGACCTGATAATTTGCATTTCTCACGGATGCTGTTGCTGCTTTGAAAACCACTGCCCTAAGAGTTATTTCTTTCTCTCCTTCCTACCCTGTCCCTTTCTTCTTTTCCAAAACTGGATCCTCATCTGTCACTTAGTCGTCAGAGCCCATTCTTGAAGAGCTTACAGGAAATACTCAAAAGACTCATAGTACTCGGTTTTTCATTCTTATTCTTAAACAGAACGAGAAAATATATTTTTAATTTTTTCCAATGATTTGTATAGGAAGTGATCATCTTAGAGCAATAATTTTGTTGAATGGATAGCAGAATTATTAACTGAATATATTTTTATATATATAGGCATTTTCCTCTAGAAATATGAATTGGCTGCCATTGTGGGAGAGAGGAGAATTATTGGAAAAAGGAAAAGTCACATTCCCTCTCATTTCTCCCCTATTGCTCTCTCATTGTTTCTCCATGACCCAGAACACTGTCTTTAAAAAGTCAGTATTAATTCATAAAAAGACAATTCCCACAGCACAATATAACTTTATTATATTCACTTTAGGTTTTTATTTTGAAGAGAGAAATGCTACTTCCATCAAAACTTGTGTTTTTATTGGTTAGCAAGTGCCACCTTTGTCTTCAAATGGTAAAAGTAAACAACTAGCTATTTTTTAATTCTGATGAATTAAAAGTATTTTTCTAGAGAAAAATTTGTGAAATTATTCATCTGTACTTTTTGAATTGTATGTAGCCTTGGCAAAATTGCCTACTACCTTGTGTTTAAGACCTTCAGACATTGACTCCTTATTGTGATAATTCTGAGTTTTTCAACAAAGTTTTTCAAAATTTGTTTTTGAATAAAATGTTGTATTGAACTGCATGTTTGAGCAATATGTTATCTGACATTAGATGGAAAAAAATTATGCCATTTTTTAATACACTCTGACATAATAATAGTTGCAACTGTAATGAATTTTTTATTTACTAAATGTGGCTAAATCCCTTATGCATATTCTACTTAAGCTTCACAAAAGTTCTATGAAAAAGATAGCCCCTACTTTCATAAGTGATGTACCCCTGAAAACACATACACAAAGTCAGATGTGGGATTCCACATCCACAGTGCTTAAACATCATTATTAGGTTCTAAATTAGATTTCACCTTTTAGAAAAGTCTTATTGAATATTTCTAGCATTTTGTCTGTGTCTTTCCACCATTTTATCTTAAATGTGCTGTCCAGATAACTTCAGTGAGCATCAGATACAGACCAAATATCAATATAGATAACGTTTTCTCATTTGTATTTCATTTCGTATTCTTTATTACTAGTATTAGAATTGTAATTTTTCTTTTTTATAAAATAAAGACAAAATTCAATAAAATATTCACTAATTTCATTTACTAAATTGTACTCCTGTCTAGCAGATTAGCATTGTGTTAGCTCAAAGTATTCTCTCAGTTAATGAAAACTTAAGATTCAGAATTAAAAGGCAGTTTGGAGTGGGGACAGAATGTTTATATATATCCACATGTTTCTGCTGTAATGCCATTCTTGCATTCCTGGAAATCCTGACATGCTGCCAAACAATAAGCAAAAGTAACAGTTTGTGGAGAAAAAGCACACACCACTCAAAACTGAACAAAATTTTATAAGAGCCCTAACAAAAACCCTAACCCTAATAAACATGGTAGTAAAATTAAATCTAGTTTAGACCAGTTTCATCAAGATTAACATTCTAATCTAGGAGTAGCTTTATTTATCAATCAAATTTTTTTTTAAAAGACTTGGAAATCTCTAGCTTTTTCGTTTATCCTAGCACATTGCCAGATGGTTTGATGAAGTGGAAAATGTAGCCAGACTTGAACCCACTAAACATCTGCTTCTTAAACCAAAAGAAAGAAATACCAGGAGATTTTTTTTCCTTAAGGTCTTTACATATCACTAAAGCCTTTTTTTTTTTTTTAAATTGTAGAAAGCCTACCTCTGATCACTTCAAATCAGTAATATGTTGGGGGTAAAGTGCATATATAAGTCTTTCCCCTATTGACCAATTGCATATAAGCTGATTCACATTAAATAAACATTTTAAGGCTGGACACAGTGGCTCAGGCTTGTAATCTCAGCACTTTGGGAGGCCGAGGAAGGAGGATCAGCTGAGGTCAGGAGTTCGAGACCAGCCTGGCCAACATGGAGAAACTCCATCTCTACTAAAAATACAAAAATTCGCTGGGTGCGGTGGCAGGCGACTGTAATCCCAGCTACTCGGGAAGCTGAGGCACGAGAATCGCTTGAACCTGGGAGGCAGAGGTCGCAGTGAGCCGAGATCATGCCACTGCACTATAGCGCAGGTGACAGAGCGAGACTCTGTCTCAAAAAAAAAAAAGAAGAAATGTTTTGGTGTTACAACAGACTTTTCTTAACCATCTATGTTATTTAAGAGATGAGGAAACAGACTCCAGAAGGTAACGTAACTTGCCCTTGCTCACACAGTCACTGAAGATGTCAAGATTTGAATACAAATCTCAAGCCCCCTAGCCTCCATTTCCTAACCATTATGCAAACTACCTACTTTGACAGTCACATTCACTGGAAGTGTTTAGATCAGCACAATCCAATAAAAATAGAATGTAAGCCTTGGATATAATTTAAAATTTTCTAAAAACTAGATGTTTTACTTTTTAAAAAGTAAAAGTGAAATTAATTTTAATAAATTATAATTTCAACACATAACCAATATGAAAAATTATTACTGAGATACTTTCCATTGTTTGTACTGAATCTTTTAAATCCAGTGGGTATGTTAAGCTTAACACATCTCTATTTAGACTAACCACATTTCAAGTGCACAGTAGCTACATGTGGCTAGTGGCTGCCTACTGTTTTAGACAGCAGAGGCCTAGATTGTAATTCTATTACTCTACTGAAATGTAAACCTTTTTAGGAAATAGCTTGCTCACAAAATAAGCAGATAGAAAACACCTAATTCTCAACCTGTCATTTTTTTAGTGCTCTCTTTCTAAATCTGGAAACCATGATTTAATGTTTAGATTTGTATTTGGTAACATTTTATTTTTGTTGAGAAAATCTATTGTCACATTTCTAAGCACTAATGTCCTTTATTAGTCATTTCTCAGTAGTAGTTTAGTTATACTCTGTGATTACAAAGCGATTAGTGGATGAATGTATTTTTCTGGATAACTAAAGACCTTGAACTTTACACAAATTTTATTTTGCTTTGATTATTTTTGATGGAAATGCTTTTTTTTTTTTTTTTTTGAGAGAGTCTCACTCCATCACCCCGGTTGGAGTGCAGTGGTGCAATCTCAGCTCACTGCAAACTCCACCTCCCAGGCTCAAGGCCTCAGCCTCCCAAGTAGCTGGAATTACAGGCGTGTGTCACCACACTCAGCTAATTTTTGTATTTTTAGCAGAGATGGGGTTTTGCCATGTTGGCCAGGCTGGTCTTGAACTCCTGCCCATTTTCACCTCCCAAAGTGCTATGATTACAGGGATGAGCCACCATACCGAGCCTCAGAAATGCTTCTGAAATGCTTCTGAAATGTGCTACATAATTCCATCTTACACACAACATACTTTATCCTCCATGATTAAAAGTCATTAAGGATACTATCTTAGTCTTCAGCTGCTGTGTCAAACTATCATAAACCAGATAGCTTAAAAACAACAGAAATATATTTCTTGCGGTTCTGGAGTCTGGGAAATTCAACATCAAGATGTCTGCAGATTTGTTGTCTTGCTATAACTTCACATGGTAGGGGGCAAGATAGCCCTCTGGGGCTTTTTTCTTTTTCCTTTTTTGTAATTTTCCTTTTTTCTGATAGTTTTGATCAGAGGACAGGACTTTTTATAAGGGCACTAATGACCTTATTACTGTCACACGCGTCCGTGTGAAGAGACCACCAAACAGGCTTGGAGAGAGCAATGAAGCTTTTTATTCACCTGGGTGCAGGCGGGCTGAGTCCAAAAAGAGAGCAGAGGGAGTTAGGGGTGGGGTAGTTTTATAGGATTTGGGTAGGTAGTGGGGAAGATTACAGTCAAAGGGGATTGTTCTCTTGCGGGCAGGGGCGGGGGTCACAAGGTGCTCAGTCGGGGAGCTTCTGAGCCAGGAGAAGGAATTCAATTCACAAGGTATTGTCATCAGTTAAAGCAGGAACCGGCCATTTTCACTTCTTTTGTGATTCTTCAGTTACTTCAGGCCATCTGGATGTATACGTTCAGGCTTGGGCTCAGAGGCCTGACATTCCTGTCTTCTTACATTAATAAGAAAAATAAAATAGTGGTAAAGTGTTGGGGCCCTGAAAATTTTTGGGGGTGGTATGGAAAGATAATGGGCGACGTTTCTCAGGGCTGCTTCGAGCAGGATTGGGGCGGCGTGGGAACCTAGAGTGGGAGAGATTAAGCTGAAGGAAGATTCTGTGGTAAGAGGTGATATTGTGGGGTTGTTAGAAGGAGCATTTGTTGTATAGAATGATTGGTGATGGCCTGGATACGGTTTTGTATGAATTGAGAAACTAAACAGAAGACGCAAGGTCCAAATAAGAGAAGGAGAAAAACAGGTATTAAAGGACTTAAGAATTGGGAGGACCCAGGACATCCAACTAGAGAGTGCCCAAGGGGGTTCAGCATAATTACTTGCTTGGTTGGCAAGTTTTTGGGCTCTATCTTTGAGTTTTTTTATGTTGTCATATACCAGGCCAGATTGATTTAGGTAAAAACAACACTCTTCGTTTAATATACAGAGTCCCCTTTTTTTTTAGCAGTGACTAACGAGTCCTCCACGATTTTGGAGGAAAGAGAAATACAAAGCCAGCAATTGTTTGTTAAAGAAGGATTAGAAACGGCTAGGAGAGAGTGAGTGAGATTGATAGTGTGGTGGAGATAGCTGGGGAGAGGTAGAGGGTGGCATAAGAACGGGAACAAGAATAAGAGTGAGTATGAAAGTAAAGAATAGGACTTCATCAAGGTGAAAGTATTGGAGTGTACCCTGCCAGCAAGATCATCTATCCACTTTAAGAGAGACTTAAGGGTGGTGGTTTGAGGTAAAACCAGAAGGTATCAGTTATGATGGTTTGAAGGAAAAGTGTAAACCGGCAGTGGAAACAAGGGCAGGGCATTTATGAGTAGTTGAGAATGGTGAATAGGAGTATGACTAGACAGAAGATAGTAGGGATGACAAGTTTTTGGGGTACAGTCCAAGTTAGGCTGGTGTCTGGAATGAGACTGGGGCCTAATAAAAAGGAGCATCCATAGGAGCTCAAATGGGCTGTACCCTGTAGCGTCCCGAGGACAGGCCCGAATTCTGAGAAGGGCAAGTGGTAAAAGTATTGTCCAGTCCTTTTTAAGTTGGAGGCTGAGCTTGGCGAGGTGTGTTTTTAAAAGATCATTAGTCCGTTTTACCTTTTCCGAAGATTGAGGACGGTAAGGGGAAGGTTCTACTGAATACCAAGAACCTGAGAAACTGCTTGGGTGATTTGACTAGTAAAGGCTGGTCCATTATCGGACTGTATAGAGGTGGGAAGGCCAAACCAAGGAATTGTGTCTGACAGAAGGGAAGAAATGACCACGGTGGACTTCTCAGACCCTGTGGGAAAGGCGTCTACCCATCCAGTGAAAGTGTCTACCCAGACCAAGAGGTATTTTAGTTTCCTGACTCGGGGCATGTGAGTAAGTCAGTTTGCCAGTCCTGGGCAGGGGCAAATCCCCGAGCTTGATGTGTAGGGAAGGGAGAGGGCCTGAACAATCCCTGAGGAGTAGTAGAATAGCAGATGGAACACTGAGAAATGATTTCCTTGAGGGTAGAATGTCCATGGTGGAAAGGAAATGAGAGATTCTAAGAGGCACGCTAGCGGCTTGTAATCTACATGGAAGTTATGAGAATTGTAGGGAGTGAGTTGAGCATAGTTTGTGATTTTGAGGGCCTCTAAAAGTATTAGAGCAGCAGCAGCTGCCGCGTGCAGACATGAAGGCTAGGCTAAAACAGTAAGGTCAAGTTGTTTGGACAGAAAGGCTACAGGGCGCAGTCCTGGCTCTTGTGTAAGAATTCTGACCACAGAGCCCTGTACTTCGGCTGTGTGTAATGAAAAGGGTTGGGATGAGTTAGGGAGAGCTAGTATGGGAGCAGCTTTTAGGGCTGTTTTTTAAGGAATGGAAAGGGGAGCAGGGAAAGGATTTAGGATTTATGGTGTCAGCTAGGTTTCCTTTTGTGAGTTTATATAATGGTTTAGTCAGGATGGTAAAACTAGGTATCCAAAGGCGGAAGTACCTAACCATGCCTAGGAAGAAAAGGAGTTGTTGTTTTGTAGAAGGGGTTGGGGTTTTGGAGATTAGCCAGACACGATCAGCAGGGAGAGCACGTGTGTTTTTATGAAGAATTATGCCGAGATAGGTAACAGATGAGGAAGAAATTTGGGTTTTGGAGGACGACACGAGATATCCTTTTGATAACAGATGTTGGAGGAGCAGGAGGATGTCCTCTTGGGAAGATTTATAGGAGGGGCTATATAGTAGAAGGTCATCAAAATACTTAATAAGGTGTGAAGTAGATGGACAGAAAGAGAGTAAATTATGAGAAAGGGCTTGACCGAAGTAATGGGGGCTGTCCCTGAAGGCTTGCAGCAGTACAGCCCAGGTAAGTTGCTGAGACTGATGGATGTCAGGGTCAGTCCAGGTAAAAGCAAAGGGGCTGGGAGGAGGAGTGCAGGGGAATAGTGGAAAAAGCATGTTTTGAGATCCAGAACAGAATAATGGGTGGTGGAGGGACGTATTGAGGATAGGAGAGTATATGGGTTTGGCACCACAGGGTGGATAGGCAAAACAATTTGGCTGATAAGGCACAGATCCTGAACTAACCTGTAAGACTTGTCCAGTTTTTGGACAGGTAAAATGGAATTGTAAGGAGAGTTTATAGGCTTTAAAAGGCCATGCTGTAACAGGCAAGTGATAACAGGCTTTAATCCTTTTAAAGTATGCTGTGGGATGGGATATTGGCCTTAAGCAGGGTAAGAGTGATTAGTTTTTAATGGGATGGTAAGGGGGTGCATGATTGGTCACCAAGAAGGGAGTAGAGGTGTCCTATGCTTGTGGATTAAGGTGGGGAGACACAAGGGGAGGATGTGAAGGAGGCTTTGAACTGGGGGAAAGGGCGGCAATGAGGTGTGGCTGTAGCCTAGGAATAGTCAGGAAAGCAGATAATTTAGTTAAAATGCCTCAACCTAATAAGGGAACTGGGCAGGTGGGAATAACTAAAAAGTAGTGCATAAAAGAATATTGTCCAAGTTGGCACCAGAGTTGGGGAGTTTTAAGAGGTTTAGAAGCCTGGCCGTCAATACCCACAACAGTTATGGAGGCAAGGGAAACAGGCCCTTGAAAAGAAGGTAATGTGGAGTGGGTAGCCTCTGTATTAAGAAGGGGACGGACTTACCCTCCACTGTAAGAGTTACCCAAAGTGTCTGTGATGGTCCAGGAGGCTTCCGAGGCCATCAGGCAGCATCAGTCTTCAGCCACTAAGCTGAGAAGATCTGGGAAGGAGTCAGTCAGAGAGCCTTGGGGCAGAGTTCCAGGGGCTCTGGGAACAGCTCCCGGGCAAGTTGGACAGTCCGATTTCCAGTGGGGTCCCACACAGATGGGACACGGCCTAGGAGGAATCCTGGGCTGCAGGCATTCCTTGGCCCAGTGGCCAGATTTCTAGCACTTGAAGCAAGATCCTGGGGGAGGAGGTCCTGAAGGAATGCCTGGCCACTGTGGCTTAGGTGTTTTGAAGTTCTTGTGTGCTGGAGATGTGGCTGGGGTTTCTCTCACAGCAGAGGCAAGTAATTGCAACTCTTCTCTATTATTGTACACCTTGAAGGCAAGGTTATTTAAGTCCTGTTGTGGGGTTTGAGGGCCGGAATTTAATTTTTGGAGCTTTTTCTAATGTCGGGAGCAGATTGGGTAATAAAATGCATATTGAGAATAAGATGGCCTTCTGGCCCCTCTGGGTCTAGGGCAGTAAAGCGTCTAAAGGTTGCTGCTAAACGAGCCATGAACTGGGCTGGGTTTTTATATTTGATGAAAAAGCCTAAGTGCTAACTGATTTGGGAAAGGTCTGATAGAGAAAAAAGGAGCATTAACCTTGACTATGCCTTTAGCTCCAGCCACCTCTTTAAGAGGAAATTGTTGGGCAGGTAGGGGAGGGCTAGTCACAGAACGAAACTGTAAGCTGGACCAGGGGTGAGGAGGGGAGGTGATAGAAGAATTATAGGGTTGGGGAGCGGAGGCTAAGGAAGAATTGGGACCTGGCTTGGCCTGGCAAGGAGCAGCCTGGGGAGGAGGGGAGAGGTCAGATGGGTCCACAGAAAAGGAGGATTTAAAGAACTCAGAGTTTGGGGTGGAGACTGAAGGAACAGATAAGAGAGAAAGAAGAAAGATTTGGGATGAGTCACATTGGAAGCAGAGATTAGGAAGGGACCGACGTGTAAAAGAATGCCTGGACATCAGACATCTCAGACCATTTGCCCATTTTACTACAAGAATTATCTAGATCTTGTAGGATGGATAAATTGAAAGTGCCGTTTTCTGGCTACTTGGAACTATTGTCAAGCGGTATTGCAGAAGAAAATAAGGCGTTTAGGTTTTAGGTTAGGTGTGAGTTGAAGAGGTTTTAAGTTCTTGAGAACACAGGCTAAGGGAGAAGAAGGAGGAATGGAGGGTAGAAGGTTGCCCATAGTGAAGGAGGCAAGCCTAGAGAAAAGAGAGGGTAGAGACATGGAGAGAGGGGGATACTTACCCCCCAGGGGAGGTTATGCTTGCCACCAAAGTGAAGGATCAAGGCAGGTGTCCCCGTGGTGATAACACACCTCTGAAATGTGGGTGAATAATCAGGCAGGCGTCCCCACAGTGATTAAACACCAAGGGAAGACTGTCTTCCCGAGTCTGTGACTGGTGCCGGAGTTTTGGGTTCACGGATAAAACACGTCTCCTCTGTCTCTACCAGAAAGGGAAAGGAACTGAAATTAAGGGAAGGGAGAGATTGAAGGGTGGCACCAAAATTGAAAGGAGAAAGAAGTTGAGGGATAGTGAGAGAGGTTGGAGAAGAGAGTAGAAAGAGGCCGCTTACCCGATTTAAAATTGGTGAGATGTTCCTTGGGCTGGTTGGTCTGAGGACCCGAGGTCGTAGGTGGATCTTTCTTACGGAGCAAAGAGCAGGGGGACAGGGGATTGATCTCCCAAGGGAGATCCCCCGATCCGAGTCATAGCACCAAATGTCATGTGCGTCTGTGTGAAGAGACCACCAAACAGGCTTTGTGTGGGCAATAAAGCTTTTTAATCACCTGGGTGCAGGCAGGCTGAGTCCGAAAAGAGAGTCAGCAAAGGGAGTTAGGGGTGGGGCAGTTTTATAGGATTTGGGTAGGTAGTGAAAAATTACAGTCAAACGGGGTTGTTCTCTTGAGGGCAGGGGCGAGGGTCACAAGGTGCTCAGTGGGGGAGCTTCTGAGCCAGGAGAAGAAGTTTCACGAGGTAATGTCATCAGTTAAGGCAAGAACCACTCATTTTCACTTCTTTTGTGATTCTTCAGTTACTTCAGGCCATCTGGATGTGTATGTGCAGGCTTGGGCTCAGAGGCCTGACAATTACCTCCCGAAGGCCCCACTTCCTTCTTTTTCATTTTCTTTCTTTTTTTTTTTTGAGGCAGGGGTCTTGCTCTGTCTCCCAGGCTGGAGTACAGCAGCACGATTGCAGCTCACTGTAGTCTGCACTTCCCAGAGTCAAGCCATCCTTACCTTAGCTTTCTGAGTAGCTGAGGCAACAGACAAACAACACTACCCAGCTACTTTTTTGTTTTTTAGAGACAGAGTCTCACTATGTTGCCCAGAGGCTGGTCTTGAACTCCTGGCCTGAAGCAATACTCCTGCTGCAGCCTCCCGAATTCCTGGGATTACAAGTGGGGACCATTATATGCAGATGATTTTTTTAAGAACATATTTCACGTTTGTTGTAAATAATATAGAAAATAAGAAGCAAAATGAAAACATTTAATATCCTACCACCTAGAGATAGCTGTTGTTACAGATTGCATATTTTTCTAGTCTTTTTTTCTTTGCAAGCTTGGGGTCTGGTACTTGTGCTGTCTTAACTAAATCTAGGTTATTTTGTTCATCTTATGATGAAGTTTGGGTGAGAATTTAGTCCCTCACAGGTAACACTGAACCTTCAAATAGTCCAAATTTTTTTTGTATTTTTTATTGTTGTTGTTGTTTTTGAGATGGAGTCTCACTCTCTTGCCCAGGCAGTGCAATGGTGCGATCTCGGCTCACTGCAACATCTGCCTCCCAGGTTCAAGTGATTCTGCCTGTAGCTGGGACTACAGACATGCACCACCATGGCTGGCTAATTTTTGTGCTTTGGGCAGAGACAGGGTTTCTCCATGTTGGCCAGGCTGGTCTCGAACTCCTGACCTCAGTTGATCCACCTCCCTCGGCCTCCCAAAGTGCTGGGGACCCAAGGTCATAGGTGGATCTTTCTTACGGAGCAAAGAGCAGGAGAACATGCATGAGGCATGAGCCTCTGCATCTAGCCCCAAATGTTTTTTTTTTTCCTCATTGTATCTCCATTTGATCTCAGAAATCTTTGAAGTGGTAGAAGTATTTTCTGTATCTTTGTATTTGTCTCAAAATATCAATGTGCATGGTTTAAAAAAATCACCTTTTTAAATTTATTTTATTTTATTTTATTTTATTTATTTATTTTTGAGACAGAGTCTCACTCTGTTGCCCAGGCTGGAGTGCAGTGGCGTGATCTCGGCTCACTCCAACCTCTGCCTCCCGGGTTCAAGTGATTCTGCTGCCTCAGCCTCCCAAGTAGCTGGGATTACAGGGTCCCACTACCACACCTGGCTAATTTTTGTATTTTTTGTAGAGATGGGGTTTTGCCATGTTGGCCAGGCTGGTCTCGAACTCCTGACCTCAGGTGATCCTCCCACCTCAGCCTCCCAAAGTGCTGGGATTACAGGCATGAGCCACCGCGCCCAACCCACCTTTTTAATATTTAAATGGATACCTATAAATGCATTCTGTCTCCTAGAAACTCTTGCCACATCAGTCAACCTGGAAATAAATTGAAGTATCCATTTTTGTTTAAGAATGTACTTTTAAAAAAGATAATTCCTGATTTTTCATTTAAAATTTTCTATCATTCTATTAATAACAGTTATGCTTCATTAGATTTCTTCACATATATTGACCACTTCACTAACATATATGTTATGTATATATTATATGTTAGTTATATATGTATTATATATAAAGTCATATATATGTGTGTGTGTATATATATATATATTATATATATAAAACATTTTGGTACTTAAAATGTGACAGAATAGGACTTTAGCCATGTGGTGATTGTTTTGAGAGAACGTGCTACTCAGCAGCTCTCCACAAGAATGGAATAATGGAAAACAGAAAAAGCTCAGAGCTCAATTACATGGGGGAGAAAAGAATTTTTTATCTGATGGTTATTATGCAAATAATAGGGCCTTGCAAGACTTTAATAAGGTACTGCTCATAGGATTTTAAAAATCATTTGGTCAGTTGATATGGAGACTGTAGTATATTCGAATATCTTGCTAAAGAGCTACATTATTGGAAAAGTTCATGTGATTCAAATCCTTTCCCCCACTTTTATCTCCATAGCTTGTTTTAAAAATAGACTTTAATTTTCAGAGCAATTTTAGGTTCACAGCAAAATTTAGCAGAAAGTAAAGAGAGTTTCATATACTCACATCCCTACTCACGCATAACCTCCCTCACTATCAGCATCCACACCAAAATGGTATATTTATTACAGTCAATCTACATTGACACATCCTTATCACCCAAAGTCCATGCTTTACCTTAGGGTTCACTTGGTGTTGTCCATTCTAAGGATTTTGACAAACGTTGACAAATGTTGCTTCCACCATTTTAGTATCGTTCATACAGAATAGTTTCACTGCCCTAAAAATCCTCTGAGCTCTGCCTGTTCATCCCTCCCTATCGATTAACCACAGATCTTTTTATACTGTCTTCAGACTTCTTGCCTTTCCCAGACTGCTTGGAATTCATATGCTTGGAATCATATGCTTGGAATCATACAGTATACAGCCTTTTCAGATTGACTTCTTTTTTTTTTTTTTTTGAGACAGTTTTTGCTCGTGTTGCCCATACTGGAGTGCAAAGACGCGATCTCGGCTCACTGCAACCCTCTGATTCCTGGGTTCAAGCAATTCTCCTGCCTCAGCCTCACAAGTAGCTGGGATTACAGGCGCCCACCACACCTGGCTAATTTTTGTATTTTTTAGTAGAGACAGGGTTTCACCGTGTTGGTCAGGCTGGTCTCTAACTCCTGACCTCAGGTGATCCGCCTGCCTCAGCCTCCCACAGTGCTGGGATTACAGGCATGAGCCACCGCGCCTGGCCAACTTCTTTAACTTAGTAGTATCCAGTTAAGTTTCCTCCCTGACTTTTTTTTAGCCTGAATAATATTCAATTGTCTGGATATACCACAGTTTATCCATTTACTTACTGAAGGACATCGTGGTTGCTTCCAAGTTTTAGCAGTTATAAATAAAGCCTCTGTAAACACCTGTGCGCTAGTTGTTGTGTGGACATAGTTTTCAGTTTGTTTTGTAAATTACCAAGGACTACTATTGCTGTATAGTATGGTAAGAGTATGTTTAGTTTTGTAAGAAATTGCCATACTGTCTTCCAAAGTGGCTGCACCTGTTTGCATTCTCCCTTCCCACTAGCAGTGAATGAGAGTTGCTGTTGCCACACATCCTTATCAGCAGGTGTTGTCAATGTTTTGGATTTTGGCCATTCTAATAGATTTGCAGTGGCATCTCACTTATTTTAATTTGCAGTTGTCTGACAACACATGATGTTGAACTGCATTTCATATGCTCATTTGCCATCTGTATGTCTTCTTGGTGAGGTGTCTGTTAAGGTTTTTTGCCCATTTTTGATTGGGTTGCTTGTTTTCTCATTGTTAAGCTTTAGGAGTTCTTTGTACATTTTGGATAATAGTTTGTTATCAGATGTGTCTTTTGGAAATGTTTTCTCCAGGTGTGTGGCTTTTCTTCTCATTCTCTTGACATTGTCTTTCACAGAGCAGAATTTTTCAGTTTTACTGAAGTCCAGCTTACCAGTTAAGCTGGATAGTGCCTTTGTTGTTATAACTAAATAGTCATTTCTATCCCCAAGGTCATCTAGATTTTCTCTTTTGTTATCTTCTAGGAGTTTTATAGCATTTTATATTTAGGTCTGTGACCCATTTTGAGTTAATTTTTGTGAACAATGTAAGGTCTGTGTCCAGGTTAATTTTTTCGCATGTGGATGTACGATTGTTTTAGTGTCATTTGTTGAACAAGCTGTCTTTGCTCCACTGGATTGCCTTTGTTCCTTTGCCAAAGATTAGTTGACTTTATTTGTATGAATCTATTTCTGGGCTCTCTATTCTGTTTCATGGATCTATTCATTCTTTCACCAACACCGCGCTGTCTTGACTACTGTAGCTTTAGAGTGAGTCTTGAAATAAAGTAGTATCACTTTTCCACCTTTGTTCTCCTTCCTTATTGAGTTGGCTACTCTCTGGGTCTTTTGTCTCTCTTTATAAACTTTAGAATCCATTTGTCAGTATCCACAAACTAACTTGCTGGGATTTTGATTGGAATTTCATTGAATCTATAGATCAAGTTGGGAAGAATGACATCTTGACAATATTGAGTCTTGCTATCCATGAACATGGAGTATCTCTCCATTTATTTAGTCTTCCTGTTTCCTTCATCTGAGTTTGTAGTTTTCCTTATCTAGATCTTATACATATTTTATAAGATTAATAACTAAGTATTTCATATTTTGGGGTGATAATATAAATCGCAATGTGTTTTACATTTAAAATTCTACTTGTTCATTTGTGATATCTGCTTAACTTTTAAGCAATTAATGGATGCCTCGAAGTTGACGTACATATATATTCAGAAATGTTTTGCCACCTGAGACCTATGAGGAGGTAAGCATCATGGTCCAATCTGTAATTAGTATTGTGGCGGGGGGAGGTCTGTTATGCATTTGGTTTATTTCAGTTTGTTATTATTTTTCCAATTCTGAAGTTATATTATGGTGGAAAGCTGGAACAAAAAGAAAGAAAATTTATATGAGAAGACAGGTCCTCCAAGAGTACATTCAGAGTAGAAGGTGAAAAGAATACTGTCCTTCAGAAGAGTTAGGTGTGAAAAGCTTAAAAGGAAAAACAGATCAAGTTTCCTCTTAACACAATTCACTTTATGGTATTATGTTTCAAGCATCTAGGGCACACAGTTTCTTTTCTTTAGAGTTTAAAAGAGGGAGAGACTAATGAGAATACAAAAGGGAAGGTTCTGGGGGAATAGATACAATGCCTCCTGGCGCATGGCAGGTGTGCAGTAATTGTTCAATTTGGATAGGTAAAAATGCAGGTCAGGGAGGATGCATTAGGGCTTAGAAATTATGTAGGACAGAAAGGGGAGAATGAGGAAGATTCTTGGGAGCTGGAACTGAGGGTTTGTATAAGGAGTGGTTGGAGATCAAGTTGGAAAGATAGATGGGGAAACCATGAAAGAGGGTTTCAAATACCAGACTAAGGAGTGGATTTATTCTGCAGGAATTAGGGCACCACCAAAGCTGTTTGAGTAAGGAATACAGTGATGGTGGAATTTTAAGAAAGTTAATCTGTTGGTGATACCCAATATGGTTGGAGAAAAGGACAGCAGAGTAGACTAATTATGTACAGTCCAGTTTTGTAGTGATGATAATTGATAGCAGAGAAAGTGGAAAGAAGGAATGATTTCATTGAACATTGTAAAGTGAGAAGACTTTACTAACTGATAGTGAATGGGGGTAGTGAACTAATTTGGGTTTTGTGCTTTGCAACATTGAGAAAGGTGGTACCACAATAACAAAAATAAGGAAGATAATCCTGGATTGAGTTGCTAACTGCTCCCTGGCCTTCTGTAACCAGGCTGAATTTAGAAAGATAATAATGACTCATACTCCTTTTTTAGATATGTAAAATTTGAGCAGCTGGCAGGAGAGCTAAGTGTATGTCAGACGTTGGGAAATGAGAACGGAAGCTCAGAGGGATAAGTGGAGTTGCCACTGTGGTTTACTTAGACTAGCTCATATTTAATGCTGGCTGATTCTTTCCTTTACTTTAAACTCCTGTTCTAATCTTTGATGTACAAATCCATATATTGACTTTATAAAAGGTTCAAATATATAGGAGAAACAAAAGATAATCTGCAAATAGGTTGGTGGTCTCCAGATTGTTTAAAAATCACCAGAAATGATTCCACAATCTCTACCATTTTAAAAACATAAAACTTTTCTAAAGACTTGTCACACCTAATGTATGAGAACAAAAGCATGTGCAATGTTTAGAGACTTCATTATAAAAAGCTTAGGTTGGGCCAGGCACAGTGGCTCACGCCTGTAATCCCAGCACTTTGGGAGGCCGAGGCGGGCAGAGCCTTTGAGGTCAGGAGTTCAAGACCAGCTGGGCCAACATGGCGAAACACCGTCTCTACTAAAAATGCAAAAATTAACTGGGCACGGTGGCGTGCACCTGTAATCCCAGCTACTTGCAAGGCTGAGGCAGGAGAATTGCTTGAACCCAGGGTACAGAGGTTGAGCCAAGATCATGCCACTGCACTCCAGCCAGGGCAACAGAGTGAGACTCTGTCTCAAAAAAAAAAGCTTAGGATGGAAAAGGTAAATTATAACATTTAAAAATAGGTGTCGTGGAAGTGCTTTCAAAAAACCGCAAATAATTTCATTTGGATTTAAACACCGTACTTTTAAAAAACACTCCCAGGTGGGTTACAAAACTTAAGAATGAGAATATCACGGCCAGGTATGGTGGCTCATGCCTGCAATCCCAGTACTTTGGGAGGCTGAGGCGGGTGGATTACCTGAGGTCAGGAGTTTGAGACCAGCCTGACCAACATGGTGAGACCCTGTCTCTACTAAAAATACAAAAAAAAAAAAAAAACAGTCGGCGGTAGTGGCACATGCCTGTAGTCCCAGCTACTCGGGAGGCTGAGGCAGGAGAGTCACTTGAACCTGAGAGGCAGAAGATTGCATGCAGTGAGCCAAGATCATGCCACTGCACTCCAGCCTGGGCAACAGAGCAAGACTCCATCTCAAAAAAAAAGAATGAGAATATCAAGTTATCCAACTAGTATAATTTTAGCATGCTAATAATGAGGGAATGAACTAAAAGACATCTGTATCTCTTTTTAAGTATAATAATTATCAAAATGTTTGCTACTATAAAGAAAAAATTGAGCCAGGCATGGTGGCTCATGACTGTAATCCCATTGCTTTGAGAGGGTAAGGCAGGAGTATTACTTGAGGCCAGCAGTTTGAGATCAGCAAAAGAATTAGTTGGGTGTGGTGGCACGTGCCTGTAGTTCCAGCTACTTGGGAGGGTAAGGTGGGAGGATCACTTGACCCCCGGAGATCACACCGCTGCACTCCAGCCTGGGCAACAAAGCAAGACTCTGTCTGAAAGAAAAAAAGAGAGAAAGAGATAGATATAGACAGATATATATAGAAAGAGAATTACACTATTGGATATTAAGATTTTTTGATCTGAATAAGAAACTTATAAAGAAAATTGTTATCATTTGCAGTGAAGTCAGCTGAATTTCAAAGTGGAGTATTGAGGGGAAATTATTATGTTATTTAATATTTCTCATTTTGCACCAGAAAAATTTATAACCACTGTTTTAGAAACCATGTGGTACTCACTGCTTGTAAAACTAATAGATTTCAGAAAACCACAAAGTATCTATCTTGTTTCTGCTGTGCATAGTACGTTTAGTTTTATTGTCACTTATACATTGAGGATTTGTGTGTGTGTGAGTGCCTCAATGAATAACCAGTCCACATCTTTTTAAAAGGTTATGTCTAGAGAAGATATTTCCACACTGGTTTCCCTTTTCAAGAGCTTTATCGGGAGCTGAAGCAGTCAATGCCTTGAGGCCTTTCTATTTTGCAGTACATCCAGATTTCTTTGGACAGCACCCCGTAGAAAGGGTAAACATTTATTTATTTTTAAACCATTAGTGTACATTTCTGCTTATTTACCTTTGATACAATATAATACATAGAGTTCTATAAATGTGGATTATTCTGTTGTGGTGATATAATCAATGCTTTGAACTAATTTGAAATGTAGATACTGAAAATTGAAAATAGAGCTTTTTTTATGAAAGCTGTCATTGTTTTGTGCAGGCAATAAAGCTGTCATTTAAACTCTTTAGAGTACTAGTAATCATGTTTTTGGTACCAATTTTTGAAGTACAGTTGAGGGTTTGAAAGAAAACTTGAGACCTTTATTATCATGATCAATCTCTCTCTCTTTTTTTTTTTTAAGGATGATACATGGAAGAGTTTTCAATGCCCTAGTGATTTTTCCTTATGATGCATGCTGCTGGACCACTCCCCTACAACATCAGTTAATGTGTGCTCCAGGAATACAAACTGATATGAAAAATGACTTATGGTAGATGTAGTTAAGACAGTCAATATATTTTAACATTAGAAAATACAGTCAGTCCTTCATATCCATGGGTTTTACATCCATGGATTCAACCAACCTCAGACTGAAAATATTAGGGGAAAAAAATACATCTGTACTACACATGAACAAACTTCTCTTTCTTGTCATTATTCCCTGAACAACACAGGATAACAACTACTTACATAGCACTTACATTATATTAGATATTATAAGTAATCTAGAAATGACTTAAAGTATATGGGAGGATACACATAGGTTATTTGCAAATACTACACTATTTTATATGAGAGACTTGAGCATTCGCAGATTTCGGTATCCACGGGAGGTCCTGGAACCAATCCCCTATGGATACCAAGGGACTGCTATGTATTACAAAGCCACATGCTTTGGAATTACTTCAGTGTTCCTTCTATTTTCATTAACACTGATATCTAGTTTAATATGAAAAGGAACTTGAAATCTTGAAAATTAGAACATCGTTATTTTTTTCTACTTGCAATGGAAAATCTATTTTGCTTTTTTGCTTCTAGGAAAATATTCTGATTATGATATGTGATATGTTGGCTACTCAAAGTCAGAACTTTTCAAAGTAATCAGTAAATTGAATCAACAGAAAAATATTCATTAACTCGGGGATGCATTAATAAAGTTTTTAAATTCAAAATGTATAGAAAAATCAAGCTTAGTAATACTTTAATATTATTCTACCAATGTATTTTTTTTAATTAAGACTTCTGTATGCAGCAGGGCATGGTGGCACACCTGTAGTCCCAGCTACTAGGGAGGCTGAGGCAGGAGGATTACTTGAGCCCAGGAATTCAAGCCTGGGCAACATAGTGAGTCCTCATCTCCTAAATTTAAAAAACAAACAACAAAAACTTCTACGTGTGGTAAAGGGTTAACTCAGCAAGCTTGGGTTGCTTAAACCTTGCACATTCCAAAGAAAGGTCTGACCCCAGTGCTGACCTTTGACTGGCTACTGGGAAATGAGCTCTGAGCCCCTGGATAGGAATGTTTCTGTTTGCCTGAGGCCTTTGACCATGCCAGATAGTTTATGCTAACAATGTGATTTATAGTGAATACCTGTTTTCCTGTGTCTAAGACCCTGGGCTGCACTGTATTAATTTGACCTTGGGTATTTGGGGAGCTGAGACTGAGTAGCTGAAGTGAGTCACATAAGCACTAAATGCTTACCTGACTGACCCCCAGTAAAACTCTGGACATCCAGACTTGGATGAGCTTCCTTGGGTGGCAACACTTTTACGTATTGTCACACACCATTGCTGGGGGGATTAAGCACTGTCTGTAAAACTCCACTGTGAAATGACAACTGGAAACTTGCACGTGGTCTCTCCTGATTCTGCTCTATTCACCTTTTCCCTTTGCTGATTTTAATCTCCATTCTTTTGTTGTAATAAACCATAATGGTGAATAAAACAGCTTGTCTGAGTTCTGTGAATCCTTCTAGTAAATCGTTGAACCTGAGAGTGGTCTTGGGGACCCCTGACACAATGTGCCTAGAGTTTAATGGTTCTGATAAGTTTACATTTTCGTGTTATCTTTAACTTGTATTTATTGACTCCTCCTTTGTGTCAAGCCCTTGCCCTAGCTGCTGCCTCTGTTTAGAGCATCCTTTTCCCAGATATCCCAGATATGGCTTGTCCTTTACTTTCTCACCTTTCAGTGAGGCTCTCCCAGACTACACTATTACTTGTGTTTGTTTTGTTTTGTTTTGTTTTTAAAACTACCCTATTTTAAATTGCCATCTCTGCTTTCCTTCCTAGCATTCCGTCCCCTCTTTACCCTGCAGTACTTGTTTTTTTTTCCTTTCCATGTACCCTATTTCCTTATTTGTGAGGTTTGTTGTTTATTTTTCTCCCCTCACTAAAATGCAAGCTCCATGAAGACTGTTCACTCTTCTTGTCACTCTTCTTGCCACCACATGTTCAGTTCAGTCTTCTTCCTACTATTAGAGAACACCCTTGCCCCTTTTCTTAGGAAGAGTGGCTTAAAGTCCCATCTATTCATAGCATCGAACTCAAAGTCCAGGGTTTCCCAGTGATGCACAGGATTTTTGGGTTTTTTAAAAAATCCTCTTTAATTTAATTTAAAAATCTGCAAAACATTGTGGGTTTAAAAAAAAAATCAAAACTAAATACAAAGTTTAATGAGAAGTCTCATTCCTATATTCCTGTTTCGTTTACCCAGTTCCTATTCACTTCCTATATATAATCTTTTTTTTTTTTTAATTTTTTTGGAGACAGAGTCTTGCTCTGTCACCCAGGCGGGGAGTGTGGTGGCACCATCAAGGGGCTCACTGCAGCCTCGAACTCCTGGGCTTAAGTGATCCTCCTACCTCAGCCTCCTGAGTAGCTGGGACCACAAGCATGTACCACCGTGCCCAACTAATTTTTGTATTTTTTGTAGAGTCGAGGTTTCACCATGCTGCCCGGGCTGTTCTCAAACTCCTGAGTTCAGGCAATCTGCCTACCTCAGCCTCCCAAAAACTGCTGGGATTATAGACATGAGCCACCACGTCCAGCCTTCTTGTGTTGCTTTTCAGCAAAAATAGAAATATTTATCAAAAAATAATGATGAAGATTTAGTCTTACACTGGCAATAATTATCCCACACTTGCCTGCAGGACTCATATGGCTAAGAACATCATATTAGAATAAATTAAACAAACAATCATTTATTACTTTGGGATATTTAGTCATTGGCATTTTCTACATTTAGGTTATAAAGGAATTCAACCATGTTTTCTTCTATTACTTATATGGTTACATCTTTTTACATCTTACCCATATGGAGTTCATTCTGTTACATGTTGTGAGATGTAGATCCAATTTTATCTTTTACCAAAGAGCTATGAAATCCCAACATTTTTAAATACTAAATTATTTAATACTCTCAATGTGTTTAAAAGGTTAGATAGATATCATTTCTGATATTTCCTTGTTCTATTTTGTATGTAAATGCCCTTAATGTTTTTTTCCAGGAAATCAATGAAAATTCTCTTAAAAGGTTAAGTGTCTACCTAGAAAACCTCCAGAAACCAGGCTTCAAGTCTTTGAAACCAACTCAGCTTACATTTTATGTAAGAGAAACAGACCAGAGTTCCTCCGATGGCCAGGAACCTTTTAGTACTTCCGGTACGTTTTTTATTTCTGGTGTGTCCCTTGCAAGCTTAATGTTAAATGTGTTCATTAATTTTGACATTGCCAGAATACCTTTGGATGAAAACTTTGGTGATAGAAAAATAATAGCATTTAATTGATTGTTTTCCTAGAATTAGATTCTATTCCTACCTGCATATGTTCGAACAAGTGATTTTTTGCGTGTTTAAACGTTTTTGTTTCTAAAACTAAAGTGTTCCTATTTGTTCCCTTACCAGTTCAGTGTTATTTTAAGTGTTAAACATGTCCAAACAATATGTATTTCTAAAAACTACAGCTTGCATTCTCTTATTTAGTCCTCTGAATACTCTGAGGCTGGTAGTACTTACCCAATTGTAACTTAGTGATGTTCAGTGCCTTTCCCAAGACCAGAGAGAAAGAATATGAGTCTTGAACCCAGGTCTTTGAACTCCAACCTTATGCTGCTTCTAAAATCCAATTGATCTTAGCAGACAGCCACCTTTTCACTACCTTTTGTCACTGCTTATCCATATTTAAAATTAAGGACAAATATTTAGGGTAAAGATCACTAAAGGCCTATCATTTCTCTAATTATACATGCTTTTAATGATCCTTGAAGAAATAACTATATTTTTAGAATGAACTTAAGACAATTTAAGGATTCACTGAGTGCTTTCTGTGAGTTAAGGCTAAAACAGGATACACTGTAATTTTTTTTTGAAACAAACTGTTATAAAACTCAGAATTTGATAGGTCTTTGAGATCTAAAATCTGTTTCTAGCTCTGCCAGTGACCTAGCTGTGTGACCTTTAACTTTTGGGTGTTCATTTATTAAAATGAAAGAGTTGGAGAACTGTGTAGAGGCCACTCACATGGAAGATCCCTAATTTACACCTCACCCTCCCCCGGCTCTCAGGACTTCAAATGGAAGGAGGAAGAGCTTGATCTGAAGAATGCTGAAGTATGTTGAAGACAACTCCTCACCCAGTCTCTCCAGGGACTAGTATTTGATAGTATATGATCTCTTACCTTTTATTTTCTCATAATTGAATATGGGAGATCAGGAGTCACAAATTCCTTTTCTTGGCAGTTTCTCCATCTACCTCTGACTTAGAGTTTTATTAAAAATAGCCCTATTCTTCAATATTTAAAGATAGAAAGTCAATTCATAGCCCTTTTGTGAAGGAACAGGTATACTGAAGAATGCTGTAAATAATGAATAATAAGCATGTTGATCACTCTAAGTGACACAATTCTGTTTGAAAGTTTAAATACATGAATGTGCTGTTCCTAGGCATGAGAGTCTCATAAGCAACTGAGATAGATTGTTACTAGTGTAAAACCAAATATTCATAAATATTTTTAATAGATGTATGCTCCTGTTAGTCAGGGTCAAGATTAGGCTAGGAATTAAATAACATCTTACATATATGTAGTGGTCTACTTAGGTTTCATTATTTCTCCAGGAAGACAGATGGAATTTTTAGAGGCAGATTATATCCTTTATAGTTGTTAAAATAAAAATATTATCATCAATCTGTTTTTATTTGTATGTGGTTGAAAGAGTCGAGCTCGTTCCTACAGCTACCACTAGTGCTTCTGCTACCACTCTCAGCTGGATTTGTCTTAAATATTGAATATACATGGAGTTAAAGAGTAAACTGAATTTAAAAGCTTAGTGGAAAACTTAGGAAGTTTCACACAGCAAATTAGGGACAGAGCTGGTACTAGAACTAATGTCTCCTTATTCCTAGTCCAGTGTTTTGATTTGTATACCACATTATCTATTAATTCTTCTTTTAAAATATTGTAATTAATCATTTTTCCTTTTGCCTTTATAACAAAGATTGGCCCTCTGACAAAGATTTAAAACATTTTTACTTCTGTAACATTTTTACCTGATTATAAAATTAAAATCAAGTAGATTTTTAAAAAATTTTTATTTCTAGAACACTAGAAATCATTAATCAGCTTTGAATAAATAAGATGGTGATAAGGTAAAATGTTTACTAGTGATTTTCATTACTGAAATTTTATGAGCCTTTAGCATTATTAATACATTGAAATCCTTAAAGGCTGAAATTATTTCTTCAGCTCCGTATCTTTTTGGTGGTTCATGAGGAAGTAAATGTTGTTATTAGAATAAATTTTAAAATAAGTTAAAGATTTGCTAAGAGCTTTCTGTGAATTAATGCTAAGACAAATAGCTGTAGCCAGCTCTGGCTGAGTAAAAACAGAATCCTTTACTTTCAGTTAATGGTTAACTTTGAATGATTTCTTAAACAAAAATAGCTTATAGCTGGGCATGGTGACACAAGCCTGTACTCCCAGCTACTCAGAAGACTGAGGTGGGAGAATCACTTGAGCCCAGGAGTTTGAGGCTAGCCTGGACAACTGGACAACACAGCAAGTCTGTCTTTTTTTTTTTTTTTTTTTTTTTTTTTCATACGGAGTCTCACTCTGTTGCCAGGTTGGAGTGCAGTGGTGCAATCTTGGCTCACTGCAACCTCTGCCTCCCAGGTTCAAGTGATTCTTCTGCCTCAGCCTCCTGAGTAGCTGGGACTACAGGCAAGCGCCACAATGCCCAGCTAATTTTTGTATTTTTAGTAGAGACGGGGTTTCACCATGTTGGCCATGATGGTCTCGATCTCTTAACCCCGTGATCCGCCCACCTCAGCCTCCCAAAGTGCTGGTGTTACAGGCATGAGCCACCGCACCTGGCTGAGACTGTCATTTAAAAAAAAAAAAAATGTAAAAGGTTACAGAAAAAATTAAACTAGAAATGGGAGAAAAGATATAGCATATATGACAAAAAGATGATGCTAATACATAAAGAGTTTTTACAAATTAAAAATAAACCAGAGTAGTTCCATTCCAAAAATGGAGAAAGACAATAAATAGACAGTTCAAGAAATAACACATATAAATGTCAGTTAAGTATATAAAAATCTTTAGGCCATGCGTGGTGGCTCACGCCTGTAATCCCAACACTCTTGAGAGGCCAAGGCAGGCAAATTGCTTGAGTCCAGGAGTTCCAGACCAGCCTGGGCAACATAGCAAAACCCCGTCTCTACTAAAAATACAAAAAATTAACCAGGCGTGGTGGCATGTGCCTGTAGTCCCCGCTACTCGAGAGCCTAAGGTAGGAGAATCACCTGAGCCCAGGGGGCAGAGGTTGCAGTGAGGCAAGATGGCAGGCACCACTGCACTCCAGCATGGGTGACAGAGTGAGACCCTGTCTCAAAAAAAAAAAAAAAAATCTTTAGCCTCAGTATTCGAACGCAAACTGAAATAATTAGGTAGTATTTTTTGCCCATTAATTTTTTTCTTTTTTTGCTGGTAATACCCATAAATGGTAAAAATACATTTTCCCACATTATTGATGGGTATATAAATTAGTGCAAACTACAAACTCTGCAGCTTGGAATTCTCTCCCCAAAGCCACAAAATTCTTCTTGGAATGTATCCTGAGGAACCAGTAAAGGATATTTGCAGTGTGGTACAGGCAATCCTCACTATATAGCAGCTCTTATGTTGGATTAAATAATGAGCTGATAAATTGAGATAGAAACAGATTTACTCCTTGACTTTGCACTTCTGAGGATGAGCTATTTTTTCTTAACCTCCAGTGCAGCAATTTGGGTTTTCCTTTCCTCCTTTACTGACTAGAATAATTCCCTTGCCAGTAGTTCTAAGTTTACCCAAATTATTGAACTAAAAAAAAGTATTTCTTAGTTGGCATGTTCTGGATCTCATAAGTTGGTGTGGCAAGTAGAATGTGTATCTCTGACAATGATTTAAAGTGTGGTGTCTGTCATCAGTTGCAAATACTTTTTTTTTTTTTGAGGCAGAGTCTTGCTCTGCTGCCAGGCTTAAGTGCAGTGGCACAATCTCGGCTCACTGCAATCTCTGCCTCCTGGGTTCAAGTGATTCTCCTGCCTCAGCCTCCCGAGTAGCTGGGATTACAGGAGTGCACCACCACACCCGCTAATTTTTGTATTTTTAGTAGAGACGGAGTTTCACCTTGTTGGCCAGGCTGGTCTCCAACTCCTGGCCTCAAGTGATCCACCTGCCTCAGCCTTCCAAAGTGGTGGGATTACAGGCATGAACCACTGCCCCGGCCTCATACGTGATACACACATACAAGCACATAGACGGAAAAGGTCAAAGAACAGTGCTGCCCAAGAGAACTTTCTGTGATGAGGGAAATGTTCCATATCTGCATCATCTAATATGGTGGGCCCTAGCCCCGCGTGCTTATTGAGCACTTGAAATGTGGCCAATGTGGCCAAAGAACTTAATTTTAAATTTTTATTTCATTTCAATCAATTTAATTTTAAATTGCCACATGTGCTAGTAGCTACCATCTTGGGTAGAGCAGGTCTGGAAGAATATGTACCTGTTAATAGTGATTACCTCAAGTAAAGATGGTAAAGTTGTATGCCTGCTAACAGGAGAATTTTGCTTTTAATTTTCAAAACTAATTAAGAATAGTTTTTTAAAAAAGCGAAGAGTCAGCATGTTGTAGTGGAGAAAATATTTGGCTTGGTGTCAACTCAGATTTAAGCCCTGGCTTCATTCTTAATCTATGTTCCTTCACATTTGACAAGAGAAATGATAATGGCATAGTTGGTGGTAGTGTTGATTGAAAAGATATGTAAATTAAGCTGGAACCATGCCTAACACCCAGAAAAGAAAAAAAGCAAACCAGTGGATTTTTTATTGATGACTTAACAATTTAGATTACTTACCTTAGCCCAATGATTACCCAACATCAAAATCAGTAACTTTTTTTTTTTTTTGAGACAGAGTCTTGCTCTGTCACCCAGGCTAGAGTGCAGTGGTACAATCTCGGCTCACTGCAACCTCCGCCTCCCAGGTTCAAGCAATTCTCCTGCCTCAGCCTCCCGAGTACTTGGGATTACAGGCGCCCACCACTGCGCCTGGCTAATTTTTGTTGTTTTTTTTTTTTTTTTTTTTGAGACAGAGTCTCGCTCTGTCACCCAGGTTGGAGTGCAGTGGCACGATCTCGGCTCACTGCAAGCTCCGCCTCCCGGGTTCACGCCATTCTCCTGCCTCAGCCTCCAGCTGGGACTACAGGCGCCCGCCACCACGCCCGGCTAATTTTTTTTTTTTGTATTTTTAGTAGAGACGGGGTTTCACTGTTTTAGCCAGGATAGTCTCGATCTCCTGACCTTGTGATCCGCCCGCCTCGGCCTCCCAAAGTGCTGGGATTACAGGCATGAGCCACCGCGCCCGGCCTAATTTTTGTATTTTTAGTAGAGACGGGGTTTCACCGTCTTGGTCAGGCTGGTCTCAAACTCCTGAGTTCATAATCCACCCACCTTGGCCTCCCAAAGTGCTGGGATTACAGGAGTAACTTTTAAACAACTAGAGAATTTTAAATCACTCCTGAAAATATTGGGTTACTACCTAGTGGAGTGAGCAAGTATGAGGACCATCTCCTTCAATCATAGAGAAAATTCAAGATGGGTTTCTGTGACCACTGAGACTAGATTATATGGCCCCTCTTACCTGAACTGCTGTCACAGTGTACACTAGAAACTATCTTTGGTGGACACCTGCTTATAGGAGAGCTTTTCTCTCTCTTAAGAGACCAGATTTATCGACAGAATTGAGAATATTCTAAATCCCCTTGGTGGGCTGGGATGGGTTTGGTCACTGGAGCCAAACTAGAAAATGGAGCTGATGATTGAAGTAATTCACTGGAGCCAAACTAGAAAATGGAGCTGATGATTGAAGTAATTCATGAAGGTAAAAATAGTGTGGTGTAGTTTTAGAGAAGGGAAGTCATTTTCCATTTACAGGTGATTTGCTAATAGGACGAATTTAAATCAGTAATAGAATGTTTAAAAGATTTTGATTTTATATATGTTGAAATAAAGCAAATAATCATCTGTATTAATTGTTTGGGGGAATTATATTCTCTAGGATTTCGAGCAGTCAAATTTACTTTGCACACCAGAGATCTGCTAAGCACAGTGTTATATATTCTCAACTCCTGCAGTTTATCTGTTGAACATATCCAAAGCTTGAATACTAATATGCATACCCAGCCTCTCAAAGAAGCTAAAAGGATGCCTGACAGGCCCATCAAATGGGACAAGTCTTATTACTCCTTTACTGGATTCAAGGACCCTGATGAAGACCTTGAACAAGTCTCGAGAGTGGAAACAACTCTCACGTATGTAAAAGTTTTTATCTAACTAAACTGTATTTGTAGTTTGTGTTTATGACACTGATTTATTGGGATGGCAAAAACATTTTTTTATAAATAAAAAGTGTAGTTCACATTTAAAATTAAAACCTAATTTTCCAGGAAAAGTAATACTATCAGTCTAGTTAATCCAGTAATCATTATGAAAAATATATTTCATGTTTCTTACTTAAAGCTGCCAAAATACTTCCAACTGTATTTAAAGTTGTGGTCTTTTGATACCAAACACATGCAGGAGATTGTTTTGTTTAACTTTTAAAAATTCTATTCAAGTTACCCCCGGTACATGGAGAAAGGCTATACCTAAGACTATACAAATATTTTTTACTCTTCTTCATGTGTTAGGCATTTCTAACGGATAGTTCAGTAGTGATGTACTTTAGTGTAATAATCCATACATAAGAAAAATACATGGTGACCAAATTATTAAATATCATCTAGAATAGCTGCTTTAAAGAGTTACTTTTTAAATTATAAAAATCATATATAAAATGTTTTCTATTATTTGGCATGCCTTATTTGTAAAGTCACCTTAATGTTTTTTAAGTCATTTTTGGATTTCATAAAGACCCATCACATTCTCTTCTTATGATTGTATCTAAAAAGTCCAGTGGCTTATCAGAGGATTCTCTCATTATGGCATAGTAAATGATCCTTCATTATCCACTGGCATAATATCTGCTTTGTGGATTATCTATACTAAGGGATTCCTCCTTGCTACCTAGCTAGATTCTAAATAAGGCTGAAAAGGTAGGAAGGTAGCAGAGTCTAGTACAGAAAAGTATAGAAGTATGTGTCTGAAGACGTGTATGTATGTACCTACGTGTGATAGTCTATGATATTTGTCTATATGCATAACTGATGGATAAATCACTTCCCTAAATATGATGACTTTAATTGTTCAGATTCTCCTCTGAGATGGAAATGTGGGTTTGGGAATAACAATTTAATGATGGACCAGAAGTAATGACACAGTAAGAAGTCAGGTAAAAAATGAAGAGCCTGGCACTGTGGCTTATGCCGATAATCCCAGCATTTGGGGAGGCCGAGGTGGGAGGATTTCCTGAGGTCAGGAGTTCAAAACCAGCCTGAGCAACATAGTGAGACCCATCTCTACAAAAAATACAAAAATTTAGCCAGGCATGGTGGTACACATTTGTAGTTCTAGCTACTTGGAAGGCTAAGGCAGGAAGATCCCTTGAGCACAGGAGTTTGAGGCTGCGGTGAACTATGATTGTGCCACTGCACTCCAGCCTGGGTGACAAAGTGAGACCCTGTCTCCAAAAAATAATAAATAAATAAAAAGTAGAGTCATGGTGGCATAGAGGTTGCCGAATTGAAAATTTTGGTATAGAAAAACAGAAGAGATAATTTAAGGTTAATTGCACACAGAGGCTACAGTGAGAATTGAAGTAGATTTCTCTGAGCACAAACTGGAAGAGAAGTTCTCAGCCTTGCCTTCAAGTTTTATGTGGGACACGGCACATACAACTTCTGCTTACACCCGCGGGAGAATATTGTTGTACTTATCTTGCGCTGTGTCTAGATGAACAAAAAGTTGGGGATTACTGGCCTAAAGAGTATAGAAAACAGTGAGATTGAATACATCAAGCCAAAACAGCAAAAGTAACAGTTTTTGGACTTCACTCAAGTTAAAAGGGCCTAAGAAGAATGTATTAAAGGATTTCATAGAAGCAGTTGGTCTGTGGTTCAGTTGAGTATTTCGTAGAACACAGTTTTTATTTGGAGCTGGATGTGCAGCCATCATGAAAAGAGTGCCCCAAGGACCTAGAACTGGACTTAGACACCGGCAAAGTAGTGAAAATACATTGAAACTATAGAAAGCCAACTCAACAAGATAAGTGTATTCAACTGGGTTCCTTACCTAAGCTCAGTATTTATAATTTTTTTATTTGTATGTCATTTATCCAGTAAAATTCCTTAGTCTTTAGTAAAAGGAGACTTTCTTATATTACATTCGACTATATGAGTTCTTAAGAGTAGGGAATATGTTTTGATAATCTCTGTGTCTACTAATCTACTTCATAGATTCATAGAATCCATCCAGTATTTTCATTGAACTGAACTAAAGAATTGTTGAATAACTAAATGTGATGTGCTAGAGGCTCAGTTTGAAGAACTCGGGCTTTAATATGTGAATGCAAAGTAACATACATAGCGTAGCAATAGAAGTCACTTAGCAGTGAATGTAGAGGGCCATTTTTTCTTAAAGTGCTTCTGTTAATTTCATTAATGTTAACTAAAAAAATCTGCTATTTTTAGTGAAAGATACATTGTCTTAAGGAAAATTTCTATGCATAGATAAGTTATGTTGCTGTGAATTCTTGATTTCCTCAAAAGTCAGCTTTGTTTTAAATTCAAGCTTTTATTTTGACAGTTATGAGGACAAGCTCAAAAAACAAGTCCCTCTGACTTGTTGTCTACCCTTTAAGAGTATAGCAACATAAAAAATGCCTTGGGAGGCCGAGGCAGGCGGATCACAAGGTCAGGAGATCAAGACCATCCTGGCTAACACGGTGAAACCCCGTCTCTACTAAAAATACAAAAAATTAGCGTGGTGGTGGGCACCTGTAGTCCCAGCTACTCAAGAAGCTGAGGCAGGAGAATCGCTTGAACCGGGGAGGTGGAGGTTGCAGTGAGCCAACATCACGCCACTGCACTCCAGCCTGGGCAACAGAGTGAGACTCTGTCTCAAAAAAAAAAAAAAAAACCACTGTTTTAGAAATTGAAGTCAGTGGAAATTTAGCTTTCTAAATCACTGATTATTATTATCCATCTTGTCAACAGCTATTTTATCTTTACAGAAATTAAAGTAAACCCATTATTAAGCAGTTAGAGCCTTTCTTTTTTTAGCTTCATAAAGTGAAATTAATAGTGGCATAGCATTACAGTAGATAGGTTTTTTGTTTTTTTTTTTTAGTTTTTTTATGCTTATATTGAAGGGCCTTAGATTGTATTTCTTTTTTAATTTCTTTCTTTCTTTCTTTCTTTCTTTTTTTTTGAGACAGGGTCTTACTCTGTCAGGTTGGAGTGCAGTGGCATGATCATAGCTCACTGCAGCCTCAAACTCCTGGGCTCAAGTGATCCTCCCGCCTCAGCCTTTGGAGTAGCTGGGACTACAGGCATGTGCCACCATACCTGGCTAATTTTTTTTTTTTTTTTTTTTAAAGATGGAGTCTCACTCTGTTGCCCAGGCTGGAGTGCAATGGCCCTATCTCGGCTCACTGCAACCTCTGCCTCCCGGATTAAGCATTCTCCTGCCTCAGCCTCCCGAGTTGCTGGAATTACAGGCACACACCGTCACACCCCTGGCTAATTTTTGTATTTTTAGTAGAGACGGGGTTTCACCATGTTGGCTAGACTGGTCTCGAACTCTTGACCTCAGGTGATCCGCCCACCTCGACCTCCCAAAATGCTGGGATTACAGGCATGAGCCACCGTGCCTGGCCCATACCCGGTTAATTTTTTAATTTTTAGTAGAGACAAGGTCTCACTATGTTGTGCAGGCTAGTCTCAAACTCCTGAGCTCAAGCGATCCCCCTGCCTCAGCTTCCCAGAGTGCTGGGATTACAGACATGAGCCACCATGCCCGGCTAGATTATATTTCTTAAGCATTGACATCTTATTGATTTACCTGAACCAGATCATCACAACTCATGGAGTTTGAGTTTAGCTTAAGAATGTGTAATTTTAGAGCAAAAAGTCCAGGTTGGGTAGGAGAGAGAGGACAGCACTACACTGAACCAAGACAAGACAAGGAATACTGCTCATTGGGCTGTTAGAGTGAAATGCAGGGTAGGCTAAATCCCTTTACCAGCATGTCTTACAGTGCTGATGTAGCATTATAATACCTGTACTCATCTGAAAGGTTTCATATCTCTTATCTCCCTAACATAACCTGGTTTCCCAATTCTAGCATGTTCACATAGGCCCAGAGCCCCTTGACCTTTCCCTAAGCATGAGCATTGCCCAGTTTGAAGGAACCTCTGCTGAGGGTTTGTTCAATGTTTTAATATATGGTAGTTTTTCCTAGTAAGGGTTCCAGGAGCTTATATCATAAAAGCTGGAATGGTATCTCTATCAATTTCTCATTTCAATTACAGTTGACCCTTGAAGAATGTGTGTTTGAACTGTGCAGATCCACTCTTACACGGATTTTTTTTCAACCAAAAGCAGATTGAAAATACCATATTCGCTCCCCAAAAACTATTGAAATAGTAATAGAGAGAGAGAGAGAGAGAAAGAGAGAAGGAAGGAAGGAAGGAAGGAAGGAAGGAAGGAAGGAAGGAAGGAAGGAAGGAAGGAAGGAAGGAAGATACAGTATTAGCAAGATGTGAAACCTATGTATAGGGAAGGCCGACTGTTGGTATACGCATGTTTGGCGGGGCCAACTGCGGGACCTGAGTATGCACAGATTTTGGTACCCGTGGGTGGGCTTGGAACTAATGCCTCATGTATAGCAAGAGAAAACTGTACTGATTTTTTTATATCTGTAATTATTTTACAAATAATTGTAAAACTGTTGAACCATTTCAGAGCTTTCAAATCATGTGAATCAAGTGACTGCCTAGTAGAGAGATTCATGGTGCCTATAAGTCTACTAAAACCTATTAGCCATCATGGTCATTTTGGCCATATGCAGTTTAAATTTTTATTCATGTATTGTTTAATTCATCTTCATTACATGTATAGATTATAGAGAGGAATCATAAGGAACACATGCTGAATTATATAGTTCAGAAGTAGCATAAAAATGGTAATTCTGCCCATTTATATCAATCTGATCTCTTGATTTACAAATTACATTCATTGGATCAAAACTTTCTTTTTTTTTTTTTTCTTTTTTTAAGACAGAGTCTTTTGCTCAGTCGCCCAGGCTGGAGTGCAGTGGTGCTATCTTGGCTCACTGCAAGCTCCGCCTCCCGGGTTCACACCATTCTCCTGCCTCAACCTCCCGAGTAGCTGGGACTACAGGCGCCTGCCACCACACCCGGCTAATTTTTTTGTATTTTTAGTAGAGATGGGGTTTCGCCGTGTTAGCCAGGATGGTCTTGATCTCCTGACCTCATGATCCACCCGTCTTGGCCTCCCAAAGCACTGGGATTACAGGTGTGAGCCACTGCACCCGGCCCAAAATTTTCTTTTTAATTAAATCTTTAAAGCAAGTTAAGATGGTTTTAATGTTTCTGAGCACTATGTTAAACGAGAAAATATAATTACAGTGTTATTTAGTATAGACTTTAACTTTCAAAATAATTTTATCTGTTTTTGGTTTTGCTGAGAAGTGCAGGGTAAAATTGTGTCCTAGCATTTTTAAATTAAAATAAGAAATCATAAAAATAAATCAGTTGAGTTTTTTTATTTTTATTTTTAAATATTTTTTGAGACAGGGTCTTGTTTGGTTGCCTAGACTGGAGGAGTTTTTTAAAAACACAAAATGGGAGATTTATCAGGTCATAAAAACTCTATTTAACCCACTTTTATATTATATCCATTAATTACATTTTAATGTATATTTTAAGGCATGGTTTGTAATTTTGAATTTCTCAGCAGATTGTGTTTTATCTTACTTCAACATTCCTTTGTTATATACCTATAAAAATGATAAAATGAAAGCTTTAGGCCAGGTGTGGTGGGTCACGCCTATAATCTCGGCACTTTGGGAAGCTGAGGTGGGCAGATCACTTGATGTCAAGATGGTGGCCAACATGGTGAAACCCCATCTCTATTAAAAAAAAAAAAATAGCCAGGCGTGATGATGCATGCCTGTAGTCCCAGCTACTTGGGTGACTGAGGCAGGAGAACTGCTTGAACCCGGGAGGCAGAGATTGCAGTGAACCAAGATCGTGCCACTGCACTCTAGCGTGGGTGACAGAGTGAGACTCTGTCTGAAAAAAAGAGAAAAGAAAAGAAAATTTTAATACGTAAGTAGTTTTTGAAAATTATATAAAATTATAAAAGGAATGTTCCAGTCTAAAAAAAATTAGGAAATGCTGTTCCGTGTTGTCAATTTTTGTATTTCTATATTTTGGGTATATTCTTTGATTATCAAATTATGTTAAAACAAAAATGTACTTTAATTATATAGCTTGTATTTGAGAGGAGCTAACCAGATCCATTTTATATAAGCAAAATAATTCCATATGAAATGTCTATCCCACTGAACAAACATGTCATTGAACTAGAAAAAGACCATTGAAATACTATTCTTACAGCTACTAAGATACCAGTGAATGTCAGAGTTCCTTTTTTTCTATTTGACCTTAGCTCAAATATATTTACATTTCACTTTCAGTGTCTAAACTTTGAATCAATTTTTGTGTTCATGAAATACCATGTTGGACACCTACAACATTGGAACTATTCTATAAAATGTTTGGGATTTGATAGTCATGATTTAACTCATATTGTGCGTTTATTTACTCTTCCCTTTGTTTATAGGCTAAGTCACTGTTTTTAAAATTACAAGTGATAATGCACAATTTAGTGACTCAGGACTAGCAAAGTTGTTTTGCTTTGCTTTCTTTTTTTTTTTTTTTATTTTAACTATATATTGTGAATGCATTTCTAGTAGTAAGTTTAAGTATTATTTCTCAAAATACTTCGTTTAGTTACATACACATAAATACAGGTGTGTGTGTATATGCTGGTTCACTATGTGAAATATTTCTTACCATGTGTTGCCATCAGAGAAGTATAAAAAGCTTTTGGTGCCAGGTGCAGTGGCTTCTAACTATAATCCCAGCACTTTGGGAGGCCAAGGCGGGAGGATTGCTTGAGGCCAGGAGTTTAAGACCAACTTGGGCAATCTAGTAAGACCTTGTCTGTAGAAAAATAAAAATTAAAAAATTAGCCAGGTGTGATGGCATGTGCCTGTACTCCCAGCTACTCAGGAGGCTGAGGCAGGAGGATCACCTGAGCCCAGGAGGTCTAGGCTGCAGTGATCCATGATCACACCACTGTACCCCAGCCTGGGTGACAGAGTGAGACCCTGTCTCTCCAAAAAAAATATAAAAATAAAAAAACTATTGCTCTATGAACTTCAGGCAGTGAAAATAAAATAAAGGCTGTTATTGGTCTAAACTCCTTTGTTTTATACAGTTTGAAGCCTAGGAGTGTAAAATTTATGCAATTTTAACTTTATTGTAATTTGGATCATGGCTTTCTTTTTTCATCTCTTAAATCCATGGAAAACTGAGCTTCGCTTGAGTTACTATTTTTATTTCAAAAGCATCATGACCCTAGGAACCGAACCAAATGATTTCACAGTCCAGCATTAGTCCTTGTACGTGGTATTCTGGCATTCATTTTTATATACCTTTTAATGTTCTTTTGGCTTCATTTTATTATCAGTTTTTTTCTTTTTATTTGGATCTTATAACAATACATGTAATATATGTATTACATATTGCTGCAATTATAATGAAATCATTTTTAATCAAGCTGTCTTAGTCCATTTTGCATTGCTATAATATAAAGGAATACTAGAGGCTGGGTAATTTATAAAGAAAAGAGGTTTGTTTGGCTCATGGTTCTGCAGGCTGTACAAGAAGTGTGGCATCAGCATCTGCTTCTGGTAGGGACTTCAGAAAGCTTCCCCTCATGGTAGAAGGGAAAGAAGAACAAGCATCATGTGGCAAGAAAGGAGGAAAAAAAGAGAGGAGGAGGCGCCAGGCTATTTTTAGCAATCAGATCTTATGGAAACTAATAGTGAGAAGTCACTCATTACCATGAAGATGACATGAAGCCATTAATGAGAGTTCTGCCTCCATGACCCAAAACTTCCCACCAGGCCCTGCCTCCAACATTGGGGATTAAATTTCAACGTGAGATTTGGAGGGGACAAATATTTAAACTGTAGCACAGGCCAAGGTCAAACAGACAACCACAACCAGTTACCACTTCATACCCTATGATGGCTATATTCTAAAAGAGAATAACAAGTGTTGGTGAGCAGGTAGGGAAATTGGAACTCTCCTCCATATAAAATGGTGCAGCTGCTGTGGAACACAGTTTGGCAATACTACAAAATATTAAACAGAGTTATGTGACCCAAGAATTCCACTCCTAGGTATACACTCAAGAGAAATGAAAACAGACATTCACACAAAAATATGCTTATAGCAACGTTATTTATAATAGCCAAAAGTGGAAATAACCTAATGTCTACCAACTGATAAATGGATTTTTAAAAAGTGGCATATCCATATAATGGAATATTATTTAACCAGAAAAAGGAATGAAGTACTGATACTTACTACGACATGGATGAACCTTGAAAACATGCTAAGTCAAAGAAGCTGATTGCAGTCAACCACATACTGTGTGATTCCATTTTATGTAAAATACCTACAATAGGCAAATCTAGAGAAACAGAAAGTAGATTAGTGGTTGGTAGGGCTGGAGAGCAGGACTATTAATGGGTATGTGATTTCTTATTCAAGTGATGAAAGTATACTAAAATTGACTGTGGTGGTGGTTGTACACTTCTGTGAACATACTAAAAATGGATGAATGGGTGAGTTATATGGTATATGAATTGTATTCCAACAAAGCCATTTTTAAAAAGAACTATCACTACTCTTCCTAAAAAATATATTTATTAAAAGTATTATTAGTTTATGTTTTTGGACAATGTATAAAGATAATTTTGTGGTAACAACTGAAAGAGTTGGGGAGAGCTAGTAAAGGAGCAGAGTTTTTGTTATTGAAGTTAAGCTAGTATAAATTCAAATTAGGGTGTTATAACTTTAGGATGTTAAATGTAATCCCCCCAGTAACCATAAGAAAATAACTAAAGAATATACACAAAAGGAAACGAGAAAGGAATTTAAATGTTTTGCCACAAAAAAAATAAAATCAATTAAACACAAAAGAAGATAGTAATGCAAGAAATAAGGGACAAAAAAGCGGTAAGACACATGGAAAATAAATAGCAACATGACAGAATTAAGTTGTATCTTATAAGTAATTACTTTAAATGTAAATGGATTAAACTTTCCAAAAGACAAATACTGGCAGAGTGAATTTAAAAAACATGATTTGGCCGGGCGAGGTGGCTCACGCCTGTAATCCCAGCACTTTGGGAGACTAAGGCGGGTGGATCACGAGGTCAGGAGATTGAGACCATCCTGGCTAACATGGTGAAACCCCATCTCTACTAAAAAATACAAAAAAATTAGCTGGGCATGGTGGCAGGCACCTGTAGCCCCAGCTACTCGGGAGGCTGAGGCAGGAGAATCGCTTGAACCTGGGAGGCGGAGCTTGCAGTGAGCCGTGATCATGCCACTGCACTCCAGCCTGGGCAACAGAGTGAGACTCCGTCTCAAAAATAAATAAATAAATAATAAAACACATGATTCAACTATATGCCATCTACAGAAGAGTCACTTTAGATCCGGAGTTGAAAGTGAAAGGGTGGAAAAAGATAGTATTCCATGCAATAGTAACCAAAAGAGAGTTATACTAATATGAGACAAAATAGACATTAAATTTAAAAAGATTACAAGAGAAAAGAAGATTATTACATATTAATAAAAGGCTCCACAACAACAAGAGATAGCAGCTATAAATATTTATCTACCTAATACCTGATCATCAAAATATATGAAGCAAAAGTGGACTGAATTGAAGAGAGAAATAGAAAGTTCTACAATAATGGCTGGACACTTCAGTACTCCACTCTCAATAGTGTATAGAAGAACCAAACAAGAAATAAGTAAGGAAACAGAGGACTTGCATAGCACAATTAAGGAGCTGGATCTAACAGACATATACAAGACACTGTACCTAACAACAACAGCATACACATTCTTCTCGAGTCCACATGGAACGTTTTCTAGGATGGACCATATTTTCGGCCACAAATTAAGTCTCAATAGATTTCAAAAGATAAATATACAGAGTATCTTCTCTGACCAAAATGGGATGAAGTTAGAAATCAACAACAGAAGTAAAACTGGAAATTTCACAAAATTGTGGAAATTAAAGCACTCTTAACCAGCAGATCAAAGAAGATACCATGTACCACATAAATATACTTACTATGTTACCCATGAAAATTAAAAATAAAAAGAAATCCCAAGGGAAAATAGAAAATACCATTCTGGACATAGGGGCTGGCAAAGATTTCATGATGAAGATGCCAAAAGCAATTCCAACAAAAGCAAAAATTGACAAATGTTACATAATTAAACTAGAGCTTTTGCACAGCAAAAGAAACGATATATCAACAGAGTAAACAGACAACCTACAGAATGGGAGAAAGTACTTTCAAACTATATATCTGACAAAGGTCTAATATCCAGAATCTATCAGGAACTTAAGACTTACAAACTGCTGGGTGCGGTGGCTCACACCTGTAATCCCAGCACTTTGGGAGGCTGAGGTGGGTGGATCATCTGAGGTCCAGAGTTTGAGACCAGCCTGGCCAACATGGTGAAACCCCGTCTCTACTAAAAATACAAAAATTAGTTGGGCATGGTGGCACATGCCTGTAATCCCAGCTCTCAGGAGGCTGAGGCACAAGAATCACTTGAACCAAGGAGGTGGAGGTTGCAATGAGCTGAGATCGTGCCACTGCACTCCAGCCTGGGCGACAGAGTGAGACTCTGTCCCCAACCCTACCCCCCCAAAAAAAAAATTTTACAAGCAAAAAACAGCCCCATTAAAAAGCAGGCAAAGACATGAACAGACACTTTTCAAAAGAAGATGTACATGCAGCCAACAGGCGTATGAAAAAATGCTCAATATTACTAATCATAAGAAAAATGCAGCTGGGTGCGGTGGCTCACGCCTGTAATCCCAGTGCTTTGGGAGGCTAAGGCAGGCGAATCAAAGGCTGTTCAAGAACAGCCTGGCCAACATGGTGAAACCCCATGCTCCTAAAAATACAAAAAATTAGCCAGGCATGGTGGCAGGTGCCTGTAATCTCAGCTATTCAGGAGGCTGAGGCAGGAGAATTGCTTGAACCTGGGATGCAGAGGTTGCAGTGAGCCGAGATCACTCCACGGCAACAGAGCGAGACTCTGTCTCAAAAAAAAAAAAAAATGCAAATTAATACCACAGTGAGATACCACCTCATACCAGTTAGAATGGCTAGCATTAAAAAGCCAGGCCAGGCACAGTTGCTCACACCTGTAATCCCAGCACTTTGGGAGGCCAAAGTGGGGAGATTGCTTGAACTCAGGAGTTTAAGACCACCCTGGGCAACATGACGAGACCCCTTCTCTACCAAAAATACAAAAAAATAGCCAGGCTTCATGCCATGTGCCTATAGTCCCAGCTGTTGGGGAGGCTGAGGCAGGAGGATCACTTGAGCCTGGGCCTCGGTGGGGAGGGTGGGGTGGGGTGCATGCAGAGATTGCAGTGAGCCAAGATTGTGCCGTTGCACTCCAGCCTGGGTGACAGAGCAAGGCCCTGTCTCAAAAAAAAAAAAATTAATTAATAAATAAATAACAGATGCTGTGGTCAGGTTGTGGAGAAAAGGGAATGCTTATTTAGTGTTGGTAAGAGTGTATATTAGTTAAACCATCGTGGAAAGTAGTGTGGCAATTCCTCAAAGAACTTAAAACAACTAACATTCAACCCAGTAATCTCACTACGGGGTTTATACCCAAAGGAATATAAATCATTCTACTGTAAACACACATGCTGACATATCTTCATTGCAGCACTGTTCACAATAGCAAAAACATGGAATCAACCTCAATGCCCATCAATGGACTGGGACTGGTTAAGGGAAATGTGGTACATATACCTAATGGAATACTATGTGGCCATAAAAAAGAATGAGATCATGTCCTTTGCAGGAACATGGATGGAGCTGGAGGCCATTATCCTTAGCAAACTAATGCCGTGACAGAAAACCAAATACCACATGTCCTCACTTATAAGTGGGAACAAAATAATGAGAACCAATGGGCACAACACAGAGAACAACAGACACTGGGGATAACTAGAGCGGGGAGGGAGAGAGAGGGGAAGGGTGTTTCTAACTATCAGGTGCTACACTCAATACCTGGGTGACAGGATCAATCATACCCCAAACCCCAGCACGTTACGTTACACCCATGTAACAAACCTGCACATGTACTCCCAAATCTAAAATAAAAGTTAAAATTATATCTAGGGAAGAGAGTGGGAGGAGGGAGAGGATCAGGAACAATAACTATCAGGTACTGTGCTTAGTACCTGGGTGAAGAAATGGTCTGTACACGAGACCTCCGTGACATGAGTTTGCCTTTGTTAACCTGCACATGAGCCCCAGACCTAAAATAAAAAAAAAATTAAGAATTTTAACTCAATTAGATCATAGACTTAAATGTAAAATGTAAAGTAGTAAGACTTTTAGGAGAAAAAGGAGGGGAAAATTTTCAGGGGGATATGAAGAGAGGTTGATTAATGGGTCCAGATATACAGTTTGATAGAAAAAAATAAGATCTGTCTGATAGATCAGTAAGGTGACTATAGTTTACAATCATCAATCGTGTATTTCAGAATAGCTAGAAGAGAATAATTGGAATGTTTCTACAATAAAAGAAATATTTAAGGTGATGGATATACCAATTACACTGATTTTTTACAAATTATATGAATATTACATTACTGAATGTACCCTGAAAATTTTAAAAAAATGTATGATTAACAATTTTGAGCAAAAAAGAAAATATAGATGAATGAAAACAAAAACACAATGTACCAAAATTTATGGGACCCAGCAAATTCAGTGAAGCAATGCTAAGGGGGAAATTTATAGCTATAAACACATTTAAAAACCAAGAAAGATCTCAAATCAACAATCTAACTGTACACCTTATGGGATTAGAGAAAAAAGAATAAACTAAACCCAAAACTAGTAGAAGGAGGGAAATAATAAAGATTAGAGCAGATAACCAAAGTAGATATTAGATAAACAAAATGGAGAATAGAAAAAGGATAGAGAAAATCAACAAAACCAAAACTTGGTTCTTTGAAAAGATCAACAAAATTGACCTTTAGCTAGATGGACTAAGAAAGAAAGGAGACTCAAATTACTAAAATCAGAAATGAAAGCAGGAACATTACTACCAATTCCACAGAAATAAAGATTATAAGAGAGTACCATGGGCAATTGTACACCAACAAGTTGGATAACCTAAATAAAATGGACATATTTCTAGAAACACAAAATCTACCAAGACTAAAGCACAAAGAAATAGAAAATGAGACTGAGTCAGTAATTTTAAATTTCCCAACAAAGAAAAGCCCTGAACTGGATGGCTTCACTGGCAAATTCTACCAAACATTTAACAGCAATACTTCTCAAACTTTTCAAAAAGAAACTGAAGAAGGAACACTCCCTAACTCATTCTGTGAGAGCATTACCCTGATACTAAAGGCAGACAAAGACACTACAAGAAAAGAAAACCACAAATCAGTGTGCTTTATGAACATTAATACAAAAAGCTTCAAAAAATCCTAGAAAAATTAATTTAGCAGCATATTAAAAGGATTCAATACCATGACCAAGTAGGATATATTCCTAGAGTACAAGGATGGTTCCACATACAAAATCAATCAGTGCGATACACACTAACAGAATGAAGGAGAAACCCCACGTGATCATTTAAATCATCTAGAATGATCATGATGCATGATCTAGAATGATCAAATGCAAAAAGTATTTGACAAAATTCAACATACTTTCATACTAAAAACACTCTAGAAATAAAGGAAACTACATCAACATAATAAAAGCTATATATGAAAACCCACAGCAAACATCATTCTCAGTAGTAAAAGACTGAAGTTTTTCATGTAACATAAGGAAGTAGGCAAGGATGCCTACTTTCACCACTTCTATTCATCATACTACTGGAAGTCTTAGCCAGAGCAATTAGGCAAGAAAAAGAAATTAAAGTCATCTACTTGGAAAGGAAGAGGTAAAATTATCTGTTCACAGATGATAATGGTCTTATACATAGAAAACTCTGCAGATTCCACTGAAGAATCTGTTAGACCTAATTAGCAAATTCAGCAAGTTAGCAGGATACAAACTCTATACACAAAAATTAATTGCATTTCTGTATACTAGCAATGAATCCAAAAAGGGAATTACAAAAACAATTCCATTTACAATAGCATCAGAAAAGATAAAATGCTTAGGAATTGACTGAAGAGACGAAAGACTTGTAGTACAATGAAAACTATAAAAACATTTCTGAAAGAAATTAGAGAAGATATAAGTAAATGGAAAGGCATTCTATGATCAAGGATCAGAAGATAATATTACTAAGATGTCAATACCCAAAGCAAGTACAGATTTAATGCAATCCCTATCAAAAGCCTGATGACATTTTTTGCACAAATAGAAAAACCCATCCTAAAATTAGAATTTCAGGGGACCTCAAATAGCCAAAACAATCCTGAAAAAGAAGAGCAAAGCTGGAGAACTCACATTTCCTCATTTCAAAACTTACTGCAAAGCTATAGTAAACAAAGCATTGTGATACTGGCATAAAAACAGACATATAGGCCAGGTGTAGTGGCTCACTTCTGTAATCCCAGCACTTTGGGAGGCTGAAGCAGAAGGATTAGTTGAGTCCAACCAGCCCAGGCACCGTAGTGAGACCCCAATCTCTATAAAAAGAGAAATACACAAACATATAGACTAATGGAATAGAATAGAGAATACAGCAGTAAATACTTGCATATATGGTCAACTGATTTTCAACAAGAATGCCAAGACCACTGAATGGGGAAAAGATAATCTTTTCAACAAATGGTACTGGGAAAACTGGCCACATGCAAAGGAATGAAGTTGAACACTGACTTATACTAAAATTAACTCAAAATGGATCTTTGACTGAAATGTAAGACCTAAACTATAAAACTCTTAGAAGAAAACATAGGGCAGAAGATTCATGACATTGGATTTGCCAGTGATTTCGTGGATATAACACCTAAAACACAGGCAACAAAAGAAAAATAGACAAATTGGATTTCATGAACATTTTTAAAGTTTGTGCACTAAAAGACACTATCAACAGAGTAAAATGGCAACCCACAAAATGAGAGAAAATGTTTGCAACTCATATATATGATAAAGGAATTGATATCCAGAATAAATAAAGAACTCCTAAAACTCAACCAGCAAACAACCCATTTCAAAAATGGGCAAAGGACTTGAATAGACATTTCTCCAAAGAAGGTATATAAATGGCCAATAAGCACATGAAAAGATACTCAACATCATTAATCACTAGAGAAATGCAAATTAAAACTAATGGGTGTGAGGTACCTAATCACACCCACTAGAATGGCTACTATCCAAAAACCAAAATAACAAGAGTTGATGAGGGTTTGAAGAAACTGGAACCCTTATGCACTGTTGGTGGAAATGTGAAATAGTGCAGCTGCTATGGAAGATGATATGGTGATTCCTCAAAAACTTAAATATAGATTTACCGTAAAATTGAGAGCAGTGTCTCAAATAGATATTTGTATACCCATGTTCATAGCAGCATTATTCACAATAGCCAAAAGGTGGAAGCAACCCAAGTGTCCATCAGTGGATGAATGGATAAGCAAAATTTGATATACTCCTACAGTGGAATGTTAGCCTTAAAAAGGAAGGAATTCTGACACAGGCTACAACACATGAACCTTGAGGACATCATGCTACATGAAATAAACCAGTCACAAAAAGACAGATGGTGGATGATTCTACTTATGTGAAGTACAAGGAGTAGTCAAATTCATAGAGACAGAAAATAGAACAGCGGTTGCCAGGGACTGGAGGGAGGGGAAGGGGGCGTTAGTGTTTAATGTGTACAGAGTTTGAGTTGGGCAAGATGAAAAGAGTTCTGAAAATTGATGGTGGTGATAGTTGCACAACAATGTTAATGTACTTAATACCACTGAACTGTACACTTAAAAATGGGTAAGGGGCTGGGTGCAGTGGCTTATGCCTGTAATCCCAGCACTTTGGGAGGCTGAGGCAGGAGGATCACTTGAGCTTAAGAGTTCAAGATCAGCATGGGCAACATGGCAAGACCCTGTCTCTACAAAAAAAAAAAAAAAAAAAAAAAAATTTAAATTAGCCAAGCTAATTAGCCAGGCATAATCACACCACTGCACTCTGACCTGGGCAACAGAGTAAGACCCTGTCTTTAAAAAAAGAAAAAAATAAGGTTAGGAAAAATATGTTAGTGATTACTAATTAGTATTTACTTGTTTATAGGTAATTTCATTTCTTATAAAATCAGCATTTTTAAAAAACTTCTTGCTTAGTAGAGGTTAAATAGTCTGGCTTACTTGGTATTTTACTATAGAATAAATATGAGATTTCTCTATTTCTTTTATCTCAATAGTAATTAATTGGACTTCTCACCCTTGAAAACAAAGGCTCTGAATTTTTAAATCTCTGTGATTATAAAATTAAGCCAAGAATTAAAATGATTTATGTGGCAAATTCAGGCAGTAATGATCCTTTTAAAATCCAATAAAGTGTTCTCATTTAGAGAGTAATTTAGAACTTTATTTCTGACCTAGAGTCTGGTTAGACAAGGTAACCGTGTGTTTCCACATTGATCAGGAAGGTATTCTTTTCTCTTTGCCTTATGGTTTAATTTATAGTCAAATTTCATGCTGTCTAGTGATCTCACTGTGATGACATTCAGATTAAGTACACATTAGATAATAAAAGACTCATCTTTCCCTCATGGGGGTAATAGGATAATGGGGGACTTAAGACACGTAGAGATAAATTATTATACAAACAGGCTGTGATTGGTCCCAAAAAGAATACTGAACAAGTATACAGCCAATCACAGGACATACATTAGGGAGCTCAGAAAGATTTTCAAGTAAATCTAGCTCTTGGCTTACTTCCAGTTTTCATAGTTTTTGCTTGATGTGGGAACAGATCATTCAAAGTTGTTTAATGGGAATCTTCATTGCCACATTCATTTTTCTCTAGACTATTGGAATAACTTCCTAAGGATCTTTCTACCACCAGTTTCTCTTCCCTGCAACTTGGGTTCTACATTCCTTCTATATTCCCAACTTTACCAAAGGCTTTGGTCACGTCATTCCCCTTAATAGCTCATGCATTGTTTAGAGGAGATCCCAGTTGGTAGCCTGCAAATACAGGCATTTATTAAATTTCATGGAGCGTGATAAATGAGAAAATACTAATAGGGACATTTTTAGGAATTTTTGAAAGATAGAAAGCAGATGAGCTCAGAACTGTGGAGAAACAAGTCAGCCAGAATGCCTGCTATCACCTCTGCAATGTATTTGTCCTGGAGAGCCCAGCCAATGTATTATAAGAAACAGAAATGGGATATGCAAATATTGGAAAGGCAGAGATACACTTGGATTACTTACGATTGTCACTAAGAAAATCAAAGGGAATTTTATTAGTCAAGAGTTTTTGATTGCCAACAAAAGAAACCAGCCCTAATGTAAGTAGAAAATAAATTACAAGGATATGAAGTCTCTTGTCATGTTTACAGAAGATTGGAGGACATGGTTGAGAAAATGTCCTGATGGGTATGAGCTGAGAAGAGAGACTCTCACTTTACTGTAGATGCTTTTGTACAGAGTGTTTTACCCTAAAAAATAGATCCATATACTTATTTAAATTGTTTTAAAGAAAAATACAGGGACTGCTGATCCTGAAAAAGTTAATGAGCATAAAAAGTAATTCTGAAAGGCCGGGCATGGTGGCTCATGCCTGTAATCCCAGCACTTTGGGAGGCCGAGGTGGGCAGATCACAAGGTCAGGAGATTGAGACCGTCCTGGCTAACGTGGTGAAACACTGTCTCTACTAAAAATACAAAAAAAATTAGCCGGGAGTGGTGGCACACGCCTGTAGTCCCAGCTACTTGGGAGGCTGAGGCAGGAGAATTGTTTGAACCCAGGAGGCGGAGGTTGCAGTGAGCCGAGATTGCGCCACTGCACTCCAGCCTGGGCAACAGAGTGAGACTCCTTCTCAAAAACAAAAAAAATCTGAAAATTTGTCTCTTATTACCTTCACCTGACCTGTTAGTTGCATTGATTTGATCAAAATTCAGAAACACACGATGGTGTCTCTTGTACATAAGCACCAAAACTCAAAAGAAAATGCTTTTGTTGACTTTATTTTCAGTTTTGTTTTTCACATATTCAAGAATAAAGACATTCTCTACAATTATTTTTTTTCTCTAGAGAAATGCTTACAAACAGTAGCCAGCAACTTATACTTTCTTTTTTTTTAACCTGTTTTTTAATTTTAATTTTGACATAATTTCAGACCCACAGAAAATTTGCAGGAATAGGGCCAGGCAGAGTGGCTCGCACCTATAATCCCAGCTACTCAAGAGGCTGAGACAGAAGAATCACTTGAGCCCAGGAGGCGAAGGTTGCAGTGAGCTGAGATTGCACCACTGCACCTCAGCCTGGGCAATAGAGCCAGAAGCTCCAAAAAAAAAAAAAAAAAAAAAAACACTTTAAAATTAGCCACACCTATATAGTTCTTTCTACTCCTGAGGCCGAGTGGGAGGATTGCTTGAGCCCAGGAGTTCAAAGTTACAGTGAGCTATTGATGGCAGCAGCAGCCCATCTGGAGCAGCCACTGCTAAGACACCAGCTGCAGCAGGAGAGACGTGTCCGGGGCTGCGTGCTCTACAGAGCTGGTGTGGGCTGGGAACAGGCAGGAGCCCCACCTCCTACTGAATTGGTAGGGTGGGAGCCCCATGCTCCCTGGTGCAGCTGCAGCTACCCAGCCACCCACTCTGGACTGGGACATCTCTGGGCTCTCAGGGGCCTGGGAACCCCCACCCCTGTCAGCTCAGAAGCACCTGCTCCCACTCCCTGGCCTCTCTCCACTCCCAGTGCCTGCTCAAGTGCAGAGCAAATTTGTGGCAGAGCCTGGGCACTGTCACGACCTGGCCAGTGTGGCGCTGACACACCAGCCCCCTGCTATCTCTGTCCCTCCGGACTTTGGGCGCTGATGAGCACAGGAGGGAGGCATGGTGAGGGTGGCTGAGGGCAGCTTGGCCCAGGCCTGCAGGAGCCCCTCAGCACAAACAGCCTGGGTACCATGGACGGCATGTTGATGGCAGGAGGTAGATAGGTTCCTGGGCAGAAAGGGCCAGGTCCCTGATGAAACCCCACCTTCAAGCCAGGAACAGCCTGAAGCGTGGGGACTGGGCTGCCGGTTCCAGGTGAAGTCCATGGCCCAGAGTGAAGACTTCACTGATGACCGTTCAGCCAATTGGATGGTGCTTTTTCCAGGCCCACCAGGAAAATCCTCCTTTCTGAGCACATAAAAACCCCAAACTCAGCCAGACTCATGCTGACATTGGGACTACCAGCTGCGGGAAGGAGTTACCCACTTCAGGTCTCCTCAATGTTGACACAGCCTGCCTGTGAAAAGGAGCTATCCACTGTGTGTCTCCTCTCTGCTGAAAGCTGGACACTCGTGGGGACAACCTGCTGGCAGAAAGGAGCTACACCAGGTCTCCTGAGAGCTGTTCTATCACTCAGTGAAGCTCCTCTCCGACTTGCTCACCCTCCAGTTGTCCACATACTTCATTCTTCCTGGACATGGGACAAGAACTTGTGAACACCTAATGGTGGGACTTAAAGAGCTGTAACACAAACAGGGCTGAAACACACCTAGGTCTGGGCTCCCCAAACCAGGGCTGTGACACCCTCTTTGGGACCCCACGGTTCCTGGTGTTTCCAAGCTTCCAGGAACCACCACGTTCCTCAGTTCCCACAGTGGTACACCTGGTCAGCTGCAGCCTTGCATGGAGCCAGTGCCTGTGCTGGTGCATGGGTTTGCCCGCTCTCCACTGCAGTCAGCACGCCTGGCTGTGCACAGTGGCTGGACCCTGCGCTCACTCACACACCCCTTGCCACTCTGTGCCTGGCTGGCCCTTGGCAGATGTGGGATCTGGGCCGGTAGTGTGAGCTGAGTGCAGCCTGCCAGGCCAAGTGGGCAGAATGAGCCCAGTGGGCCCGAGCCAAACTCAGGCAAAGACACTACCAACCACAGAGGTTTCCAGCTGGAAAAGCAACACCCCAAGGATCCTGTGACACTATGATTGTGCTGTTGCACTCCAGCCTGGGCAACAGAGAAAGTCCCTGTCTCTAGAATAAAAAAAGTTAGAGACTAAAATAAAAAAAGAAAGAAAATTTGCAGAAATAATATAAAGAAGTCCCATGTAACCTCCACCCAGATTCCTCAAATGTTAACTTTGTACCACATTTGCTTTATCATTCTCTCTATATATATATATTTAAATATTGAAATTATATATGTATATTTATACACATTTTTTCCCTGAACCATTTGAGTAAGTTGCAGCCACAATGTCCCTTTACCCCTAAATACCTAGGTTGTACTTTTTTAAAATATAAAAACATTATATAAGAAAATACTAAAAATTAAAAAGTTAACACTTATGACAATACTATTAGCTAACCCAGAGATATTATTCAAATGTCACTCATTTTCTGATCGCTACCCTTTATTAGGAAAAGAAAATCCCAAATCGTGAGCCACATTTAGTTGTCAAATCTCTTTAGTCTTCTTTAATCTGGAACAGTTCCTCAGTGTTTTCTTGTCTTTCATTACCTTGATGAATACAAGCCAGTTATTTTGTAGAATGTCTTTCCATTTGTTTATCTGATGTTTGCTCATAATTAGAGTCAGAGTTTTTTGCAGGCCTACCCCAGAAGTGACGTTGTGTTGTTTTCAGTGTATTATATAGGAGGCATGTTATGTTTATGTAACCCATTACTAATGATACTAATTTCTTCCAGGAAGTTATGATTTTTTTTCCTTTAATTAGCTTCTGTTAAGGAGATATTTAGGGCTATATAAATATCCTTTTACTCATTAGATTTTTACTTCCTCACTTGCTCTAATATTCATTGATGATTCTTGCTTGAATCACGTTTTACTCTGCTGGTTGCCACGTGTTGATTTCCTCATTTCATCATCTCTTCATATGGGGACTATGTGAAGTGCCTATGTCCCCATCTTTCCTTGAGTACTCCCTTACTTTCTGGTTCACCAAGTTGTTCCAGGTTCATCTGGACTGTTCCTGCTCCAAAGTTTGATTCAGCAGTTTTGCCAGGAAGCTCTGGCTCTTTCTAGTAGGGATTGGTTTGTAGACACCCAACATCTCAGTGCTACATGCGCTCAGTTACTACTAATCCTCTCAGTGGCCAGAGCCAGGAAACATGTATCTTTATATCTGTATATATTAAAAGCCCGGCCGGTGGCTTACGCCTGTAATCCCGGCACTTTGGGAGGCCGAGGTGGGTGGATCACGAGGTCAGGAGTTCGAGACCAGCCTGGCCAATATGGTGAAGCCCCATCTCTGCTAATAATACAAAAATTAGCCAGGCATGGTGGTGCCCACCTGTAGTCCCAGCTACTCAGGAGGCTGAGGCAGAAGAATCACTCAAACCCAGGAGGCGGAGGTTGCAGCGAGCCGAGATCGTGCCACTGCACTCCAGCCTGGGTGACACAGTGAGACTCCGTCTCAAAAAATAATAATAATAAAACAGAAACCATGTTGAGAGTCTTTGTTTTTACTTCAGTTTTTAGAAACAAAACACAAATATTGTTAAGCTAGACCAGTTGATTTTTATACATTAAATGTAAGAATTCCAAAAATCAATTCACAAATCTATAAGATCATATTTGAATCTATGTTGCAAAACATTTGGGCCCCAAACCAGACATGATGTGTCATTTGATAATTCATATGTCAATAAATCATGCTTTCTCTTACATAATTTAAAGTAAGTTGAACAACATGTATTACTTAATAAGTGTGGAAAAGTTGGAAAATTGTAATGCCATATCCAATAGTAGTGATGTAAATTAAGATATTTTTACCTGCTTAATCACACACCATGCAGAAGTGACAAAATGTTTACGAATATTCTTAAAGAGGGTATAGGAAGGATTATTAATTGCTATGCAAAGTCATTGAATTAAAAAAAAAAAACATCGAACACTTTCACCTAGAGGATAAGCTTCCAGTTCCCTTTCTCAGCGTGTAAGACCCTTCATAGTCTGACCCCACTTCACCCCCAGTCCCTCTCCAGTCTCTTATGCCCTTCTCTCCCTCTAAGCATCCTGTCATCTGTGCATATTGGTACATCTCATAGGTCTTTATGCACTAATATGATTGACATGCCATTCTCTCTCACCTACCTGGAAAGATCTGATACATCTTTCAGGTTCCAGATCACATACTACCTGTTCTACAGAATCTTCCAGGAAGAATTACTTCTTCTTTTCTCATAATAGTTCTTATATTATATTCTAATTGCTTATCTCTATATTCCTTATTAAATGTGTCTTCCTTTAAAACAGGGACTTTATCTTCCTTGTAATCCCAACACAACACAATGTCAGGCATTCAATATAAGTGTTTAATAGATGCATAATGATTTGTCAGTTTCAATATTCTAAACCTGATAATTTTTAAATGCTTTAGATCACAACATCTAAAACATTTAAAGTGAATATTAAGGAACCTAGCACTCGCTTCAGCAGTACATATACTAAAAATGGAATGAGGCCAGGTACAGTGGCTCACGCCTTTAATGCCAGCACTTTGGGATGCCAACGCGGGAGGATCATTTGAGCCCAGGAGTTCAAGACCAGTTTGGGCCACATAGCAAGACCTCATCTCTACAAATAATAACTTTAAAAAATTAGGTGGGCATGGTAGTACATGCTTGTAGTCCCAGCTACTAGAGAGGCTAAGTCTGGAGGATCACTTGAGCCCAGGAGGTCGAGGCTGCAGTGAGCCATGATCACACCAACCTATTCCAGCCTGGGCAACATAGGTAGACCCCATCTCAAAAAAATTGGAACAATACAGAGAAGATTAGCATAGCCAATTAAAAAACAAATTTTAAGAAAAAATGGCCAGGCATGGTGGCTCATGCCTATAATCCTAGCATTTTGGCAGGTCGAGGCAGGAGGATCACTTGAGCCCAGAAGTTTGGAGCCAGCCTTGGCACCAAAGTGAGACCTAGTCTCTACAAAAAAATAATAAGAAGAAAGGGAACCTCTGGTTTTCCTGGAGTTTTCTCTTGCATAGTAATGCCTGGGGCCCACCCCCAACCACTTTGTTTTGGAATCTGAAATGATCCCCTCAGCCCAGAGTCACTTTACCATTCTGTCCCCTCCCCGTCACCACCCACTCCTGCAGCAGCTCTTCAGCCTCCCAGGACTCCATCCAGGTCACTCATTTCTCTGGACTTCCCTTGGGTAGCCAGTGACCCTGAGCACTAACAAGCACCCTTATGTCATGATTATAGCACCAAGTGAGAGTTTCTACAGAGGCAGTGCTGCTCTCTAGAAGGCCACACAGGCTTTCAGCTCTTTTCTGAAAGCTATCCCTTCTAATCCTTAAAGACTTTTTTTTTTTTGTAATTTTTAGATGGAGTCTCGCTCTGTCACCCAAGCTCTGGAGTGCAGTGGCGTGATCTCAGCTCACTGCAACCTCCGCCTCCCGGGTTCAAGCGATTCTTCTGCCTCAGTCTCCTAAGCAGCTGGGATTACAGGTGCGCGCGAACACGCCTGGCTAATTTTTTTGTATTTTTTAGTAGAGATGGGGTTTCACCACATTGGTCAGGCTGGTCTCGAACTCCTGACCTCATGATCCACCCACCTCAGCCTCCCAAAGTGCTGGGATCACAGGCTTGAGCCACCACACCCAGCCAAAGCATTTTTGATATTTAGTTCTTCTTGTAAGACTATTGAGGTAAACATTCTAAGAAATACAGGTTTAGAGAACATCTTTCTGCTGAGCTTATTATAGAGTTGATATAGTTGAGATGAAACTGAAACTGGACATTTGGTTGGGTGGAAAGGAATGGAGGTGTCACTGAGCACCAGGGTAGTGAAGAGGCCCTCCTGGAAGGAGGGTGTGGCAAAATGACTAGATTGGTAAGGTCTGACCAGTCGGAGGGACTAGGTTACAGGGATGAGGGAATAAGCATTGGGAGCTCAGGGTAGTAATATCCAAGACCAAAATAAAGGGAGAAACTGGAGTCCACCCAGCCAGAATCCACAAAGTAATCTTTTCCTATTCCTTCATCAGGACCCATTGCCTCTTAATTGTCACTAGTCCCATCAGATATGTCTGTTGAGTTTGACTTTTACACCTTTTTAGCTCTATTATAATATTTGCTCACTTGCTCCATAATTAGTATTAGTTCTACCCTCCCATATGTGTATGACTGACATCAGTGAAAATCCAGTATAGCTTACCGAAGGTTGTAATAAACACACTTTGAAGTATTTTTAATTTAAAAAAATATTCTATCTCTAGGAATCTAGTGACAGGTTTGATATAATTAAAATTTAATTTTTTAATATGCAAAGGAAGTTGTCATAACTAGAATATGATTTGACAGGTGTTGGCAGTTCTCCAAGCAACTTATTTTAAAAGTAGGTATCTCTGAAAAAGAATAGGTAGAAGTAAAGGTTTGATTGAAAACTCAGTTTAACAGTGGGGCTGCTTTAAGGTAATGTATGTGTCCTTTTTTTCTGAGTACAATTTTTTTTTAACTTTTAGGTTCGGGTTACATGTGTAGGTTTGTTATATAAATAAACTCTCATCATAGGGGTTTGTTGTACAGTTTATTCTGTTACCTAGGTACTAAGCCTAGTACCCAATAGTTGTTTTTACTGATCCTCTTCCTCCATCCTCTGCCTTCAAGTGGGTCCCAGTGTCTGTTGCTCCCCTCTTTGTGTCCATGTGGTCTCATCATTTAGCTCCCGTTTATAAGTGAGAACATGCAGTATGTGGTTTTCTGTTCCTGTGTTAGCTTGCTAAGGATAATAGCCTCCAGCTTCATCCATGTTCCCATGAAATACATGAACTCATTCTTTTTTATGGCTGCATAGTATTCTATGGTATATATGTACCACATTTTCTTTACCCAATCTGTCATTGATTGGCATTTAGGTTGATTCCAAGTCTTTGCTATTGTGAATATGCAAGTGCATGCATGTGTCTTTTAATAGTAAAAATATGTATATTATAGTTAGTATTGTAAAGTATGTATCTCTCTCTTTCTAGATCCTGGTTAGATAACAATGGGAAAAGTGCTGTTAAAAAGCTAAAGAACAGTTTGCCACTTAGAAAAGAACTAGATCGTTTAAAAGATGAACTGTCTCATCAATTGCAACTCTCAGATATCAGGTAAGAAAGAAGAGAGAACCTAATTTAGAAATTGAAATGAATATGAATTACCAACTGATAAGCTTTTCAGCAGCTAAATATTTGCATCTTTAATTGCTCTGATAACTGAGTACTCTTCAATTATCTTTATGAACATCATGAAATGTTCATCTGTGTAAGAAAACTCTTATTAATTTCTTATTTTAAATACTGAAATAAGGCTGTGCACAGTGGCTCTTGCCTGTAATCCCAGCACTTTGGGAGGCCAAGGTGGGAGGATCGCTTGAGCCCAGGAGTTCAAGACTAGCCTGGGCAACATATAGAGACCCCATCTCTACAAAAACTTAAAAAAAAAATAGCTAGGCACTATGGCCTGCACCTGTAGTCTCAGCTACTTGGAAGGGTGAGGCAAGAGGATCACTTAAGCCCAGGAGCTTGAGGCTGCAGTGAGCTATAATTGCATCACTGCACTGCAGCCTGGGTGATAGAGCAAGACTTCATCTCAATTTATATATATGTTACTTCTTTCTTCTATATATAGATAAAGAAGTAAGGTTTGTTTAAGTACTGACATTTTTGGCGTAATAAACTTTTTTACATAATAAGTTTGTAAGAAAAATACCCTCTTCCATATACACATAATATATAAAAAATAATTATGCCCCCATCTTGTAAGATATTTAAGGCCAGACACAGTGACTCATACCTGTAATTCTACCACTTTGGGAGGCCAAGGCAGGAGGATCACTTGAGGCCAGGAGTTTGAGACCAGCCTGGGCAACATAGCGAGACCTCATCTCTAAATAATAATAATAATAAGTGTTTTAAAAGATTAGTATTTGAGTTTAAAAAGAGGAGGGGAGAGAGAAAATGGATGTTGTATTCTTGGTTTTATATTATATAGCAGGACTTTTTAAGTAAGTTTTCATAAACTTGGAAATTGCAGTTATATAAAGATCCATGCTGAAATTTATTGTGGAATAGATTTAACAGTTCTTAAAACTGTAAGGAAGGGAAAAGGAGTCAGGTCATTCAGTCACTGGACTTCCCATCACTAGAACTAGGAAAAATCGTCATCCAGTCTTCATGTTTAAACATCTTTGTTACTATTTGCAATAGCCTGTTTTGTTGTTTTCAATTCTCATTATTAGGACTTTTTTTTCTTATATTAAAACAAATGACTTGGGTACCATAAAAACACCTTTTTTTCCTGTGTTTACAGAGTACAGATAGTATTTACATGTTCTGTTCTTGTATAATCAAATCATCATAAGATAATTCAGAATTTCAAAGCATTCTTTTAGACTTCCATGTGTGGAATGTTTGAATGTATGCATATATCCATTATTTTATCATCACACTAATCATTTTCAGATTAAACTTTATTATAGGGGTTTCTTCCCATTCCATAGTCTATTAGCATAAACTTTTCTAACTAAAAATAGTAAGATCATTTTTAAAAGTTTATAAGATAAATTAAGGTGCATGCAAATAACTTTTTCTAATAGAAATTTTAAAAGATCTGTCAAAGCAGACTGGGGTTAGGAAAATGAAAGGATTTCTTAAACAAAAAAAGAAATAAACATTATTTTACAGTATCATGGAGAAATTTCTCAGCTTTAATTTATATTATGGTAAATGTCAATAGATATAACCCGGCCGGGTATGGTGGCTCACACCTGTAATCCCAGCACTTTGGGAGGCCAAGGCGGGCAGATCACGAGGTCAGGAGTTTGAGACCAGCCTGACCAACATGGTGAAACCCCGTCTCTACTAAAAATACAAAAATTAGCCAGGCCTGGTGGCACGTGCCTGTAATCCCAGCTACTCAGGAGGCTGAGGCAGGAGAATTGCTTGAACTCAGGAGACAGAGGTTGCAGTGAGCCGAGATCACGCCACTGCACTCCGGCCTGGGCAACAGAGCGAGACTGTCTCAAAAAAAAAAAAAAAAAAAAAAAAAAAAAAATATATATATATATATATATATATATATATATATATATGTATATATCCCACATAAACTCTAGTTTTCAATTTTTAAGAGTATAAAAGGGTCCCTGAGACCATAACATTTGAGGACCATGGGCATGAGGGCTTTTTTACTTGCTAAAAAATTAGCCAAAACTCCAGCAAACAGAAACATTAACTAATGACATTGTTTTTCATTCTAAACAGCCTATATAAAACACCATTTTTAACAAAAACAGCATTTACTACCTTTGTCACTTAAATTTTTTAATTTCAAGTAATCAAAAATTAATATTCTTTGAAATTATATTTTACTTTTTAAATTGTAGTTTAAAGAAAAAAACAATTTTTTAAACAAGTTTTCATTTTATCAGAAATGACATTCATCAGAATTAGTATTAGGATAAAAGAAGAACCTACGTTTCTTGAGCGCCTGTTTTGAATGCCTGACTCCTTCACACACATTACCTCATTTGATGCCTACTATCTGTGTAGCAGGAAACATCCTCACTTTGCAAGCATGAAAGTGAAAACCTTAGGAAGGCTAAAAGCAGCTTGTTCAAGGTCACAGAGCTAGTAAACCACAGAATTAGAATTCCAAGGTGGGTTTTCTGACAGCACTCGAGACCGGTGCTCTTCAGTTACACAGCAGGGCCTCTGACATCGTGTCAGTGTCAGGTTCCATGTGTCACTGAGGCTTAATATTAATTTATAAAATGAGCAGATTACATGATTTCATCAAAATCACTTTCTCTAGAATGAGATAAAAAGAACCTGAGGTCAGGTACGGTGGCTCACGCCTGTAATCCCAGCACTCTGGGAGGCCAAGGCGGGTGGATCACTTGAGCCCAGGTGTTGAAGACCAGCCTAAGCAACATGGTGAAACCCTGTCTCTACAAAAAAATTTATTTAAGTAGCCGGCCATGGTGGCACATGCCTTTAGTCCCAGCTACTCGTGAGGCTGAGGTAGGAGGATCTCTTGAGCAGAGGAGGTCAAGGCTGCAGTGAGCCGTGATTACACCACTGCACTCCCGCCTGGGCGACAGAGTGAGACTCTGTCTCAAAAACAAAAAAGAGAACCTGATAAACCTAACTGGAATTCGTAGTTGGAACTTGAATCTAAAACAAAACCATCGTCATTGTAACAATGTGAAAAAGAAAAACACTTTTTTCAAAGTTTTCCCATTTCATCATCTTATTTTTAAATAGAAACATCTTATATTTGCTTATTTTAAATCTTTGGATACCTGAACATAGTAGTAATATTTCTGCCCTCTGGTAAACAATTCATTTTCCATTTGGTTGCTTTTTTAAAAATTAGCTAGCTTAGAAACATATGATCAATCAAAACATGTTATGTGTGTGCTTCAAAAAGAGACTCATTGGCTTTCCAAGGACTCCAGTAGTTGTGGTGGGTGCTCGCTCCGTCTTCAGGGTGCCACTTGTTAACATGAGTGTGTGCTCTGTTGGCCTAGGTGGCAGAGGAGCTGGGGCATCGCCCACCGCTGTAGCCAGCTGCATAGTTTAAGCCGCTTAGCACAGCAGAATTTGGAAACACTTAAAAAAGCAAAAGGTAAACATTTTCCATTTTCTTTTAAAAAATCACTTAGCTGCTATGTACGTCTATAAATTTTAATGGAAAAACCAAATAACTTTATCACAGCTGAACTTTTAAATCTGTTCTTTGAATAAAGCAGTGGCATAAAATTAGCCTTTAAGCTTCTACTGAATTTAATCCTGGGTTTATACACTATTTGCACAATGCTGAAAGAATGAAGCACCTCGACCATGACCAAAGGTTTTGTGTTTTGTCATCAGGGTGTACAATCATATTTACAGACCGTTCTGGCATGAGTGCAGTGGGCCATGTGATGCTAGGAACAATGGATGTCCATCACCACTGGACAAAAGTAAGAAAGAGCCTTAAAATTAAAAACTCCTTGTCATTCATAAACTTTCATTTCCAACAATGCTGTAATGTTAAGGGACTAAAAAAAGGTTTGTTGTGTTTTTGTTTTTGTTTTTTAATGTTTTTAATCGCAGTATCAGCTGTTTTCAGATCAGATGCTTAAATACCATGTACTTAAAATACTTAAGAGGAAAGACTGATTTTTAAGGCAGTTTTTATCTGGTAATATTGCATTCTTTTCTGAAGCACAGCCTGAAAGCCTATATTCTGTTTTGTTTTACTTGTTCTTAACAGATTTATTGAGGTATAACTGACATTTAATAAACTGCACATGTTTCTTGTGTGTTATTTGGTAAGTTTTGACATATTATGTATGCCCATGAAGCCATTATCACAGTCAAGATAGCAAACGTATCCAACAACTGGGCATATATGTGAGCATATGGCCCTTTGTAAACACTCCCTCCCATCCCACCACCCCCTCTCCAAGCAACCACTGGTCTGCTTTCTGTTACTATAGATTAGTTTTGGAGTTTTTCATAAGTGGAATCATAGGGCTTGCAAACTTTTGTGTCTGGTTTCTTTCACTGTCTCATTTTGAGATTCATCCATGTGGTTGCATGTATTGGGAGTTTATTCCTTTTTATTACTGCGTACTATTTCATGGTATAAATATACCACAGTTTGTTTATTCATTCACCTGTTGATGAACATAGGGTCGTATCACTTTGTGACTATTACAAATAAAGCTGCTGTGAACATTTGTGCACAAATATATGGACATATATTTCCTTTCTCTTGGGTAAATACCTAGAATAGAATGGCTGGATCATATGGTAGAGCATTTTAACTTTTTAAAAAACTGCCAACACTTAACTATGGTCATCTTTTTAATTTTAGTCAGTCTAATAGCTCTGTAGTACAATCTCATTCAATGTGTAATTTGCATTTCTCTAATAATAAATAATGGTGAGCATCTTTTCATGTGCTTATTTGTCATCCACATATCTTCTTTAGTGAAGCGTCTGTTCAAATCAAATATTTATTTGGTAGAAATATTTGCAAACCGTATATCTGACAAAGACATTATATCTAGAATATATTTTCAAACTCTCAAATTTCAGCAGGAAGAGAAAAAACCAATCCAACTAAAAAAGGGCAATCTAAAACTCTCAAAATTCAGCAGAAAAAAAAAAACAACTAAAAAGGGCTACTAGAAAAACCAATCCAACCAAAAACGGTGACATGAAATGACATGTTGCCAAAGAGAACGTACAGATGACATGTAAGCACATAAAAACATGTTTATTGGCCGGGCACTGTGGCTCACACCTGTAATCCCAGTACTTTTGGAGGCCAAGGCAGGTGGATCACAAGGTCAGGAGTTCGAGACCAGCCTGGCAAACACAGTAAAACGCCGTCTCTACTAAAAATTAAAAAAAAATAAAAAGCCGGGCATGGTGGCAGGCGCCTATAGTCCCAGCTATTTGGGAGGCTGAGGCAGGAGAATCATTTGAACCCGGGAGACGGAAGTTGCAGTGAGCCGAGATTGCGCCACTGCATTCCAGCCTGGGCAACACAGCGAGACTGTGTCTCAAATAGATACAAAGATTAGATAGATAGATAGATAGATAGATAGATAGATAGATAGATAGATAGATAGATAAAACCATAGTGCATTATCACTACACACCAGGACGGCTAAAATGAAAAATAGTTACATGCTGATAAGAATGCAGAAAAAATAGGTCATTCATGCATTGCTGATGGGAATGTAAAGTGGTACAGGCATTCTGGAAAAAGATTATAATGGTTTCTTACAAAACTAAACATGACCCAGCAGTCACCCTTGGGTATTTACAGCAGAGAAATGAAAAATTATGTTCACACAAACACCTGTACATGAATGTTTATAATAGCCAAAAACTAGGAAAAAATGAATTTTCTTCAGTGTGTGAATAGCTAAACAAACTGGTACATCCATACCATAGGATTCTACTCAGCAATGAAAAGGAATGAGCTATTGATACATGCAGCAACTGGATGGATCTTAAGGGCATTGTGCTGAGTGAAAAAGTCAGTCTCAAAAGGTTACAAACTGTATGATTATATTTACATAACACCCTTGAAATAATAAAATGATAGAAAGGAAGGAAAGATTAGTGGTTGCCAGGAAGTAGAGAGAGGGGAGCAGAGGTGTCAGTGCTATAAACGGGATCCCTGTGATGGAACTCCTGTGTGTTTTGACTGTGGCAGTGTCACACGGCTCTGTACACATATAATAAAATGAATACACGTGTGAAAAATACACAAACGCATGCAAGTAAAACTGATGAACTCTGAGTAAGATTAATGAATTGTATCAATGTCAATTTCCTGGTTGTGATATTATGGCAATAATTGTATAAGATGTACTATTAAGTGAAAGGTATATGAATCTACAATTATCTCAAAATAAAAAGCTTTTAAAATGTAGTTACCATATATACATGAGTAACCCATGGAAAAATTGAAAAATAGGGAGTAAAATTATTTTCCACAAGATGTTAAAAGTAGATTATAAATAATTTGTAGAATTTTTACATAGCTATTGCTTTTATTATAGCAGAGTTTTTAATGCCTTCCAACTCTTCTAAAAGGCCCTGGCTTTTAATAGAAAATCTTAAGTCCTTAGTGGTCCTTCCCTGACCCAGCCCCTACGTCCCCCTTCAGCCCTTCTCTTTCCACTCAATCGCAGCAGGTCACATGCCAGCCATACCAAACTCCTTATTGTTTCCAAACATGCTGTTCCTTTTCATGGTTCCATATTTGCACATGCTCTTTTTCCTTCCCCCAAAACATCCCTTACATTCATGTGCCATTTCTAAATCTTACTTAATGTTTAAGATTGATTAAATTAGACTCCCTTAGAAACCTTTGCCTGAACCTCCTCTGTATCCACTCAGCCTGATTTGGCATTTAGCATGCTAAATTCGGATTTTTGTTTCCTTGTACCCCAACTGTGAGTCCCAGCCAAACAGGGACAAACTCTTATAATCTGTACACTTGAAGTGTCCAGCTCAGTGCTTACGTATATGGTAGGTGCGCAATCATATTTATTGCACTTAATTGTATTTAGTTGCTTTAAAGTAAATTTTGAAGGAATAGACTGAGTTGAAATACATACACTTTATTTCTAAAACTTTTCTTTATGCCATTTAATAATTCTAAACTAATTTAAGATTCTTACCTAAATATTTAAATATTAGTGCTTAGGATTAGGACTTACTTTCATTTGGAGCATATTTTTTTTTGGAACCTCACAAATTCCCATCTAAAAATCCCAAAGATTTACAGTGGCTTGTTTTGAATATTAATATTTCCAGCATTACATTAAGTTTTTTTATCTCTTACTTGAACTTTCCTTCAATGAAAATCATTTTCTTGTTAAAAATGTCTTAATGCCATTTATTGGAATTCTAAAATTAAATTATTATAGTAACATAAAACTAATTATTTCTTTCCCTTTGTTAACACTGTAGCTTTTTGAAAGATTGCCAAGTTATTTTGACCTTCAGAGGAGGCTGATGATTTTAGAAGACCAAATAAGCTATCTTTTAGGTGGCATACAAGTTGTTTATATTGAAGAATTACAGCCAGTATTGACACTTGAAGAATATTACTCTCTTCTTGATGTGTTTTATAATAGACTGTTGAAAAGTAGAATACTATTTCACCCTCGAAGTTTGCGTGGTTTACAAATGATCCTTAACAGGTAAATATCTAAGATAGAAGGATTACTTTTATTCCTTCGTCTAGGTGGGTTGTGTGTGTAAATGCATTAAATTGTTTTGTATTTCAATGGGTAGTTCTTAGGAATTAAAGAAAAAAATGCCACTACTTGTGTTAGCAACCCTCTTCTACACACTAGAAAAGCCAGCATGGGAGGATTGAAGGATTTAATGTCTAGAACATTCTTTGAATATATTGCTGAGCAGATTTACTGGGCAAAGTCAATCCAATGGAAAACATTATAAGATTAAACTAATAGTAAATCAGTAGCCAACATTTGTGGTGTATACACTGTTTGCCGAGCACTGTGCTGGGTACTTATATGCATTCTGTCTTTAGCTCTCACAACCTCACTGTGCAGCAGGTCACCCCTGGCATGTGACAGATAAGGAAGGTCAGAGGGCTTGCAAGTAGGTCGTGATCTTCTGAAGAAGTGTGTCTTTGGGGGCAGCAAAGCTTTAAGTCAATGTTGCTGTACTTTTGAGGTGGCTTTTCTTGATGATTTTTTTTTATTTTCCTGAAGACTAATAAAATATTTTCTCTGGTGGGGGAGAGGAGAGGGTCAGTGGTTTTTCCTTTAATGTATATTTTATTGCAGTGACAGATATGCTCCAAGCTTGCATGAACTCGGGCATTTTAATATTCCAACACTCTGTGATCCAGCAAATCTCCAGTGGTTTATTCTCACCAAAGCTCAGCAGGCAAGAGAGAACATGAAAAGAAAGGAAGAGTAAGTACTGCCAGTCTTCTGTAAAGTCAGATCATTCAGTCTAACTGAAAACCTCAGATATTTGGAACTCATAAATATGGGACCTGGAAACAGTATGAAGCTTAGGAAATTGACTAATTATTAGATATTCCATATTTATTTCTTCCCTACCTAAATTATATTACCACCACGGACCTCAGTTTGAGAAGTACAGCTTCTTAATATAAAAGTCAATTCAGAAACAGAATGAAAAATAAGAATATCAGCAAGGAATTTTCCAGATGGAAAAGACTGACAACAAGGAAAAATATTGGTTATTTCTTGATTAACAGGAATCTTTATTGTTTTAAAATTTTCAAACTGTTGATATAAAAAGAACTTTATCTGTATCTTGATTAAGTTGAGAAGAAAACTTAAAGTACAAAACTCATCTTAGGCCCGGCACGGTGGCTCATGCCTGTAATCCCAGCACTTGGGGAGGCCGAGGCAGGCAGATCACTTGTGAGGTCAGGAGTTTGAGACCAGCTTGGCCAACATGGTGAAACCCCATCTTTACTAAAAATACAAAAGTTATCCAGGTGTTATGGCGGTCACCTCTAGTCCCAGCTACTCAGGAGACTGAGGCAGGAGAATGGGTTGAACCCAGGAGGCAGAGGTTGCAGTGAGCCGAGATCATGCCACTGCACTCCAGCCTGAATGAAAGAGTGAGAAAAAGAAAAAAAATAAACGTTTTAACTATTGATATAAATAAAACTTTATCTGCATTTTAATTAACTTGAGAAGAAACCTTAAAGCAAAAAATCATTTTAGGCCGTGCACAGTGGCTCAAGCCTGTAATCCCAGCACTTTAGGAGGCCAAGGCAAGGAGATCACTTGAGCCCAGGAGTTCAAGACCAGTCTAGGCAACATGGTGAAACCCTGGGCAATATGGTGGGGAAAAAAAAAAAAAATTAGCCAGGCATGGCACCATGCCTGTATCCCAGCTACTCAGGAGGCTGAGGTGGGAGGATTGATTGAGCCTGGGTGGTCAAGGCTGCAGTGAGCTGTGATCACACCTCTGTACTCCAGCCTGGGTGACATAATGAAATCCTTTCTCAAAAAAATATATGTATCATTTTAGTTCCTAAGCAGTATTGTTTTTATGTTGTTTGTATCTTTGAAGGAGTCCTATTATAGCCAACAGTTTCCTGTTTTGTAGGTGGTAAGATATTGCTTGATAATGTTTTATGTATCACTTGTGAAGAAATGAAGTCATTTACTTAGCCAGCATTTACTGTGACTGTTACGTGCCCAAAGCTGAGATCAATGCCATTGATAGAAAGACTCAGACATGATCTCTGCCTCCTGGAATTGTTTCTAGTAGGAGATGTGAGTGCTGTAAATTTGCCAGTGGTAGCTGGAGCACAGTCAAGTGGGAAGAGCCAAAGCTGACACCCTGGTAGCATAGGGGACAAGGGAAGGCAACAGCAGGGAACAGGATGGAAGCTGGAGAGAATGCCATTCCACATGTCCATGGAGGGAAGTTTCAAGGAGAAGAGAAGAGGACAGGGTGATGGAACCTGGTTGTTTAGCAGGGTGCCAGTGGAAGCAGTTCTCCCGCCTTACCGTTCATTTGAGGCTCAGTTTCCACAAAGTACTCATTTAAAAAGCCAGGAATCTTAAATATAGAGAGAGGCTAGATATGGTGGCTCACACCTTTAATCTCAGCACTTTGGGAGGCCGAGGTGGGCGGATCACTTGAGGTCAGGAGTTTGAGACCAGCCTGGCCAACATGGTGAAACGCCGTCTCTACTAAAAATATAAAAATTAGCTGGGCGTGGTGGCATGCACCTGTAATCCCAGCTACTCGGGAGGCTGAGACAGGAGAATCACTTGAACCTGGGAGGTGGAGCTTGCAGTGAGCCGAGATCATGCCATTGCACTCCAGCCTGGGCAACAGAGCGAGACTCCGTCTCAGAAAAATAAATAAATAGAGAGAAGGGATGGCAACTAACGATGGAAGCCATTCTTTTAGCAAGAGACAGTGAGATCATTTTATATATAAAGTAAATGAAGGAGCAGCATCTCTTTTGTTTTCCTGTTTTCCTTATGGAATTGATGACAACTCGGTAGGCCAGATCCTATCACACCCTACCTCTTGATTGGTTGTTAAGTATTTGTTCATGCTATTTCTTTTCTAAATTTTACATCTGCTTTAACCCTCAAGAGCAATTCTAGCCAACTGTTCATCATTAGGACTGATTATTTTGTTTGCTATAACCTATCGGCTGCTTTTTCTCTTTTTCTCTATGGCCATTATATAGCTTTGGAGTAATGCTTATTAGATTGTGAGAAAGGAAAGTAAAAATAAAAAAATTCAAATAGGTCAATTTGTGAATGTTCCGTCCTACCAGTTGCTCAGGCGAATAAAAACCCATGAATCATCTTGATTCCTCTCCCCTGTCTCACTCCCTACCCCAGTCCACCTTCAGAGCAGACATGGAAAGAAACTCACCTCTTCTCCTTTCCTTTCCTGCTGCACCTGGTCTGAGCCTCCATCATTTTGTGATGGCCTCTTGTCTGGTCTTCAGGCTTCCACACTCAGCATCTCCCCAACCCCGCAGTGGACTCTCGTCAGAGCAGCAGTGGGAACCTAGTCAGAGCTGTCACTCCTCTGCCCAGTGCCCACAGACCCTCTGCCCACTCCCTTGCTTCTCTCAGCTCAGCTCCTGGGACTCTCCTCTCACTCGTTCTGCTCCAGCCTTTTTATAGTCCTCGGGCACTCTTGACATGTTATCCACTCCTGGGCCTGTGTGCCTTCCCCCAGCCTGAGGCACTCCTTCCTCAGAAATCTCAGCTTCCTCAGGCCCTGCTCACATTCCACCTTCTCTGGCCACACAACTCGAAGCATGGAGTCCCCACCCTCTGCTGCACTCCCCTCTCCACCTCAGCTGGCCTGCCTTTCTCCATCCACCTCAGCAAATTTGCTGTTTCCTTATTAATGTATTCTCTCTCTCTCCTTCCCAACAGAAGGTAAGCCCACTGAGGGAAGACTTCAGTCTATTTTGTTCCCTCCGGTGCCAACTGGGATGGGTGCCTGGCACACAGGGGGCCTTCAGGAAATACCGATTGACCTTTCACCTGCTTCCTTAGCCTTTTTCTGGCTCTGGGCCCCAGAGTCCTCATCCCTATACTTAGCCCCCAAGAAGAGAAAGCACTTGCTGTTGGTCCCAACCTTCCTTCCTGCTCAGTCATCATCCTCATGCCCCTGACTCTGGGCCCAGGAGCCTCTCCTCGCCTTTGCTGTCTTTCCTTCCTTTGCTCTGCTGTCCCTGCCCTAGTAAGACACCTTCATTATATTCGAAGAGCAGTGATGAAGACTAACTTCTTTCCTTCAGTGAAGCATGTTCCTAGAGAGTGGTTTTCAGATACTTTTTCACTTATAAGGTGGATTCTTAAGTGGAAACATAGTTTATTTTTATTAGGTTGGTGCAAAAGTAATTGCAGTTTTTGCCATTTTTTTATGGCAAAAAACTGCAATTACTTTTGCACCAACCTAATAAAAAAGATTAAAGCTCTCAGCTGTTCTAGTTCAAAAGAAAAGGAGCCAGAGGCCACCCATGCTCACAGGGTCCTCACAGTAGCAGCTCTGCTGGACTCTCAGCTTGCTGAATAGTTAGAAAAAGGGAAAAAACCCACACTATTCTAAGCTAGTATGTACAACCCACATGACCATCCCAAAACTGTGTGACTTGTAGCTCCTGTCTCTTGGCATTGCCTGGCTGGCATATAGACAGTATTTGCTGCCTGTGGAACCCCCAGTCCTTTGGAGGCTGGTGATAACCTAGTTCACAGTTCTTCTGTAGGGTGGTAATAACCCAGAGTAACCTGCACCTGAGAATCAACCAGCTCTCCCTAGCAGGGGCATTCCTCACTTTATGTTTTTATAGTAACCCACTCAGATGTTTCCTTTTACTCTATATCATATATTTCAAATTTTAAAATCACTTAAATAAGTTGGAAACAATCAAAATGTACAGTAATAGAAGAGTGTTTAAGTAGTTCTGATACTTGCATGTAGTAGAAACAATGACTAAAGGGTGGGCATGGTGGCTCACAGTTATAATCCCAGCACTTTGGGAGGCTAAGGCAGGAGGATCACTTGAGCCCTGGAGTTCAAGACCAGTCTGGGCTACATGGTGAGACCTCGTCTCTACAAAAAATTTAAAAATTAGCTGGGTGTGGTGGTTTGCACCTGTAGTCTCAGCTACTTGGGAAGCTGAGGCAGGAGGTTTGCCTAAGCCTGGGTGGTCAAGGCTGCAGTGAACCATGGTCACGACAGTGATACTCCAGCCTGGGCAACAGCAAGACCCTATCTCAAGGCCAGGCACAGTGGCTCACACCTGTAATCCCAGCACTTTGGGAGGCTGAGGCGGGTGGATCACCTAAGGTCAGTAGTTGAAGACCAGCCTGGCCAACATGGCAAAACCCTGCCTCTACTATAGAAAAAACAGCCGGGCATGGTGGTACATGCATGCAATCCCAGCTACTTGGGAGGCTGAGGCAGGAGAATCGCTTGAACCTGGGAAGCAGAGGTTACAGTGAGCCAAGATCACGCCACTGCACTCCAGCCTGGGCGACAGAGCAAGACTCCATCTCAAAAAAAAAAAAAAAAAAAAATTAATCTCATGCTGACTGCAGAGGCACCCAAGGATGAGGAAAGGCTGGTACACGTTATTTTCCTGTTGAGGGGACAACCCTGGGCAACCTTAACAAGGGCTGCCTTCTCAATGCTTCTCTAAGATTGTACCTCAGAAGAACTGATGGGTTCTCCTGATATAAAGCTTGTGACCCATGGGTCTGGGAAACCTGGAGATGAGACTGTAGGCTTCTCCTAAAAGGAATGAAAATGAGAGTCTTGCCCAGATTTTAAAGATATATTGTTGGAGAACTATGCAGCAACATGGTCACACTACAAGGCTTTTCACTTCCAAGCATGGTTGTTAATATCTTTTCTTGACAAGTGAAAAATCCCTTTACAGAAAAAGTTACTCATCCCCTGCTATTGATAGAAGTTTAAGGGTTCTTTCTGTCTAATCCTGGAGAGATTAGAAGCAGGCCCAGCTGTGAAACATTTGCAGAACCATCAGCCCTGACTGCTGTCTGTCTGCTTGAATCTCTAAGCAGCATATTCTAAGTAAGAATAATCTTACAGAAAAAGCAAACAGCACTTAAGAAAGTGATCAGTATTATAGGCCATGATAACTAACTGCTATGACCATTTCTGTTTTTTACTGTCTAGTTTATGGAAATTTTATAGTACCTACTTTTCTATGCAGTGTTTAAGGGTGATTAAATGTAAGATATTTGGACATTTTAAACCAATGAAGTATTTTAAATAGACTGGTTCAGGGACACGACCATGGCAGTTTTGCTTTATTCACGTTGTTAAATGGGCTTGCTGAGTAACTCATGTGTTGGTCTAGATGTAGCACATTGAATCCACTTATCAAAACACTGTATCCCTAAGCACTTGCCACCTGTGGGAGAAAGTATTTGAGACACTGAGTTCTGCCTAGAGTTGTATACTTTGTAGACCTGAACTGAAGCCCCTGATGGAATAAGAGAGTTGTAACCTCAGGCAGAGGGGAGGGAACAGACAGGGGGCTGGTGAGGTAGGAGAGTAAGAGTGAAGAGAACCTGTCCTCCTCAGGATCCTGGTTTTCTGTGAGCCTGCTTTTATCTGGGAAATCTTTAGACAGCATTACTTCCCAAGGGTTAAACTTTAGGTGGGTCCTAAAACTAGGGGTTTTATATTCTTCATTTTCTCCTTCCTTCAGTCACTAACAGCTGCTAGGTAAGGCAATATAAGAGCTTTTTTAAATTTATGTTATTTTTAGCCCTTTACTGCTAAAAACATTAACAAATACTTTTAGAGATCCATGTGACAGTAACTCAAAAGATTTAACAATGATGGCTATTGGCGTGTCTTCCAAACGTATAATTTGGCCTTTGTGGGTGGCATTTTCAGTGTTGTGAGTGCACAGTTAGGGCCCCAACATGTAAGAATATATTTACATTGTGTGTTCTTTTGTTTGGTTATGACAATATTTGTTCTTATGACAATATTTTTATTTTCTATATAATAGGTTAAAGGTTATTGAAAATGAATTGATACAGGCATCAACAAAGAAATTTTCTTTGGAGAAGTTATATAAAGAGCCCAGCATTTCTAGTATACAAATGGTGGATTGTTGTAAGAGACTTCTAGAACAATCACTGCCTTACCTACATGGGATGCACCTCTGCATTTCACATTTTTACTCTGTTATGCAAGATGGAGACCTTTGTATTCCTTGGAATTGGAAGAATGGAGAAGCCATTAAGTAACACAGAAATCTGTTTTATTTTTTTAAGAGATAAGAAAGGAACTTAAATTAAAAATATTTAAATCCACAATTTGATATAACAGTATTATTTACATAAGAACAAAGTTTCTAACTGCTGCTTTAAAAGTAGACTTTTTTAAAAAAATTAATTTCTGCTAGGAGAGGTTTTATATGCCAGGCGTGGTGGCTCATGCCTGCGGTCCCAGCTACTTAGGGAGGCTAAGATAGGAGGATCACTTGAGCCCAGGAGGCCAAGGTTGCAGTGGGCCCAGATTGCACCATTGCCCTCCAGCCTGAGCAACAGAACAAGACCTTGTCTCAAAAAATAATAATGATAATTTAAAATAAATAAGTAACTAATAAAAAGATTTTATATCCCAGTCTTATGATGTTGGTTGGCAAGGCTAGATAAAAAGATGTTAGAATGAAAGAACATATTTTTAGTGATATGTAAATGAAGGATTCTACAATAGTCATATATTTTTATATGAATGAATGTTGGGTTGGGCTGGAGAGGTATGTGTGTGTAAATATAAAGGTCTCACATTCAGAGTATAGCTCTGAAATAATGGAACTCATGTCTACAATTCAACATGCATCTGTATAGTTACATCTCATGTAAATATACACAGACATATTTTGCAGCCAGTAATTGACAGTTAATGTCCAAAACAGGTGATTGATAGGTAACAGAAATTAGATAACCACCAATTTTGCCCAAGAGAAAGACTAGAAGGACTAAAAGCAGTTGAATGTATGGTACTGACATTGTCATAAGCAGTCTGATAACCAGTTTATTGAAACGTGTGCATTAACAGAGAATTTAATTTTAAACCCATAATTTCTCCTATCCATTAAAATATTATAATTGTTAGTAGTATGAAACCAACAGGAAATGTTTTTTAATCATTTAGTGAGGTGATTCATTTGTTTCATGGGCAAACACTATCCAGGAAAAGCCTTGCTTGCCTGTTTCCCAAAGAGCTCTAAGAAATAGAATCAAGTGTAAAATGGTTCAGACCATTCAGGATTTCTTGTCACTCTTCTCAACCACGATCTTCCTGTTATTACTGATGTTTGAAACCCTGTCATTAGCCCCGGCCTGGTTAAAGCCCCTCAGAGTCACCTCTCATTCATAGCAATAGAATTCAACCCCAAGTGGTTGATGGTGTCCCCAGCACAGCCGAGAGACCTGATCTCTGGATTCAGTGCTTTTAGCTCTTCGAGTTTACCCTAAGATACCTTCGGGCAATATTTTTAACCAACCCAAAAGCTCTTCAGGTCATTTCTGAAGAGGACAAGGTGAATCTTGGCTTGGAACACCATTTTTGGGCTCTTGCTACTGAATGAATCAGAAAGGAATTTTTTCTGAAGAGCATTAGAAAGTAAAAGAGATGTTAAAATAAGTTCTTGAAGTATGTTTTATATTTATCTAAAACACTGATTTTAAAAGTTTACATTCAAATGTGTATTCAAAAGAAGTACTGATTTGTAATTATTATAGTTTGTGTGTATCATCCCTTTTAACCGTGCCTAACAACTGTACTTAAATTTTGTTTTCTAGTGTAACAAATGTTTCCCATAAGATTTTCTAGAGCCAAATAATGGGAGTGAAAAATTCCTTAAGTGTTATATAAGAAAATATATTAGAAAATCAGCTTTGGATTATACGATTTCTAAAATATACTAATACAGAATCCTCAGTAATATGTTTTGAATTGGATTTTTTCTCAGAACTGTTACATAATAAATAATACATCAACCAGATAACTGTTTTTTTCTTGTTACCCAACTGTTATTAGTTTTGGAACTATTGCAGTATAATAGGAAATGAGAAGAAATTGGTACTTGTATATGCCTGTTTGACTTCCTTTCCCACTCTAACATGAAAGAGAAAATTCTGTCCCACCACTGAAAGCTGGCACAGGAGCAGGCCCCCCTCACTGTTTCTACAAAGTCTCAGGTGAGAAGTGGTCTCCAAAGGGACCTGAGCTCCAGCTCAGGGCTAGGCCTGTCCCAAGGGAGAAACAGGCCTGCACTCCCCTGCCCAGGCTGTCCTGGCAGGAAGGCATGTGTGTTTCCCTAGGACAGGTTCTTACCAGGCCCTACTTCCTCCTTTCTCTTAAAGGACTGCACCTCCAGGTGGCCTTCCTGAGCTAATGAGAGGGTAGTGGGCTTTCAGAAGTGGCCAGGTGGGACAAAAGGGACCAGGGCTGTCTCAAGGGCCAGCTCACCTTTGGCATCTCTTGGGAGTAAGTGTATATCCCAGATAGAGGTCCCTGGAGTTAACCCCCTCCAGCTCAGGTCACTGTCCCAGCAACCTGATGCCCCTGTGTCCCCCATACTAACTTGACCTCTTTCATGGAGTCTGCCGCCCCACCCCCAGCTTCCCTGGAGAATTCTGCCCAGGCTTCCCTGGAGCAAACCAAGCAGATCAAATCAGTTCCATGGAGACTGATGGGCCCCAAGGCTGCAGGCTCCTCTGTAGGGGACCATGGTCCTGGCAACCTCCCACCCACAGGCCAAGGTATAGGAGCCACAGAGGCATCCAGTGAGGCCTGGCAACTGGCTAACCATGAAGTGCCCACACTGTTCCAAGACCACACTCCTACCTGTGCCACCTGGCCAAAGACCCCAACCACAGGCCCTCTGACATGGCAAGGTCACAACAGGTCCCATCCCATGGGTGAAAATCGACCCCGATATGGAGTCCCAGTGGCCGCAGATGTTAAGTGGCCCTGGGTGCAAGACCCACCCCTCACTTGTCCTCAGTCTCCCCACCTATAAAAGGAGGCACGAAGGCATGTTCTTAGAGGTTCTTGCCACCCTGAGAAAATCTGTCCCAGGAAGCCAGACAGCTCCCATGGGTGGTCCTTGGCCAGCCTAAGTACCCCTTATTCCATAGCAGTTGGGCAAGAACGAGAAGAAAGAAATGGAGTAGCTAGTGCCCCAGACAGATGAGACCTGCATCGGTGCTGTGGGACCCTTCTTCCCCCAAGTCTCGGCTACTACAACCTGGTTCTCTTGACTGCTCAAAACCCTTCCCTCAGGCCAGGTGCAGTGGCTCACACCTGTAATCCCAACTACTTGGGAGGCTGAGACAGGAGAATCACTTGAACCTAGGAGGCAGAGGCTGCAGTGAGCCAATATCGCACCATTGCACACCAGCCTGGGTGACAGCAAGATTCAGTCTCAAAAACAAAACAAAAAAAAACCCTTTCCCTCATGGGGAACTGTTATGGAGTTTTTTTAGGGAATTTTTTTTCCCTAAGCTGACAGATATTACATATCAGGGGACTGAGGCCCAGACTAGGGAAGAGAATTGTCCAAGACCCTTCTGCCTGCTGCAGGCAGGAGAGGTGAGATTAGAATCCAGGTGTCCCAGGGGCTGGACGGATCTGAGCAGGCAGAAGCACCCCCAGCTCTGGGCAAGCCCACCATGAGGTCAGCACCAGGTCTAGGGTCACCACCACGTGGGACCTCAGAGCAGCACTGCTCCATCTGGGAGGAGGATAGGATCACAGCAGAGAAAGACACACAGGGACCCTAGATGTTCCCTGGGTGGCCGGGCGTGTCAGTCCTGGCACGATGGTAGGAATGAATGAGCCAGCAGCTGAGAGGGCCTAACTTGCTTCTACAGAACTGCTGTGCAGATTGGGTCAGGGCGGCACCTTGCAGCTCTGCTCCCCACTGCTCCCATGGGAATCCCGGCAGGCCTCGCCCCTCACACCTCCCACCAGCCAAGCTGCTCAGGGAGCCCCATTCTCCCTCTGCTCCAGCCAGGGGACGGGGCGCCCTGGGACCACAAAGGCCCCTAGGAATGTCATGCTCAGAGGGACGTTTGCACACCTCTGCCCCAAAGTGCCCACCACCAGCCTGAGCAACATAGTGAGACCCCTTCTCTATTAAAAATAAGAAAAATTAGCTAGGCATGGTGGCACATGCCTGTAATCCCAGCTACTAGGGAGGCTGAGGCAGGAGGATCACTTGAGCCCAGGAGGTCTAGGCTGAAGTGAGCTATGATTGCACCACTGCACTCCAGCCTGGGTGACAGAGTGAGACCCTGTCTCAAAAAGTCCCCACCACGCCACTCATTCGGGGGAAAGTGGCTCAGCAGAGTGTGCTGCCCAAACTGAAAGGGCCATCAGATTTTCACCCTCACAATCTTCAAGAGTGGGAGGCAGTCGGTTTTTCTTTTTCATTTTCTCATTTGTCACTACCACAGGCACTGGCTTAGACCTGTTGGCCGCCTGCATTAGCCAGAGACTTCTAGGTCAGCAGGACAGCAGAGATGCCTCAGGAGGGGCTGTGTGATTGGGAGGCAGGGATAATCTGTGTAAGTGCCAGCCCTGGTGCCTCACTTTTATCCCCACCCAGAAGTGCAGGATGTTTTTTTTATTTTGGTTTTTTTTTTTTTGAGACAAGGTCTCCCTCTGTCACCCAGAATGGGGTGCAATGGCACGATCTCACCTCACTGCAACCTCTGCCTCCTGGGCTCAAGCAATCCTCCCACCTCAGCCTCCTGAGTAGCTCATACTACAGGTATATGCCACCACAGACAGCTAATTTTTGTATTTTTAGTAGGGTCGGGGTCACTATGTTGGCCAGGCTGGCCTCAAACTCCTGGGCTCAAGCAATCCACCCGCCTCGGCCTCCTAAAATGCTGGGATTAGAGGTGAGAGTCCGTGTGCCCGGCCCCTGAAGTGCAGGATTTTTAAGCCTTGGGGTAAAATTCTCGGTCTTTTCCTTTCTTGTCAGTCATCCAATAAACACTGAGGGAGCACCTCCTGTATGCAGGCCCTGTCCGGGGCACTGAGGACACAGCAAGGACAAACACGCTGCCCTTGAGGAGCTGACGCCGCAGACTTCCCTCAGTGCACTGGTTTCCTGTGACTGAACTAAGTTATCAACTCGGTGGTTTAACACAATAGAAATTGATTCCCTCACAGCTCTGGGGGCCACACATCTGACATCAAGGTGTCAGCAGGGCTGCTGGCCCTCCTCGGGCTCTGGGTGGGATCCCTTCCTTTGCTTCTTGCCCTCAGTTCCTGGTGGCTGTCGGCACTCCCTCACTTGCAGCTACATTTCCCCTGGCTCTGTCTCTGGTGACAGCCACCTCCTCTTCCCAGTGTCCTCCCCGTGTCTCTGCTGGTCTCTTATGAGAACGTGTGGCTGCATGTGACCCACCAGATCACCCATGACAAGCTTCACTGGAGCTTAACTCCCAAGAGCCTTAACTGGATCATATACTTTGCCACATGAGGTGATATCAAGGTTCTGAGGTTTAGCAAATGAATGGATGATTTTGAGGGCCACCACTCTCCACCCTCTACACTTGGTGGCTTGGCCTCAACACCAGCCCTGGAGAGGGGCCTCCCTTCTAACCTTCCTTTTTTTTTTTTTTTTGAGATGGAGTCTCGCTGTGTCGCCCAGGCTGGAGTGCAATGGCATGATCTCGGCTCACTGCAAGCTCCACCTCCCAGGTTCAAGCGATTCTCCTGCCTCAGCCTCCCGAGTAGCTGGAATTACAGGCACACGCCACCACGCCTGGCTAATTTTTGTATGTTTAGTAGAGATGGGGTTTCACCGTGTTGGCCAGGCTGGTTTCGAACTCCTGACCTCAGGTAATCCGCCCGCCTCGGCCTCCCAAAGTGCTGGGATTACAGGCGTGAGCCATGCGCCTGTCCTAACCTTCCTTTCCTGGGGGGTCTCCTGCAGCCCTGTGTTCAATATTGAGATTGTTTACATCCTTTAACAATTCTTTAACATCATTTAACAATATTTATATTAAACTTCTCATGTTTATATTTTTTTAATTTTTTTGAGACAGGGTCTGGCTCTGTCATCCAAGCAGGAGTGCAGTGGCACGCACCATCACGACTCACTGCAGCCTTGACCTCCTGGCCTCAAGCCATCCTTTCTCCTCAGCCTCCCAAGTAGCTGGGACTACAGGTGCATGCCACTACGCCCAGCTAATTTTGTATTTTTTGTAGAGATGGGGTTTCACCATGTTGCCCAGGCTGGTCTCAAACTCCTAGAATCAAGCGATCCACACACCTCAGCCTCCCAAAGTGTTGGGATTACCGGCATAAGCCACCATGCCCGGCCTTAAACTTCTGTTGAAATCACTGTGTGTTGGCTGGGCGTGGTGGCTCACGCCTGTAATCCCAGCACTTTGGGCGGCCGAGGCGGGCAGATCACCTGAGGTCAGGAGTTCGAGATCAGCCTGAGCAACATGGAGAAACCCTGTCTCTACTAAAAATACAAAAATTATTCGGGCGTGGTGGCACATGCCTGTAATCCCAGCTACTCAGGAGGCTGAGGCAGGAGAATCTCTTGAACCTGGGAGACGGAGGCTGTGGTGAGCCGAGATCACACCACTGCACTCCAGCCTGGGCAACGAGAGCGAAACTCTGTCCCCCTAAAAAATAAATAAATAAATAAAAATAAATCACTGTGTGTTTCTGTTTTCTGATTGGACCCAGACTGATAACAATGATTCAGCAATGCCCCCTGCCATGAGTGGGAGGCCAGGCTTGGCTCCTTCCTAGGCACTCCCCAGCTAGAGGCCTATGTGCCCTCAGCCTTTGAATTCCTGCTCGCATGTTGCTCATTCATTTAAAATGCAAAATGTAGTGACTGCTGTCATCCTCTGTGCTGAGAGATAGCAGCCTTGCTCCTCATGACCTTGGCCTTAGCAACCCACCTGTTCCTCAAAGTAAGGTGCATGGGCTCTGCAGCTGACATTTCTCCCCAGTCGGGGTAACCCCGATGTGTTCCAGAGGGAAGAGTTGCTACAGTCGTGTGCTCTGGATGGCTGGGGCCTCACTGTGTGTCCAACCCAGCTATAAACTGGCAGGTGGGGAACACTTGTGGCCTGGCTGCTGAAAGGAGGGTGTCTGTGGTGTGTGAGCTCTGCTGTGAAGTCGAAGGAGGTGATGGGCATACATGTGGAATGGAGCCAGCGGCCGTTAGGAACTGGGCCCTGCCATTCTCACCCAAGTGGCCCACTGTCCCTGGAGTGACCCTCGCGTGCTCTGCTCTGAGTGTGTCTCCCAGTCCCTTCTCAGTCAGAAGCAATGCACAGTCACGTTCTCCAGCCCACGGTAATGTCTGGCTCCACATGATTCGAGGCACAGCTTATCTGGCTACCCCCTCATCTCCCATTGTGCAACCTCAGGGCAGGGCCCATGTCCCATCCCAAGACCGCCTCACCAGGCCCCCTTGTCTCTCACCAGCCAAAGTCCAAAGTGAGTCCAGGGAGGTGTCCTAGCCCCTCCCCCATGCGGGGAACAGGAGATGGCACAGGCACTGGGCACAGGGAGGAGCTGCCCCCACCGAGTAGTCTCCTTAGGTCAGAGCAGCAGGTAGCTCCCCATTTATGAGGGTCAGGGAAAGACCCACTCACTCTCTCCAGATGGCTCTTAACCAGAGGGCCAGGCAGGGGGGCTTTGAGGGCTGGGCTCCAGACACCTTGCCTCCCCATGCTGAGCCCACAGAGACTCTCAGCAGCAGAGGGAGAGAGAAGCAATGGCTCTCTTGGGCAGGTGGTCTCAGCACCACAGGGCTGCGCACAGCAAGCCCCCAGCCTTAGGAATCTGTTTCCCTCCTGAGCCAGGGCTGGGCTCCCCTTATGTACACCTCATTCCATGGAGTCTTTGCTGCAGCCTCCAGGGTGGGCACAGAGGGGGGACCACCGACCTATCCCCATCTTCAGCTTAGCTTGCCAGGAAGTGAAGAAGCCAGGCCCCAAATCAAGGCCTATTGGCTCCAGAACTCAATGCTCTGCTCACTAACGTCTGTACACCCAGCACGGCCCCAGGCAGGGAGGTCACCACAGGATGGAGGCCACATGTTCAAGGAAACCACGCAGAGGGCCCTGTGTACCAGACTGGCAAGGCGACGTCGCACGTATGACAGGGACCGGGCCGAGCCAGGGTTGTGTGCGCTTCCCACATCCCTCAAACCCAGGGCCAGGGATCACTGCAAGAGGAGCCAGCCAGGGCCATCTGGTGTGTCCCAACCCAGGGCCCTCCCCACTGCCTGATCTGTAGGGCCAGCCCATCCAGGCCTGGGGCTCACTAGGGACCTCTGCCCCAGGCCATCACCCGGGATGGCTGGAACTCTCTGTTCTGACCAGAACCACTTCCTTGGGGAAAGGCGAGCTCAGCAGTGGGACAGCAGAGAACTTGGATGTCCATGAAGCCATCTTCCCCCAACAGTCTGAGGTTAGAATGTCCTTCATCCTGAATGGTTGACCAGCTGCCCTAATATTGGCTTAAGCCAAAGTAGACAAGGCAGACAAGACAAGACAAGGCTTAAGCAAAGTAGACAAGTGGTAAGACAGAAAGAACTTTCTGGCTACCAGAGGCCTCATCAGAGTCAGAATATGGTAATCCCATCACTCGGGAGGCAAATAAGTCACCATAGAGCATCTCAGGGCCTCGACGGCCACCCAGCAGGGCACATGAGGATGTCTCTGGCCTTATTTTTCCAGCATGTAGTAGGTTCTCAGTAAACATGTGAGACAGGTTCATATGATCAGTGTGCCTGAGGGCTGTGACAGGCTCCTGAAGGCCACTTGCCCTTGTCCGTGAGGTTGGTATCCAAGTGACCCAAGTTCATGGGTTCCCCTCCCCCTACTCCTGGACCTCCATCCATGTAGGTCACCGATGGGGACATGCAGGTCCAGGGAGCATGGCTCAGCATCAGGCCATCACTAAAGCAAACTCCAGCCCACAGGGACCTGGCACAGGGTAGGAATAGGGGCCCTGCGGGTCAAAGGGAGTCATGCCCTCTGGAGGGCCTTAACATCCTTTGTTGAGGACCCTCTGAATGTCTTCTCTTGGCTTGGTCCAGCAGACATTGGAAACCTCACTGGGGAAGGTTCATGGGAGGGTCACGGGTACCTTCAATTTCTAGCAGAGAACCCGGAAGTAAGTTTCCCTGCCCTGCTGAGTTCATTTTCGGGGGGCAAGACCCAGTTCCAAGCTGAGGGTGCTGATAGTCCTTAGGGTTAGCCCCTTAGGGGTTCCTGGCCCACTGTCCTGGTGCCCCTCCCTGGCCACCACCAGGCACCTGAACACTAGCTTCCCAGCAAAGCCCCCACCCACAGCAAAGACCACTCCGAGGCCTGCCCACCATAGGCCACAAGTGTTTGGAGGACAGGGACCAGATCAGGTTCCAGCCGCACCAATATTTTCCTCCACCAGAGCCCCAATGTCAAAGGAGCTGCTGGAGGGCCTGTTCAAGAAGAGTGTAGTGACAGAAGCCAAGGAGACTGTCACCACCCCTCTCCATCCTGCTCCCTGCCCATCACTCCAGGCCTCCATGTCAACTCTGTCCCAGCTTCCCGCCCTCTCTCCCCCACTCTATCTACCTGCGCAGATGGCCTGTCCCTGCAGATATCTACACCATCTCAGCCCTTGAGCGCTCCCCTGCCCACCCTTCACACTTTCAGAACTGCACCCCCTGCTCAAACACCTTCTGTGGCTCCCCAGGACGGAAGAAACAGTCGCAGCTCCTCAATGGGTCTCTTAAAAGCTGCCCACTCCCATCTCACCTCTTCCTGCCCATATCTGCGGCTGGACCTGCTGGGCCAGCCAGCGCCATGACCTGCTCCGTTTCAGCTTCCAGCCTCCATAGCTTTGCTCAAGCTGTTCCTGCCCTCCAGGATGCCCTCCCCATGCCTCAGGACCCAGTGGCTCCTCCTGTGCCCCACCTCGGCCCTCAGAGCCAGGCACACAAACTCTGCAACTGCATTGCACGGAGCTCTGACCCAGGGGGACTTGTCCTTGACTCCAGGCCTGCAAAGAAAAGCAAGAGGGAGCATTTCACATGGGAGAAGCCACTTGAGTGGCTGGGGGAGAGGCACAGAGCTGGGAAAGAGCAGATGTGAGAGCAGGCCTTGAGTCAGAAGGCACTAGAGATGGTGAGGGAGCAGATAAGGTGGCTGGGGGCAGAGGACTGGGTCTCTCCCTGAATGCCCCGTCCTTTAGCCACACCTGAAGACACATACCCAGCAGCTGGGGGAGGAAGGGGAGGACAGCGCCTGGATGCCCCTGGACAGGAGGGTGCTTGGCTCAGGCCACTCCCAGTCCTGGTAGGAGTGTGTGGTCAGTAGGACCCTGTAGCCATCTGCAGCCTGGGAGGCCCTAGCAGGGCTTGCCCAGACTCTGCTTGCATGCCTGCAGTGATGGATCGCTCACTCACTTACCAGGCAGCTCACAAGGTGGGGTGCAGCTCTGAACAAGCAAAACCTCTTCCGAATGGAACTGAAATCTGCCCCTGGGGCTCCCCATTGAGCTCCCCACTGACCCCACGGTCCCTGTGGGATAGCCCCTGCTAGACCCTGTGTCTCCTCCTCCAGACCTTGCAGTCTCAGGACACTCAGCTCTTCTCCAGGAATCACCTCCTTGGTGCACAACCCTCAGATGACCTTGATATGGTTTGGCTGTGTCCTCACCCAAATCTCATCTTGAATTGTCGCTCCCATAATCCCCATGTGTTGTGGGAGGGACCTGGTGGGAGATAATTGCCTCACGGGAGTGGTTTCCCCATATTGTAGTGAATAAGTCTCACAAGATCTGATGGTTTTATAAGGGGTTTCCCTTTTCATTTGGCTCTCATTCTCTCTTTGCCTGCCGCCATGTAAGGTGTGCCTTTCCCCTTCCCCCATGATTGTGAGGCCTCCCCAGTCACGTGGAACTGTGAGTCCATTAAACATCTTTTAAATTACCCAGTCTTGGGTATGTCTTTATCAGCAGTGTGAAAACAGACTAATACAGACCTGGAACCCCCTCACCCTTCCCTCATCTCTGCCCCAAACAGGCCACCACCCCTTGACACAAATTCTGCGTGGGAGACATGAAAACCTGAGATTTGGGCTTTACTCAAAACATCACCCTATCAGAGCCACAGTGCAGCAAGTTCAGCTCACCTGAGTGGGATCTCAGAACAAACCCCCAGGAGCAAGTCAGCTGAATGCATGGCCTGGGCACCCTCCCTGCCCAGGCCTGACAGCTTTTGTCTCTATGGTCTGTGATCCCCAAGGACACTCGACTCCCAAGATCCCCCCAATTCCCACTCCTGCCACTGGGGGCAGAATGTGAATTCCATGACCAAATAGCCCCTCTCCTCACAGTTGTGTTTCTAGAGTCTCTCCACCTCTGACCCTCCATCTCCTCATCTTTCAGGGAGTGGAAGAATGCGATCACCCACAGATCCCTACTCATCCCACTTCCATCCCCCCTACCCTTTCCCTACCACACACACAAACATATCCTGGCCTGGGGTGAAGTTGCTGATTTTATTAACTGCAAGGCCCCCGTCATCCAACACAGGGCACCAAGCCCACGTGAGGGGGCCCACACCCACTGTCGGTTGCCTTTCTGGATTAGAGACTCTGAGAGCTCAAAGTGATAACTGTCTTGGAAATGGGCAACAAGGCCAACTTTGATAGGAAACTGCTGCCCAGGTTTTTTCATACATCCACTGTCAGCAGAAGTGGCCCTGCCAGGCCACAGGGCAGAGCACGGTGGCTCGTCCAGGGGATTTGTTGCCCTGGAGACTCTGCTGGTGTACATTGAGCCCTGATCCCCACCCCAGCATGAACTCAGATTCCTGCTGCAGGCTGGGCTTGTATCTCTCTGGGCATTTCTATGACACTGGCTGGGGCTCTTGTGGGTTGGAGGAGCATGAGGCTTAAGAGCCCATGCTGGGTTAGGATTGGAGGCCCTGGTCCCAGTCACTCTGCCTGAGAGACCCACAGCCCCTGCCCTGGCAACCTTTCCCTCCAAGGCCCAGGGCCCAGATGACCTTGCAGGCTCCGGCCCTCCCTCTGCCCTCCAGCCTGGCCTGCTCTCCGTTGTTTGCTGGCCGTGTTGCCATGCACAAGTGGATGTCCTGGAGCACCTCATGAGTGCCCACCAGCAGTGACACCAAGGACTTCATCAAGGCCACCCTGCAAGGGGCACAGGGAGTGCACACCAGTCCTCCCGCCCACCCTGTGGAGCTGATGGGCCCTGCCCTCTCCCACCCTCAGAAGCAGCCAGGCCCTCGGGATCAGCTGACCCCAGCCTGGGGCTGACTTCCATGCTACCTCTTGTTCCCAGTGTTTGTCATAGCCTGTAGGTTGAGCAGGCTTGACAGACTGGCTTGCTCACTCCCATATTGTGCAGGGAGGAAACTGAGGCCAAGGTAGGCAGAATCCTGCCGACGTCACAGGACGTAGTGGCCGCAGATTTGAGGTTGGATCCCAGGCCCATGCCCCCAGCTCAGAGAACTCTCAGAAGGGTCAGGGTCCACCATGGGCCCATTTCCTGGAATAACATAGAAGCCCTAGTCGGAAAGAGACACGGAGCCACACCCTAACCTTTGACCTCTGACCTGCCCCACCTAGGATGAAAGCCTCTGGAGGCCTGGGTCCGGCCAAGAATCAGATGAGACCTGGGAGCCGCCTGGGTGTGATGATTCCAGGGCTGGGCTGGTGCAGCCTGCTGAGGGGCAGGGGAGGGTGTTTCTCCACCAGGACTCTGTGGTTAGGCACCCATGAGCCGGGAGCACCAGGATCTCCTCTTTTAGGTAGCTCTGTTCTTCCTTGCCCTCAGAAGTCCACTTCCTTGGTACCCAGCAACTCAAGCTCCTCGTGGCAGGGCACAGTGCTCCACTGGCAAAGCCGAGGATGCACTGCAAGGCTGGCTAATGCTCAGCGATGCCGGCCAGGCTGCACGTCCGATTCTGGCCACACCTACCTGCCGTTGCTCTGCATGCCCCACTCCTCTCTAGTGTTCCTGATGTACTTGAAGTCCATCCTGATGACGCATTTCACCTGGAGCTGCTCCGGTACAACTTGGAGCCACCTAGCACCTGTTCAGGGACACTAGTGGGGCTTCTCCAGCAGCTCCTCCTCAAACCAGGTCACTCTGTGTGCCCAGGCCAGGTCTGTGTCCTTCCCCCAGGATGCACTCCTGTACCCCCGAGGCTTCCTCCAGCCCTCAACCAGCCTGATCAAGGAGGGCCAGGTCTGTGATGGGGCTGCTTCCCACACTGCCTGAGTCACTCCATGCCTGGAGGGCTGAAAGGCAGTACCCAGAGAAAGCACAGAGCTGGGGATGGGGGTGACCCTACCTAAAAGTGTGGTGTCCACTGCTAGCTTCCTCCAGCCTCAGGCTGTCTCAAAAGGGAGCTCCATGCAGGGCCCCAGCCCCTCCCTGCCCTGAGTGCTGTCCTCAAGCCCAGGAGGCCCCAGGCTGTGCCCCAGGGACACTGGGCCTGCAGGTCCGTCATCCTGGCTTGTTCCCATTCCCACCCAAGGAGGTCTCCTGGCTCTGGCTGGAAACTAAACATATTGCTTTGACACCAATGTCAGAAGCCCAAAGAATTAAGAGTAAAATACCAAGATGGCTTGGTATTTTAAAGGAAGTTAAGGGAAGCTCTAGGAAACGTTATGTCAAAATCTAAGTAAAATTTTACTGGGTTTGAAAGCACTGGGCATGTTCCTGTGAGACCCCTGGGGTGAGTCCTGTGCTTCCAGGGAAGGTAGATGGGGCCAGGCAGATGCGGCCAGCAGAGCCTGGCCACGGGTGGCTCAGGAAGGTGCTTAAAGAGTGTAGCCAGACAAATTTTCTTAAGATTCAAAAGGAAAACCAGTTATTCCCAGTAAGGACATTGTTCAGCTTGCAGGTGAAGGCCCAGGGTGCAGAAGGGCTGAGAGGAGAGGTCGAGACCGGTGGCTGAAGGGCTGGTCCCAGGGGTCCGAGTATGGGCAGAGTCACTCCTGGTGATGAGATGGTGACAGGGATTGCTGAGAACGGTGGGGGCTCCTCACTCCTCCGGCTTTGGCCTGGCCCAGGTGGGTGCAGATGGGCAGGGGTTTCTTGAGCCTGAGTCTTTCAGAGAAGGCTTAGATGGAGGTGCAAGGGCAGGCCTCTGTGCAGGCGGGCCCTGGGGACTGCAAGGAGCCTCCTGCACACTCCTGGGCTGAAATGGGGGCTTCTTTTGTGGGCTCTCAGGAGAAACAGCAGGTGCATCTGCCTTCTGCGGGGGGTAGGTGATTTCTCCGCTTATCTCGTTCACCCAGAAAAACATGTCTAGAGGTTCCTGTCCCTGTCCAAACTGACCTCTAGACATACCTAAAAGGGAGAAAAGTGAGACAACACAGGTGGGCCTTCCAGCCTCCATATGTCGGGTGGAGGGTCAGGGGGAACTGCCAGGGCCTGGGCTTCCCTCAGCCTGAACCTTTCACCAGGGGACTCACTCTCTCCCGGAGCACCAAGCCTTCCTGGAACAGGAAGCTCTAGCCTCCTAACTGGAAGCTCCAGATGAATTCTAGGGTCATTTTCTTCTTAAATGGTCTTTTCAAAATATTTTCATCTTAACCAAGTATACTAAGTATACTTTACGTCCTGACCTAGTTCAGGGATGTGTGTGTATACTAACAATTTCATGGAACGTAAATAGTTATGTACAATAGTCTCTGATATTTTCAATTCTTTTTATGTAATTAAATCTACTATATTCCTTAAGAAAATGCTGATTGCCATTCGAATTCATTTTGTAAGGAAAGCAGCAATGATGAACCATAGCTTGAAAAACACAATCTTCAATTAAGAGAAGGATGGAGAATCTGATACAAAAGAAGACCAAAAAAATCACTCTTGCAAATTTTACACAAACATGACCATGTGTGGTCAGCAGAATTGTCCCCCAAAGATGGCCCTGCCCTAATCCTTGGAACCCACAACTGTGTTTCATTATATGGCAAAAGGGACTTTGCAGATGTAATTAAAATTATGGACCTTGAACTAGGAATATTATCCTGGATTATGCAAGTGGCCCAATCTAATCACTCGAGCCCTAAAAAGCAGAGAGCTTTCTCTGACTGGCATCACAGAGATAGATGCAGCAGCAGGAGAAGTGAGAGAGATTCTAAGCATGAGAAGGACTCAACCCACTGTTGCTGGCTTGACAATGGAAAGGGCTTACTGGAAACTGTGTCAACAAAATGAGCTTGGAAGTGGATGTTCCCCAGAGCTCCCAATAAAAGCTGGAGGTAGACAAAACCTTGATGTTAATCTTGTGAGACCCTAAGCAGAGCCACACTTGCTGACTTAGGGACTTCAGTGGTATGAGATAATAAATGGGTGTTGTGGCTGGTTCGATGGTTCATACCTATAATCTCAACACTGGGAGGTGGGAGGATTGCTTGAGCCCAGGAGTTCCAGACCAGCTTGGGCAACACAGGGAGAACTCATCTCTACAAATAATAATAATAATAAGAAGAAGAATACAAATAAATTAGCTAGGTGTGGTGGCATCCACCTGTGGTCCTAGCTACTCAGGAGGCTGAGGTGGGAGAATCGCTTGAGCCTGGGGTGGTCAAGGCTGCAGTGAGCTGAGATTGTACCACTACGCTCCATCCAGCCTGGATGTCAGAGGGAGACCTTGTCTCTAAATAAATTAATAAATAAATAATAAATAAATGGGTGTTGTATCAAGCAGCCACACCTGTGGTCATTTGTAAGAATAAGTCATTTCCTGGTCAGGCGCAGTGGCTCACACCTGTAATCCCAGCACTTTGGGAGGCCAAGGCGGGTGGATCATGAGGTCAGGAGATTGAGACCATCCTGACTAACACGGTGAAACCTGTCTCTACTAAAAAAAAAACAAAAAAATTAGCCTGGCTTGGTGGCGGGGGCCTGTAGTCCCAGTTACTTGGGAGGCTGAGGCAGCAGAATGGCGTGAACCTGGGAGGCGGAGCTGGCAGTGAGGCGAGATCACGCCACTGCACTCCAGCCTGGGTGACAGAGTGAGACTCCGTCTCAAAAAAAAAAAAAAAAAGTCATTCATTTCCCATTCTTACAAATGGCCACAAAAGGAAACGCCTATGCCATGTGAACACGTTCTCAGAATAAGTACAGGAGGCAGCCTGCAAGTCTGGGCGACTCTTCCTACTTTCTTTCCATCAAATTCCTTCACCTTCTTTAGAACAGACACAATGACTGTCAATCCTGAGAAACTTCAAGGTGCGCTACCTAGAATATCAACCAGCTCAACCAGAAGCTGATCCTGACACCTGTGTCCTACAGGAAGTTCTGATTTGCTCAGGTGGAGAGGATTTCCCCAGCATCCCCTGGTGGCCACAAGGCCATGGGGGAGTCAGCACAACCTGCAGAGATCCCCTGGTTCAGGGTGGGTGGAAACAGGGGGTTCGGGGGCTGAACAGTTAGAGGCTGGCCAGGAGCTAGGGAACTGGATAGGTATGAAGGGTTTGAAGCTTACCTGTCGGAAGGTTCTGGGGTGGAGGAGTCTGTGGAGGGAGCTTCAGAGAGCAGGAGGGGCATTAGAAGGCTGGGGCCCCTGCAATCTAATCTTTGTTGTGTAATGCGTTTCCCGCCCTATCCCAGCCTAGCTTCTGCCTGGTGATCTCAGACCCCTGCAGGGCAGCTCCCCACTCACCCCTGCACCATCCTCGCTGTCACAGTGCCTGATGCCCCAAAACTGGAAGTGTGCCTGCCATTGCCTTTCCCTGCCTGGTTTCCAGCAGTCCCATCACATGGCTCCAAAAAACAGCATCGGGGTTTTTTTCTAGAACCCAAATTTATAAACAAGGGGCAATGTCCTCTGACAAGGTTGGTTTGTGCTCAGTATAATGGTAGCCAGGGCTACCTGGATCAGGAACATCTTGTGATCCCCTCCCTACTCCCCTGGGTCTGGCTTGCTGGGCCTCACACCCTCTTCACACCCTGGTCTCCCTGAGAATTAGATGCAGCTCCCCATGTCACCAGCTGCTTACTGGGACTGCCCAGCCCAGGCCCACCTTGAATCCTCACCACGTTCCCCACTCTATGGACCCAGCGGCTGCTGTGTGTCCCATGGAGCCAGCCCATGGTGCTGGCAGAAGATGGAACAGTCGTCCTCCTGGGCTGGCCCCAGGTCACCCAAGCAGGCTTTTCTCCTCTCCTCACCTGCCTGATGGTGCCCACCCGATGTGGGGCAGTCCACAGGGCTGCTGGAGCTTAGTGAGAAATGAATCCCTTCCCAGCCCCCAGGGGCTTGCCCAGCAGCCTTTCCCCATTGGTGCTAGTAGCCTTGGGCCTTCCCAGAGACTGCTGCAGGCCTGTCCGTAGCATGAGGCCATTGCTAAGGTGAAGGAGAAGCCTCTGTCCCCTCTTCCCTCCCTGGCTCAGCTCACCTGCTCTGGCAGTGTGCTTGGTGAGGCCAGGTGTGCTTCCTCCCTTCCTCCCCAGGGCCTCTCCACCTCGGTCCACACAGGGGCAGTTTCCCCAGGAAACTCTAACTCATTCCATTACCTTCCCCCAGCTGATCTTGGAAACCCCCTTGCTGTGAATATTGGCAAGCTTAAGAGCTTATTGCCCCCACCATGGCGTCCAGCTCTTGATCAGTGTGCTTTGAGGGCTTTGTCTTCCAAGCCTTGGACAACCCTGAATGCTGGTTAGTCTTTGGCTGGCTCCAAGACGCAGTGTCACACAAGTACCACCCTGTGGACACGCTGAAGTTCCCATGGAGTCTTTTCTATCGAAAACTCAGCCTCTTTCAGGCCAAACACCGGCTCCCTTCATGTGCATAGCTTTCTAACTGGTACAATTTCCCCAAAGATAATTTAGAATTATAGTGATCACTTTGGGGAAACTCTGATATATACAAAACAAAAACAAAGCAAAATTCTGAATATCCAATGGTCTGCTGTCTTTAATTGGTATGAGGAGGCTCCTAAACACAATTTGGACTCAAAAAATGCTTCTCTAAAATATTCTTTAGCTATAACTAATATGAAATAGGAGCATCTTTTCCCTCATGTGCATCTTTTTTTTCTTTTTTCTTTTCTTTTTTTTTTTTTTGAGATGGAGTCTCACTCTGTTGCCCAGGCTGGAGTGCAATGGCACCATCTCAGCTCACTGCAAACTCCTTCTCCCAGGTTCAAGTGATTCTCCCGCCTCAGCCTCCTGAGTAGCTGGGATTACAGGCCTGTGCTACCACGCCCAACTAATTTTTGTATTTTTAGTAGAGATGGAGTTTCACGATGTTGGCTAGGCTGGTCTCAAACTTCTGACTTCAAGTGATCCACCCACCTCAGCCTCCCAAAGTGCTAGGATTACAGGCATGAGCCACCGTGCCCGACCAAGCATCTTTAAAATGTTGACATTTCCAATGCCCTTGCCACATTTTGTGAAAGGCTTCAGGTCCAAAACTGTCACTATGTTGGGTAAACAAAAATGTTGGCTGGCAAATCACTCTATTGCATAAACATCAATATTTGGCTAAACATTTTTTTTTTTTTGAGATGGAGTCTCGCTCTGTCACCCAGGCTGGAGTGCAGTGGCGTGATCTCAGCTCACTGCAAGCTCTGCCTCCCCGGGTTCACACCATTCTCCTGCCTCAGCCTCCCAAGTAGCTGGGGTTACATGCGCCCGCCACCATGCCCGGCTAATTTTTTTTGTATTTTTAGCTAAGACAGGGCTTTACCATGTTACCCAGGATGGTCTTGATCTTCTGACCTCATGATCCACCGGCCTTGGCCTCCCAAAGTGCTGGGATTACAGGCATGAGCCACTGCACCTGGGCTTGGCTAAACATTTTAAGGAGACTCTGGATATCAAGAATAAAAGACCCCTCATGAGGAAAATCTTTGTCTTGTTTGCCTAAATGACAGATCATTTTGTTTCACAGGGAGGCATCACTTCCTTCCTTTCCATAAGTTGGAGATTAATACATTCTGGCTTTTAAAAAATTGTATGGCTTGATAGAATTGTCACAAACTGAAATTATGTCAAAACCAGATATAGGACACTCTCGTGTGTGTATTGTATATATGTCTAAACTTTCATCCCTCTTCTTACAGAGAAAAATGATTAGTTATTTGTCTAAAGCCAGCTCCCTCTCATTTTTTTTCTATCCCATTTCCTCTCCTTTTCCCTCTTTTGAAAACTTAACAAAATGAAAGACTTAACAAAAATTACATTCAGCCGTTATGCATATATTCTAGGAATTTTTAGTTCAGGTAAAGTCTAAATTGTCTAAAGAAAAAAGTTATTGAACTATTTTTTATGGACACTAGAAAATGTATTTCCCTGATAACCTTTTAAACTAGCTATGACAAAAGAAAAGACGCCAACTTCAAAATAAAGGAAAATGTTAGCATGATTCACTCCTTATTAGTTTATTTTTTTAAAAAATGTTAGTACAATATTTTGGCTTATTCCAGACCAAAATTAGATTTCTTATAATTCAAACTTCCTAAATTTCCTACATTAATTTTATTTATTTATTTATTTTTGAGATGGAGCCTCACTCTGTCCCCAGGCTGGAGTGCAGTGGCACAATCTCGGCTCACAGCAACCTCCACCTCTCAGGTTCAAGCGATTCTCCTGTCTCAGCCTCCCGAGTAGCTGGGATTACAGGTGTGTGCCACCATGCCCAGCTAATTTTTTGTATTTTTAGTAGAGATGGGTTTTCACCATGTTGGCCAGGCTAGTCTCAAACTCTCGACCTCAGGTGATCCACCCGCCTCGGCCTCCCAAAATGCTGGGATTACAGGCATGAGCCACAGCGCCCGGCCCACATTTATTTTGTAAATGAAATGTTTTCATCATTTCCATAACTTATTTAAAATAAAAAATTTTGACCGGGTATGGTGGCTCACATCTGTAATCCCAGCACTTTGGGAGGCCAAAGCAGGTGGATCACTTCAGGCCAGGAGTTAGAGACCAGCCTGGCCGACATAGTGAAACCCCATCTCTACACCAAAAATACAAAACTTAGCTGGGCGTGGAGGCACACGCCTGTAGTTCCAGCTACTCGGGAGGCTGAGGCACAAGAATCGCTTGAACCCAGGAGGCGGAGGCTTCAGTGAGCCGAGATCATGCCATTGCACTCCAGCCTGGATGACAGAGCGAGACCCTTTCTCAAAAATAAATAAATAAAGTAAAATAACAGATATAAATTCACCCTTGAAATATAGAGCACTCTCAAAAACTGAATTGACTTGACTCTCCCAGAAATCGAAGCTCATATGACTAAAATAATTGCCCTCACCCAGGCATGCCAACTTGTGAAAGTGAAGTATGTAGTTATGCTGGTAGTAAAGGGGCTTTTGTCCACAAATTCAGAGTGCTTAGAGAACCCCAGGGGAGGAGCTCAGTGGGTGGAGTCTCCAGAGATTTGCCTTGGAGGCTGTTGGGACAGCAGGAGTGAGTGCTGTGATTGGCTGGGACCTCGATGTCACAAAGGTCAGGGACAGCTGCCAGAGAATGAAGCAGAGGGCTGTGGGGTGAAGGGACTGCCAGTCTTCTGCCACTCCTTTTCGTGGTCCTTCCCTTCACTGCCTTCCTTCTCCCAGACAGACTGGGCATCCAGTTCCAATCCAAAGGCTGCCCCTTTGACCAGGCCCATCTTCTCCACCTCACATCAGACAGCCAATCGGCTGCCCAGACCTCGAAACCTCAGTAACCTAGAAGGTAAGGACTTTCAGATTTCACCAGGAAGGATTATCCCTTCATGCCTTATAAAAGTAACAGAACCGGTCGGGCACAGTGGCTCATGCCTGTAATCCCAGCACTTTGGGAGGCCAAGGCAGATGGATCACCTGAGATCAGGAGTTTGAGACCAGCCTGGCCAACATGGTGAAACCCCCTCTCTACTAAAAATACAAAAAATTAGCCAGTCATGGTGGCACACGCCTGTAGTCCTAGCTACTTGGGAGGCTGAGGCAGGAGAATCACTTGAACCAGGGAGGCGGAGGTTGCAGTGAGCCAAGACCTCATCATTGCACTCCAGCCTGGGCAGCAAGAGTGAAACTCTGTCTCAAAAAATAAATAAATAAATAAAAACTAATAGAACCTATCAATTCATAGGAAATGGACCTTGGCAAACGTGTGTCAGGAGAGGATGACTTGGAGGTGTCCACCGTGTTTCTTACTGAAGGTTTGTTCAAACCTAGAAATTCACTTGGGACAGCTTATGAGCCCTCTCCTATTCTTGGGAAAGCTTTTAAATTGTCTGACAAAGTCTGTACCCCTGGAGCATGGGTTAGTTTGTTGAAGTCCACAGACCACACAGTTTCTTTGAAGGTGTGCAGCATGAGGGTGAGTTCCTCTATTGCCCACTGATGGAGAACTCACTTAGGCTGTCTTTTCTCTCCTTCAGATGTCTAAAAGTCAATTGGGGTCAAGGAACAAGCCTCTACTCACATGCATGTGGGCAAATGAAGTCACAGAACAAATAACCTACCCTGCATCCAGGTTAGATCCTCCTGCACCATTTCCTGCTTCTCTGCGGATCCTGCAATGTGGACCCCTGTCTGGATGTGGTGCTGGGGAGGTGGCTCCTCCCTGTCCCAGAGGCCCATCTCGTGTTCCCACACAGGCACGGAGTCCAGGGACACCCCCTGCTGCTGCCTAAGAGAAAGTGGCCCAAGAAGCACTGGCCCGGTGCCTGCTGATGCCAGGAGCCCTCTGCTACTGCCTGACACAAGCATCCTGCGCTTCCCCCTCCCAGGCCCTCCCCGAAAGCGTGGGCCACAGGTACCACTCCCTATGCCACTGAGCCCCACATTTCCCATCCCCCAAGCCACTCCCACCAGCCCCAGAGCTTTCCTACATTTATGATTTGTCCAAAAATGTGATGCCCTTCAGCCCCCAGAAGGTCATCCTCCAGGCTGTGATCGTCACACAGGGGGTCCCACATGGGGTCCTCACAGGCCTTCAACCCAGCACAAATCGTGGCCTGGTTTGACCTTTGAAATATCTCAACATCTAAAATTCAGAGCTTTTTTGGAATATTTATTTTCCATAGATATAATTCTTTCAAATAAATTCCTTAGAAAACAATATCCAGTGTTTCATTATTTGTGCTAACATGTGCTTTTCCCATTTTGGAGATGAAAAATATCATTAGAAATAAAAACTCAAGGGACAGATTAAACATCAGATAAGATGCAGTTAGCAGGCCGGGCGCAGTAAAGGTTGCAGTGAGCTGAGATCGCGCCACTCCAGCCTGGGCGACAGAGCAAAACTCCATCACCCACGCACAAAAAAGATAAGATGCAGGTAGCAGAGGGGCCAAGTGAACTCAAACAAGATCTGAAGTGCAATCTTCCTTAAGGAGTCCAGAGATGGGTGACAGGACATTTGAAGGAAAAGTTCCAACAGAGCACAGACAGGCTCTAGGAGATCACACAGGGAAAGGGGAGGCTACATCCAAGAGATAAAGCTGAGAATTTCCCAAAATTGATGGAAAACAGGAATTCTCAGAGTGAGGGATGCCACTGAATCCCACAGAGGATAATTGAAAACATCCACACTTAGTTACATTGTAGCAAAAGCATGAAACACTGAAGATAAACCTTGAAAGCTGCTAGGGAAAATATCTGATGAATTGAAATTAAAAATGATAAAATTTAATGAAATAGTATCATTAACATACTGAAAAAAATCAGACATCTCAGATTTGTACGTTCAGCTAATTATTCAACAATTAGGGAACTATGAAGACTTTCAAGATAAAAAGTTTACCATGAGCAGACCTGGACTACAGGAATGTCTTGCTAAAGAACGGTTTTGGTCTGGGCACTGTGGCTCATGCCTGTAATTCCAGCATTTTGGGAGGCCGAGACAGAAGCAACACTTGAGGCCAGGAGTTCAAACCAGCCTAGCAAGACCCCCATCTCTACATAAAAGTTTTTAAAAAATTAGCTGGGTGTGGTGTTACGCACCTGTAGCCCTAGCTATTCAGGAGGCTAAGGTGGGAGGATCACTTGAGGCTAGGAGTTTGAGGCTGCAGTGAGTTAGGATAGCACCACTGCACTTCAGCCAGGGCAACAGAGCAACACTCTGTCTCAAAAAAAAAAATAAAATAAAATAAAGCAGTGTTCCTTAATCTTGGCACTCTTGACATTTGGGACTGGATAATTCCTTGTTGTTGCGACAGCACTGGGCAGTGTAGAATGTTTAGCAGTATCCCCGTCCTCGAGATGGGGAGGCTGGCACCTCATGTAAAATGTTTGGCCAGGTTGCAGCCTGTGTTAGCTTGGAGGGTGGATCATAATTTGACCAAATCTGTGGCATTAGGAAAACGGCAAGAATCCAGAATGCTGGTTTTGTTGGCTCCTCCTTGGCTGCTTTTAACAAAGTCCTGTGAGAAAAGTGGTCTCTGGCTGGAGCTTGCCAGTGTGCAAGGAGAGCTAGAAGGATCCAGAGTGTTGTTAATGTAGGTAACCCCTGACTGGCCTGCCACACACAAACAGTTGAATAATTTGGTGCCTTGCAAGTTTGAAAAAAATCAGCCACTCATACACCCCAGCCAAGGCAGTTGTGAGCTGTGGCTCTGAAGAGGCAGTCTTTGTAGGAGATAGCCCTGGTGCTGCTAGCAAAGACAAGATTTTGGGTGTTGCTTCTCATAGCAAGCCTATGATATTAGTGAACATGGAGAGATCTGGCACAATCAAGCGTTGCTAAAAGGAACTCAAAGGCCTGCTACAAATTTCATAGAGCTGGACATAGGCCATCCCCAGTGAGCCAGGACAAAAACTAGGCAGAGCCCAATGTCCATAAAGTGTGGGCTGGATGGCTGAGCACGGTGGCTCATGCTTGCAATCCCAGCACTTTGGGAGGCTGAGGCGGGTGGATCACCTGAGGTCAGCAGTTCGTGACCACTCCGGCCAACATGGTGAAACCCCGTCTCTACTAAAAATACAAAAATTAGCCGGGTATGGTGGCGCATGCCTGTAATCCCAGCTATTTGGAAGGCTGAGGCAGGAGAATCACTTGAACCTGCGAGGCGGAGGTTGCAGTGAGCCGAGATACTACCACTATACTCCAGCTTGGGTGACAGAGTAAGACTCCGTCTCAAAAAAAAAAAAAAAAAAAAAAAAAAAAGAAAGAAAGAAGAAAAAAAAAAGAGTGGGCTAGAGCTCCACAGTGGTATCATCATACACAGAATACCATGATATAATGAAAATACAGCATCATCACATGCAATGACATACATAAAACTGACAAACGTAATTTTGAGCAAAAAATGCAAGACAGACAATACTTTATTACTTCATTTCTATAAAGTACAAAAACAGGCAAAAGTAAACCATATTTAAAGATGTCTATAACAGTGGTAAATACTGTGTAAAGGTTGTCGGCTACTTCTGACCTAAAGGGTGAAAACAACCACAGACAATATGTAAATGAATGAATATATCTGAAGATTATATGAAATTTATTTTTTATTTTTTATTTTTTTGAGACAGGGTCGCTCTGTCTTCTGGGCACCATTTCAGCTCACAGCAACCTCTGCCTCCTGTGTTCAAGCTATTCTCCCATCTTAGCCTCCCAGCTGGGATTACAGGCATGAGCCACTGCACGTGGCTACATGTTTTGTATTTTTAGTAGAGACGGGGTTTCACCATGTTGGCCAGGCTGGTCTCGAACTCCTGACCTCAAGTGATCCACCTGCCTCAGCCTCCCAAAGTGCTGAGATTACAGGCGTTGAGCCACCATGCCCAGCCCTTGAAATTTAAATTTCAATGTCTCTAAATGAAGTTTTATTGGAACACATCTACACTCATTTGTGTGTGTGTGTCTGTGTGTGTGTGTGTGTGTGTGTGTGTGTGTGTGTGGATGGAGATAGAGAGAGAGGGATTTATGAATTTATGATAAGGAATTGGCTTATAGAATTAAGGAGGCTGGCAAGTCCCAAATCTTCAGGGTGGATGAGCAGGCTGGAGAACCAGGAGAATACATATTCCAGTGAGAGCCCAGTGGCACCTGCTGTGGAGCAGGATTAGTAGATGGTGTGCATGAACTCTGAAGGCAGTCTGCGGAAGAATTCTCTCTTGCCTGAGAGAGAGTCTGGGGCAGCCAGACTTTATGTTCTCCTCAGGTCTTCAGGTGATTGGATGAAGCCCACCCACAGATAGAGGGCAATCTGCTTTCCTCAAAGTCCACAAATTTAAACGTTAATCTCATCCAAAGCAACCTCACAGAAACACCCAGCATAATGTTTGATCAAATACCTGGGGACCTTGTGGCTCAGCCAAGTTGACACCTAAAATTTACCCTCACACTCCAGTCCTCCAACATCCCAGCTTCCCTCTTACATCCCTGAATGGCAGAACCCAACAAGGAACCAGCTGGCGAAGCAGCATCGTGCCTGTTCTTTGTTGCCTGTGTTTTTCATTTTAAGTCGGTGGAGTTACAACCCATGGATTCCTTTGTGTCTGCTTCCTTTTCATTAAAATTCTGCTCATGGATTCATCCCTGCAGTAGGTTCATTTTCAGGTGGAAGTGTAGGAAGCACAGGAGATCACAGAAGACCTCAGCAGGCCAGCTTTGCAACATCCTAACAAGGAGACGGGAAACTGAAGTACCACAGGAAGGAGATACTCTCCATCTCTCACCACCCAAAGCTTCCTGGGATGCTAAGGGTCATCGTTCTTTTTTTTTTTTTTTCCCGCTCTGTTGTCCAGGCTGGAGTGCAGTGGCACTATCTCGGCTCACCACAACGTCCGCCTCCCAGGTTCAAACGATTCTCCTGTCTCAGCCTCCCCAGTAGCTGGGATTTACAGGTGCCCGCTACCACGCCTGGCTACTTTTGTATTTTTAGTAGAGACAGGGAGTTCAGACTGGTCTCGAACTCCCGTTCTCAGGTGATCTGCCCACCTCAGCCTCCCAAAGTGTTGGGATTACAGGTGTGAGCCACCGTGCCTGGCCTAAGCCTCACTGTTCTTTTCATCTTTCCTGCTGAGACAGGAGATTGAGGATGTGGACATTTTGTTGAGGAAAGAAATAGGACAGACAACTCAATGAAGTCTCAGAGAGCCATTCTAAGAACCCATGTTCTATTTCCAGAACCCACGTCAGGCCATTACTGGGGGGTCTGATGGGGTTATGAGAGAAATGCCCAGGGAGGGAGACTGGAGAAGGTTCAGGGACCAAGTTCTGGCTTCTGCCCTTAGAGGAGCCGGACCTGCAGAGAGAGAGTGGGAAAGTGGAGAACCATCAGCTCACTTTCCCTCACGCCATGGCAAAAGCATCTCCATCAGGCAGGACTGGCTTCACAGGCAGGCAGCCTGGGCAGCCCTGCGGGGCCCCACACTTAGAATGGCCTCCGCCTGCTATCTTGCTCTGCTGTCAGGGTCTTGAAATTCTGAATGGTCTTGAACATCATGCACTGCACCTGGCAAAATAGCCGGTCCTGATCAGGTCTCAAGGCAGCCCTGGACTTTGGAAGGCAGCACTGACGCCCCACTGAGGAAAGGAATGGCTGCTGAGGACTGAGAACTAGAGCTGAGACTCCCAGGCAGCCCCTTTGGAAAACAGTTTGGCATTTCCCCAAAATGTTAAATGTGGAATTATGTGATTCAGAAAATCACATACAAAATTGTCTCGTGTCCCTTTTAAACATATAGAATGTAACTATTGGAAAGAGAGAGAAAAAGGGCCTGGCTTGGTGGCTCACTTCTGTAATCCCAGCACTTTGGGAGGCTGAGGTGGGCAGATCACTTGAGGTCAAGAGTTCAAGACCAAGCTGGCTAACATGGTGAAACCCTGCCTTTACCAAAAAAAAAAAAAAAAAAATTAGCCGGGCGTGGTGGCGCACACCTGTAGTCCCAACAGGCTGAGGAAGCAGCTTCACTTGTACCCAGGAGGTGCAGGTTGCAGTGAGCCAAGATTGCCTCCACTCCAGCTCGAGCTACAGAGTGAGACTCTGTCTCAAAAAAGAAAAAAAAAAGAGAGAAAGAAGTTTTGGAAACATTATTTGCCCTTAGCCATGTTGTGGGTTTATTTCCTACACTGAGTCATATTATGTGTCTTCCAACATGTCTGGAGCAGTTGCTACTCCCTGTACACCAGGTCCAGTGACTATAATGTCATCAATATAATGGACCAGTGTGTCGTCCTGAGGGTGAAAAGGTTCTCAAAGGACCTGGGAACTAGATCATGAGCTGGGCGGCAGAGTTGAGGCAGCCTTGAGATAGGGTGGTGAAGGTGTATCTAGCTGAAAGCAAACTGTTCCTGATGGTCTTTACTCACAGGTATAGAGAAACATTCACCAGATGGGTAACTGGGCAGCCAAGGGGATAATCGGATCGGGTGTGCCACACTTCGCCTGCCCCGCTTGCTTTTGGTTGCTTGCTCTTTGTTATTTTTTCCCCCATGAAGCTGAAGGCCACGATAGCTGAAGGCTATGCTATTGAACACTGTAACTCAACTTTTACGTGCTACCTTATAGATAACATTTATAAGTCACCATAACAACCACTTATTTTTCAGGAACTTGGGGCAGATCCTGTCCAGTTCAAACCAGTTGAGACTGCCAACCCTTCAACTGGGCCTGTACACATGCCCAAGAGGTGGCCTTTTGACATCAGAGGGCCAAAAACTCCACCCTCAGATCATGTTAACGCCACCATTTTCTGCACATATGTCATATGAACCCCAATTATGACTGCATTTTTCCCCACTGCCAATCACCTTTCCCCATGCCTCAGACCACCCTACTTCTCTAACCTATAAATCTCTCTAAGCCTCATCTTTGGGGAGGTGAATTTGAGAGCCATTCTCCCATCTCCTCACTGGACAGCCTTGTGAATAATTCTTCTCTCTTTTGCAAAACCCATGTCACAGTGATTGATTTACTGTGTGAGAACAGAACAAACCTGGGCCTGGCTCAGTAACAACTGCAAACCAGTTGTCAGACGTATCGTTTGCTCAGCACTGAAACCACATGTGGAAACAGCACCTGCACTTGGAATCACTAGTTAATTAAGTTTACAATTAATCCAATTGTCATTCTCCAAGATCCATCTGTCTTCTGCACAGGCTGAGTAGGTGAGCTAAGTGGAGATGTGTTCCCGTCTTTGATGGTGGCACTAATCTCAACAATCTCTCCAGGAATGTGGTATTAGTTTGCTTTAATATTTTTGTGAATGAGGCAGCTCTAGTGGCTTCTACTTGGCCTTTTCTACCAGAATTACTTTTACTGTATGGATCAGGGAACTAGTGTGGGATTCTGCCCATTGTTGACTATGTCTATTCTAATTACGCATTCTAGAACCAGGGAAATAACCATAGGATGGGTTCAGGAATCTACTAGATCTACTGTGAGATGAATCTGAGCCAAAAAGCCCATTGATCACCTGACCTCCATACACTCTTACTCTGAGGAACCATGGTGGCATTTTGAGTCTCCTGTAATTACTGCTAGTTCAGAACTAGAGGCTGGTTATCCCAGAAAAGTCTAATTATTTGCCCTTCCCAATGCACAATCACTCTGATAAATGGCCTTGGGTGCCTTTGGGGAGGCCTAGGAAGATAAAAAGTATAAATTATTGTCAGTGCAGCAGGGTCCTACTTCAAAGGGACCTGGCCTATCCTTTATTCAAGAAGCTGTGGGTTTGTGAACTAGATCAAGACTTGGAATTGACTGAGTGATTGTAACTCTGTGTTGGTAATTTAGGTCAGACTTTATTCACCAGATCTGGAGCTTTCCTACTTACTCGGATCAAGTAAAACTTTAGTAGGCAGCCCATCCATTTCAGTTCTCAGGACACTATGATCAGCAGGCAGACATCACAGATCTCTGTGGGTCAGACCATTCAGGATCCTGCTTTGGCTGCACTGTCCATGGCAGTCACCACACCAATTGTGTTTTTGGTGACTAAGTGTTACCATATGGTCCCTGCCTCCTCAGGATTCCATCAGCCCCACTGCACTTCAGGGAGCATTTCCCACTGTAATGTGGCCTGTATAGAATATCTGGCACTCTCTACATGAATTTATTTCTCATAATGAAGTGTCCTCTGGACCCTCCCTGGGTGGGTGAGCAGGTATTTACATGATAAATACTCAAGCATTTTTATCTCCTTAAGCATTTACATATCTTCCTCTACAGTATACCAACGAAGTTCTCGCATTTCAACTCATTCAGTGCAGGTTATGTTTGCATTCGTGTTTTTTTTTTCTTTTGGAGATGAGTTCTCACTATATTGCCCAAGCCAGTCTCAAACTCCTGGCCTCAAGCAATCCTCCCACCTCAGCCTCCCAAGCTGGGATTACAGTGAGTCCATATCTCAACAACTCAAAGCAAATGAAGACAGCCATTCTCAGCTTCTCAAGTTAAAACAATGAACCACAAATCTCTGCTTAATTATCCCATATCGAATAATTCAGCTTGATCTGACTTTATATTCCTTCCACGATGATCCTGCACCCTTGTTACCGCAAAAGGTTCCCAATCCAGACCCCAAGAGAGGGTTCTTGGATCTCGCACAAGAAAGAATTCAGGGCGAGTCCGTAAAGAGAAAGCAAGTTTATTAAGTAAAGGAATAAAAGAATGGCTACTCCATAGACAGAGCAGCCCCGAGGGCTGCTGGTTGTCTATTTTATGGTTTCTTGATGATATGCTAAACAAGGGGTGGATTATTCATGCCTCCCCTCTCCAGGCCATATAGGGTAACTTCCTGATGTTGCCATGGCAACTGTAAACTGTCATGGCACTGGTGGGAGGGTAGCAGTGAGGATGACCAGAGGTCATTCTCATCACCGTCTTGGTTTTGGTGGGTTTTAGCTGGCTTCTTTACTGCAACCTGCTTTATCAGCAAGGTCTTTGTGGCCTGGATCTTGTGCCAATCTCCTATCTCATCCCGTGACTTAGAATGCCTTAACCGTCTGGGAATGCAGCCCAGTAGGTCTCAGCCTCATTTTGTTACAGGAAAGGGGTCCCGATCCAGACTCTTAAGAGAGTTCTTGGATCTCGTGCAAGAAAGGATTCAGGGCAAGTCCGCAGTGCAAAGCAAAAACAAGTTTATTAAGAAAGTAAAGTGGTGAAAGGACAGCTACTCCATAGAGTAGGATGGAGTAACCTCTAACCTGAGGTCAGTCAAGTGTCCTTGCCTTTTATTAAGAGGGGCCTCTAACTCACTCTGTCTTAGGAGAAACTCCAACTCCCCTAAGTTGGGCCTCTAACCCAATCCCATTTGTTACTCGGGTACCCCATCACTTACCCAAAGTCGTCCAATCAGTGCTGCAGTCTATTTCTTTGGGGTTGGGGGGATTTCTTCAGTATCATCCTTTCTGTGGTTTGCCAGAAATATGTTACAGGACCCCAACACTTACGCAAAGGTAGCCGTTGGGTCAACGTTTCTGCACTATAGTCCCTTCTGTGGTCACCAGAAATATGTTACAGGAAAGGGGTCCCAATTCAATCCTAGAGGGTAGGAATGCCTAACTTTCTGAGAATGCAGGCCAGTAAGTCTCAGCCTCATTTTCCCAGCCCTCACTCAAAATGGAGTCGCTCTGGTTCAAATACCTCTGACACTTTTACCCAGCCCCTATTCAACATGGAGTTGCTCTCGTTCCAATGCTTCTGACGCTATCTCTACAGATTCCCCAGGTTTCTATAAAAATTGGCAAAATTATGCAATTTGGAGAGTACTGTATCTCCTCAGTCACATTTTGCACTTCACTTTTTTTTTTTTTTAATTGAGACAAAGTTTCACTCTGTCGCCCAGGCTGGAGTGCAGTTGTGCGATCTCGGCTCACTGCAACTTCCACCTCCTGGGTTCAAGTGATTCTCCTGCCTCAGCCTCCCCAGTAGCTAGGATTACAGGCACACACCACCACACCCGGCTAATTTTTGTATTTTTAATAGAGATGGGGTTTCACCATATTGGCCAGGCTGGCTGGTCTCAATCTCCTGATCTCGTGATCTGCCCGCCTCAGCCTCCCGAGTAGCTGGGACTACAGGCGCCCGCTGCCACGCCCGGTTAATTTTTTGTATTTTTACTAGAGACGGGGTTTCACCGCGTTAGCCAGCATGGTCTCGATCTCTTGACCTCGTGATCTGCCCGCCTCAGCCTCCCAAAGTGCTGGGATTACAGGTGTGAGCCACCGTGCCTGGCCAAAAAAATAATTTTTTTAAAAGGACTCCAGGCAATGATAGACTGGATTAAGAAAATGTGGCACACATACACCATGGAATACTATGCAGCCATAAAAAATGATGAGTTCATGTCCTTTGTAGGGACATGGATGAAGGTGGAAATAATCATTCTCAGTAAACTATCGCAAGAACAAAAAACCAAACACCGCATATTCTCACTCATAGGTGGGAATTGAACAATGAGAAAACATGGACACAGGAAGGGGAACATCACACTCTGGGGACTGTTGTGGGGTGGGGGGAGGGGGGGAGGGATAGCATTGGGAGATATACCTAATGCTAGATGATGAGTTAGTGGGTGCAGCGCACCAGCATGGCACATGTATACATATGTAACTAACCTGCACATTGTGCACATGTACCCTAAAAGTATAAAAAAAAAAAAAACAAGGACTCCAGGCATGGTGGCTCACACCTGTAATCCCAGCACTTTGGCAAGCTGAGGCAGGTGGGTCACTTGAGGTCAGGAGTTCAAGACCAGCTTGGGCAACATGGCCAAACCTTGTCTCTACAAAAATACAAAAATTAGCTGGGTGTGGTGGTGCACGCTTGTAGTCCCAGCTAGTCAGGAGGCTGAGGCTGGAGAATCGCTTGAGCCTGGGAAAGTGGAGGTTGCAGTGAGCTGAGATCGTGCCACTGCACTCCAGCCTGGGTGACAGGGTGAGACCTTGTCTCAAAAAAAAAAAAAAAAAAAAAGCAAAACGCAAAAAGCAGTGGTGACCATAGGTCATGAGCAACGTCAGCGGACTTTTGGAAGACATATACCTCAGGGAAGGCCATTACATGTTCTTCAGGCAAAAGGTGGTTAACTAACACTCAAAGTCTCATTGTGACCCTCCCTTCTGCTCCCTGCCCCAGCATTAGTAGCTGGGACCTCTCCACAGAAGCACAGATCCAAAGGCCACAGGGCCCCTCCCTGAGCACAGACACTATGTCAGCCCAGCAGTCCACTCCTCCACCATAGGTCTGAGTTCAGCTCCACAAGGTCCCTCTTCCAATCTCCCACCTTTCAACAATTCTAGCCACGTCTCTTTGTTCCTGCTTTGCACTTTGCTCCACATGAGGTGGGATCAATAAACTACCATCACTCAAAACTGGTTCGGATGTTGAAACTGATGACACTGCAGACACCAAGAGGTTATGAAAAAGTTTACTACTCACATGAGGCCTTCTAGGGAAAGCAAAGCGGGCACCCACGCCAGTCTGTTGGGCTTCAGTGAAAGGACGAACAAGTGGCTCTGGTTTTTGTTGTGGTTATGAGAGCTCAGTGCATTTGACAGTCAGGGTTTGCACAGTTTGAACTTCCCCTCTGACGCAAAGAGGAAGTGGCTGGGCTTTCTTATCAGCTTGTCCAGATCCAGGCAAACTGAGGGGGAGAGCTTGAATGCTATTAGCAGACAAACGTCAAACATGGGGAGACTCTATTCTAGCTCCCCCAGTCCTGGGGTGGCAGCTGCTTAGCAGTTGCTACCTCCAAGACACCTTGGCATTTTCTTCTTGCCTTTTTAGCTACTTAAATATAGTACACTTCTTTATAAGGTCTTTGCTAAAATAACTGGTGTGGTTTCTGGCAACTAAAACCTGGCTGATATAAAATCTCCTTGCTGTTCTTAGCAGGGTTAACATTAACTTTAAAAGGTGTGGTAGCTGGCATACAAGTATTTACTCTCCTTTTCCTCATCTAATAAAGTAGAATGAAAAACATCTCCATCTTCTGGATCCCATTTCTTCATTAAAATTATGAGTTTACAGCTTCTGGCTTCACTTGTTATTTATTAAGCAAAATTAAGGAGATTTAGGCAAGGAGGAGCTTATAATTTCCTATAAAGTGCATGTCTTGGTGACTGTGCGTCAGTATATAGAGAACATCCTCATTTTTAAAAAAACTGTGGCCTGGTATTTCATCATAGATGTACTAGAGTTACTTAAGCGTTCGTTTACTAATAGCCATTTGTATTGCTCCTGTTACCAGAAAGCGGTCGTGATCCAGTCCCCAAGAGAGAGTTCTTGGACCTTGCTCAAGAAAAGAATTCGGGCGAGTCCACAAAGTGAAAGTAGTTAATATTAAGAAAGTAAAGAAATACAGAATGGCTACTCCATAGGAAGAGTAGCCCCAAGGGCTGCTGGTTGCCTATTTTTATGGTTATTTATTGATTATATGCTAAACAAGGGGTAGATTATTCATAAGTTTCCCGGGAAAGGTGTGAGCAATTACCAGAACTGAGGGTTCCTCTCCTTTTTAGACCATATAGTGTTACTTCCTGATGTTGCCATGGCATTTTTTTTTTTTTTTTTTGAGACAGAGTCTTGCTCTGTCACCCAGGCTGGAGTGCAGTGGCACCATCTTGGCTCACTGCAACCTCCAACTCCCGGGATCTAGAGATTCTCCTGCCTCAGCCTCTCAAGTAGCTGGGATTACAGGCACGTGCCACCATGCCCAGCTAATTTTTGTATTTTTTAGTAGAGACAGGGTTTCACCATGTTGGCCAGGCTGGTCTCAATCTCCTGACCTCATAATCCGCCCGCCTTGGCCTCCCAAAGTGCTGGGATTACAGGCATGAGCCATCGTGCCAGGCCTGCCATGGCGTTTGTAAACTGTCATGGCACTGGTGGGAGTGTCTGTTAGCATGCTAATGCATTATAATTACAGTATAATTACAGCAGTGAGGACAACCAGAGGTCACTTTCATTGCCATCTTGGTTTTGACCGGCTTCTTTACCACATGCTGTTTTATTGGCAAGGTCTTTATGACTGTATCTTGTGCTGACCTCCTATCTCATCCCATGACTTGGAATGCCTAACCTCCTGGGAATGCAGCCCAGTAGGTCTCAGCCTTATTTTACCCAGTTCCCTATTCAAGATGGAGTCACTCTGGTTCAAACGCCTCTGACACTCCCAATTTTTGCAGGTGAGGAAATGGAAGCCTTGAAAGATTAGGTGGCTCACTCTAAGTAACATCATGTACCTGGCAGGGATTTCTATAAAGTCATAAGATGTCAGAGACTATGCTTAAGAAATATTTTTACTTTGAAACACTTTAAGCAAACAGTTAAAAAGTACCCACCACACTACCCTGTAAAAATCTTAACATTGTGATGCCTCTGCATCAATTTTTAGAAAAAAACAAAGAAAACACAACTGAAGGCCCCATGTACCCTCCCCAAATCCATCAGGTCTCCTGCCTTAGGAAGGCAGAATGGTGACTTGCACACATCGTTCCAATACATGATTTTATACTCATTTCATATTATTTGAATCCACAGAAAATAGATTACTGTGCAAAACAATAACACTTTCTATATGTCCACAAGGCTTACATGCTAGACACTATTCTAAGCATTTTACATGCATTACTTCATTGACCACCCCCCCACCCACAATCACCCTGTGAGATTGCCACTACTATCCCATTTTACAGAAAAAGTGAAAAACAAGTTGAAGTAACGTGCCCACAGGTACACAGTATGCTTAACTTTACACTAAGGGTACCTTGTATGTAGCTTCACCAACTTTCTCAGCATAATTTTTCATCTATCTGTGTTGAGACGTAACTCTTTCATATTCACTTTCCAAGGACCAAAAACAACCCATTTATTTATCCATTCTTCTGCTGATGAAATGCAGGCTTTTCCCAATCTTGCTACCTAAACAATACTTCAGTGAAGTCTTAAAATCATTCTCTGTTCACATGGCACTTCTCTAGGATGCATCCAGGAGTAGTTGCTGGGTGGTTAAGTGCACACAACCTTCCAAGATTTTGCAAATTGCCTGGCACAATATTTCTCACAATTTCTACTCATAAAGCAGTGTGAATTATCGTTGTTCCACGCACTTACCCACACTTGGGCTTTCAAAAATGTGCCAGCTTTCTGAGTGTGAGATGGTCTGTATTATTTTACATTTCAGTCAGTCTTGGTCAGCAGGGGTGGGGCAGACCACACTGAACAGGTGACAGAAAGACCTTCAAATACCCACTCCAGCCATCTGGCTCTCCTCAACCCCAACTTCAGTTCCTCCAAGGGAGTGGGGGAAAGGTGGGAAGGGTTGGAAGGAAACTGAATGTTCTCCAGGCCAGGATGAGATGCAAGATGAGACCTGGTGCTCAGGGCAATCAGAAACTGTCAACTGAAGCCAAACAGCTCAGAACCACCCACAGCCGGGTTCCTAACCAGCAGGTGTGTGTTTGTGGGTGGCTTCCAGTCAACATTTCACCCCACAGCCCCTTAAAAAAAACCCAACCCTGACTCAGCCAAACTAAATTCAGCTTCAGATTCCTTAACAGAGGTAATTTTGTGCAAGATATTTTCTGCATGGCAAACAGATAAATAAGCACCCAACCCTGGCTTCCAGAGTGCTTGGTCTGGCTATGGAGATGGGCATAACCAAAAACACAAACATCACCTGACATAGGAACCAAGAGAGGTGGGGCCACGGGTTTAGAGGCACAAGGGTCAGACAAGGTCAGGCCTTGAAGAATGAAGAGCTGAACTGGCAGAGAGAGGGGTGTGGCACTCCAGGTGAAGGGAGGCAGCACAAGGCAGAACACTCTGGGGGGCTGGCATGGGGAAGGGACAGGAAAGCCAAATCCAACATTGATTCTGCCAAAATCTTTAGTAGTTAGCACCAAGTAGTCAGGCTTCTACTTTTTTTCCTTTCAGCTAATCTGAATTCATTAATATTTATATAATTATAGTACTTATAGAACTAAAATTATTTGAAAACTCAGGTTATTGGACAAATAGGTTCAGTATAATCCCAAATATAAACAGCTTACTTCAGGATAAAATAATTTCTGTTCTTTTGGCCGGGCACAGTGGCTCACACCTGTAATCCCAGCATTTTGGGAGGCCGAGGCGGGTGGATCACGACGTCAGGAGATCGAGACCATCCTGGAGATCGAGACCATCCTGGAGATCGAGACCATCCTGGCTAACACAGTGAAACCCCGTCTCTACTAAAAATATAAAAAATAACCCAGGCGTGGTGGCAGGCACTTGTAGTCCCAGCTACTGAGGAGGCTGAGGCAGGAGAATGGTGTGAGCCCAGGAGGCAGAGCTTGCAGTGAGCGGAGATCGCGCCACTGCACTCTAGCCTGGGTAACAGAGTGAGACTCCGTATCAAAAAAAAAAAAAAATTCAGTTTTTCACTTCATTCTTTGCACATTTTAAAATTTGATTAGAATGTTTAGAAATAAGCACATTTCATTCTATAAAAATGACAGGTCAGGCACAGTGGCTCACGCCTGTAATCCCAGCACTTTGGGAGGCAGAGGTGGGTGGATTGCTTGAGCCCAGGAGTTTGAGACCAGCATGAGCAACATGGGAAAAAAAAATAAAAGTTTTGTCTCTACAAAAAAATATAAAAAATTAGCTGGCAGGGTGGCACACACCTGTAGCCCCAGCTACTCGGGAGGCTCAGATGGGACCTGAGCCTGGGAGGTCAAGGCTGCAGTAAGCTGTGATCCTGCCACTGCACTCCACCCTGGGCAACCCTGTCTCAAAAAATAAAAAAGACAGTAAAAATATCCCTATACTGGGGCAGGAACTTTACAAGGTATCCTGTGGCAAAGGGAGCAGAGATGGGGGGAAAGGGGTGCTAAAAGTTTGATTGGAAAGGGACTTTTCCATGGTTACAACACCAACTGACATGGAAGCTGCACCTCTGAGAGGGCCCTGGTCCTAGAGGTCAACCACCTGATGGAGAGCCTTGGTAAACCAAGCCCTCTTTCACCAATCTCAGGAATCAGGTAGCACAGCCAAGCACTCTAACTTCACACATAAGGAAATTGATGCAGAGGTTCATTGACTTGCTCAAGATCAATCCTGCCAAGAAAAGGCACACCATGCCTGGAACCCAGATCTGATGACTCCAAGACCCTTCCTATGACTCTGGCCCCCCTGCCCAGCCACTTCTAGTGCCAGTTTTGGGACAGTGAAGGGACATCTTCAGTGCCATGAACAGCTGCTGCCGTAGGAAGGCAAGAGGATGGCAGAACCAAGATGACCAAACCTTCCTGAGGACAAAGCTGAACAGGCATCAGAACACCAACAGGAGACTTCTGCCCCGCCCCCACCATCCTGTGACACCACCACACAATATCAGAGCCTTCATTTTCACCTGCTCATGGCAATCCAGAGCAGGTAAGATTATTCCATACTCTACTGAAAAAGACATCTTCCAGGTTGGTTTCTTCTCATTTCAAGAAATGACCAGCTCCATGAACGGGCCCCTATAGTCAGGACACTGCTCTACTATTAAAACATTTTATCCTTTCATTCATAATCTGACCTCTTCAATAATCAGAAGCAATGATTACTCACATGCTTTAGCAATATCACTCCTTTGCCTTTAAGTAATTGATTCTTGCTTTTTGCTTCAACACAAGTGGGTGGGCCAGTGAGGGAGCTCCTCCCAGAACAGGCTGCCTTTTCTCCTGAGAGCAGCAGGCACATGCACTTGTTCCTTCGGGTTGAATCTGATTGCTAGCACCAGATCTCATACATGGAGAGGGGTATGTGAAGCTGAGAGGGGCCTGCAGTGTGCAGGGGCTAGAGACATGAACACAACAATGGTAAGCGTTTATATCTGCTGAGGCCGAGGATCCTATAGAAAATTCAGAAACGGAGTGGGGAGGAGTCTGATTTATGGGAACTGGCAGCAAGGCTAACTGCATGAGAAGCCTTTCACCCTTTTACTGAGTCCTTGGATCTGTGGTTAACCCTTATAAAATATAATTCAGATTCAAACCACATCACTCCTCAACTCAAAATTGTCCAAAAGCTCCCTGCCTCCCTCTGAGCCAGCTCAAGCCCCCGTAATGACCCATGATGCTCATATGGCCGGGCCTGTGGCCTCCCTGGCCCCTCTCCTTCCCTTCCAGCTGGCTCCCTGCACTCCATCCCAGGGGCTTCCTTCCTGAGGACACCAGTCAAGACCCAATCTCCTCTGCCTGCAACTCTCCCTAGAGAGCTACCTGCTACCTCCCTGGCTTCCTTCACGTCTTTGCTCACATTTCACCTTCTCAGTTGAGGCCCTCCCTGACCAGACTATCTAAAATCACGACTGATCTCCCAATCCAGCACTCCCTCTGCTCTTCTCTGATTCACTTTGTCCACTACACACATCACCATCCAGAATACTGCGTATCCCATTTGTTTGTCATCTGTAAAGATCCAAGATGGCAGGATTTTCATCTGTTCTGGTCCCTGCTGGGTCTCTGGCAAACACACCAGCGCCTGGTGTATGGGAGTGCTCAGCACATTTCTGTTAAACAGATGGACCGCTGCTGCCTATGCAGGCCTGTGGGATGGGGATGGCAACAGGGTACTGGTAGAGATCCACACGCCAAGCGCTTGAGCCCAGCATCCTGCTCTCCTCCACCTGCCGCTGAGACCACTCTAACCCCCTAGCAGATATCCAAAAGCCAGCCAGGAAGGCTGAAGCCCCAGCCAGAACTCCCCAGGGGGCATTTGGGAAGGCTAGGAGTTCTTGATGCTGCTGCTTTTAAAGTCAACAGAATAGGCATGGCCACAGGCCAAACTTGAAGACAAATCTAGGATCCCACTGGCCCCTTTCCAGCAGCCATAGCCCATGATGCCACAGATATTCTGTCCAACCACAAAGGGCAGTGGTCTCTCTCTTCAGAGTTGTGGAAGGAGACCTGAATAGGGGAGCCGCAGGCTATGGTGCAGAGGCCACTCCTAGGGGCCGGAGTCTCCAGAAGGGCTCCAAAGGACATGGTGCTGCACTTCCCCAGCGTCACATCCTAGCAGGCAGGCTGGGGACTCCCCGAGCTTTCAAATCCTTGGGATTCTGTCACTAGCTTCCAAAACAGAAAGGGCTGGGCCCTTTATCAAAGTTACTCCACAATGCCTATAATTAAGGGTTCTCTAGCAGGGGACTGAGAACCCACCCCCACTGTCACTGTCAGGTCCCAGGCTAATCTCTAATATGGTTTTTCATATGCCGAGCCAGGTTCGAAGACCACCTGAAGGTCTTTCCACACTTGCTGCATTTGAAGGGCCTCTCTCGAGTATGAAATCTCTTGTGGCTAATGAGTTGTGAACTCTTGTTAAAAGTTTTCCCACATATGCTGCATTTGTGGCACTTTTTCCCAATGCTTATGTCCTGGAGTCCAGTGAGCCTGGAGCTCTGGCTGCAAGCTTCTTTGCAGTCTTCGAGGGGCATCTCTTCACTTGGTTTTAGCTTCTGTAATCTCAACTTTGTGTCCTGAGAGGAAGACCGTGCAGGCGGGCTACGTTCAGCCTGTGCTGCTCTGGTGTGTTTCCTCTGGTGACTGGAAAGGGTATGTCTCCCAATGAACTCTTTCCCACACCACTGACATTTGAAAGGTCTCTCTGTAGAGTGGATCCTCTGATGGTTAACAAGGCGATAGTTTCTATCATAAGATTTCCCACATAGATTACATTTATAGCGCTTCTCTCCACTGTGTATTCCCTTATGATCTAAAAGGGTTCTTTTACGTGTAAAGGTTTTCCCACATTCTTGACACCAAAAACGTTTCTCACCAGTGAGGATTTTTGGCTCCACATTTGGAGTCTTTTCACTTTCATGGCAATCATACTGTTTTTGAAGAGAGTGAATCCTCTGATGTCGGTAGAGATTGGAACTCCATCTGAAGGCTTTCCCACACTCCCTGCACTTATATGGCTTCTCTCCAGTGTGAACTCTCTGATGGATGAGGAGGAATGAGTGATTGCGGAAGGCCTTGCCACACTGGCTGCATTTGTAGGGCTCCTCTTTGGAGTGACTGCTCTGAGGAACCTGGAACACTGTGTCCTGACTAAAAGATGGCCCGCCCTCAGGTTTTCTTTTCATGGCATGCTTCTTCTTATGAACAATAAAGGCTGACCTATAGGCAAAGTCCTTCCCACAATCGCTACACTGGTAAGGTTTCTCACCTGTGTGAATTCTCTGGTGGTCAACGAGAGTTTTCTTTCTAGTAAAAGTTTTCCCACACTGCTGACACAGAAATGTTTTCTCCACAGCGGGAGCACCCTGGGGCTGACTGCAGTCAGGAGATTGCCTGAAGCCTTCACGACATTCATCTTGTTTGTAGAATTTTTCCTCCTCATGCAACCTCATATGACGAGTAAAGTTTGATCTCCATCTAAAGGTTTTCCTACATTTGGTACATTTATAGGGCTTCTCCTGGGTGTGAATCCTTTGATGTTCAAGAACATATGACTTACAGTGGAAGGATTTCCTGCACTGGCTGCAGTCAAAGAGTTTCTCCCCACTTTGGTCTCCCAAATGATGATCAAACCCTGAGCTGTAGGTGAGAGCTGCCCTATACTGATTCAATTCAAGAAATTTCTTCTTAGCATGGGTTTCTCGGTGCAGACGGTAGGCTGACAGGCGTCGGAAAGCTTTCTCACATAAATCGCATTTATAAGGCTTCACTCCAGTGTGAATTTTCTCATGCCGCGCACAGTTGGAACTCCACCGGAAGGCTTTCCCACACACCCTACATTTAAATGCTTTCTCTTGAGTGTGAAGTCTCTGATGATACGCAAGATGGGAGCTATGACTGAAAGTCCTTCCACAGTCACTGCACTTAAATGACACTCCCACTGTGTGAAGACTCTGCCCACGTTGGTGATGAGAGCTAAGGCTGAAGTCTTTTCCACACACGTCCTTTTTGTTCCCTTTCAGTCCACTATGAATTCTCTGATGTAGGCTGAAGCCCCCAATCATGTGTCTGAGCCCCTTCCCATATTTCTTGTAGTCATAGTGGTGTGAACTCATTCTGAAGTGTTTGCCACAGCCATGTTTAAGGGATTCCTTTCTTCCAGAAACTCTCAAATATGTAACATGTTTTAAGTCAAGACTATTACTTCCTGATACTTCAGAGTCTTTTCCTGTCCTGTGACTGAAATTGGTCTCTTCTTTCTTAACTCTTACTTGTATGGGATTTTCACATTGATCCTTCTGCCTGCTCTTCTGTTGAAAAGATTCTCTGAGCCCAATTCCCTCAGAAACACTTGTCGCAGGACATCCTGATGACACAGCTAAGGTTTCTGCTTCTTCCAAAGGTTCCTGATTTAAGATGAATTTGTTTGTTTTACTCTGGAGGTCATCTCCTGACAAAAAATATAACACAAGAGAATGTACTCTTTTCCCATACTTGGAACTGCAGAAAGCACCAAAGGGCAATAAAATGTCTGGGTGGTGAGGCTTTTGCCTGACTGCCAATACCTTTATAAAATAGTCAAACATAAGGCAAAACATGGAAGATTATCCCAGATTACAGGGAAGGGAGAAGAAAAGCAAGATGGGCAGGGCAGCTAGAGATATGCAGACGTCACATCCAGCAGGGAAATAAAAAGGATTAAGAAGAAAGTGTTAAACAGCCAGAGTGGGAGAAAAATCATGGCATTATAGAAAGGTACCCAAAAGCCAAGGGGTGGGGCTCCAAGGAGCACTTGGCTGAAAGGGCTGGAGATCAGCCTATTACAAAAAGAAGGACCAAGAAAAGAAAGAACAGGAGTGGGATGAGGGCTCCTAAGAGCAGAAAGGGGTGAGTACAGGAGTTCAGCAGGAGTGCAGGCCAGGAGTGAGGAGGAGCATCAGTGAGTGAAAGACAGGAACAGTGAAGCCCTCCAGCAGGCAAGAACTATTATTGAGAGGGCTGCTGTGAGAAGGGGACAGGAGAATAGACATGGCCGGAAATGAATGACCTCTCGGAGGCCAGCCAGGATGGAAGAGACCCAGTGGCCCAAGCACCCTTACCAACACTGTTAAAGATCTTCCTTCCAGCAAACAATGGAGTAAATTCCCAGTGATGTAACTGACCTTAAGAAAGAGAAAAGTAAAAGCAGGAGGAGCAGGACCTGGCAGGTTCTCTGGAACTCACCTGTAGGAGCAGCAACTGGATTCCCCTTAGGCTGAGCTGCCTGCATGTTCAGGCCCCATGGCTCCCTTGCTTCCAACCAGGAGATCAGAGCAGGTTTGGTGAATGGTCCCACTGCAGAAGAGAAGAGAATGGCATGAGAAGGGAGATGGATGACACAGAACTACTCTTCAGGACCTCTGGGCCTGAAGTCCTGGTGGGAAGGTGGGAAAGACCAGGAAGGCAGGCAGCAGAAGCTAGCGAAGGAGGCCCAGTCATTTCAAATAGCCCTGAGCAGAGATAAGAGAGACTGATAGAAGTTGCCCACAAAAGGATTACTAGAATTTTCCAGAGGTGAGAACCACACGTCTACTTAATTGGTTACATCAGCCAACATTTTTTGAATGTCTAAACAGACTAGGAACTTAAAACATATTACCTTTAATCCGTTGTTTTTATTTGTCTGTTTTGAAACAGGGTCTCACTCTGTTACCCAAGCTGGAGTGCAGTGGTGCGATCTTGGCTCACTGCAGCCTCATCCTCCTGGGCTCAAGCAATTCTCCAGCCTCGGCTTCCCAAGTAGCTGGGATTACAGGCGTGCGTACCACATGCTTGTATTTTTGTATTTTTTGTAGAGATGGGGTTTCACTATGTTGCCCAGACTGGTCTCAAACTCCTGAGCTCAAGCAATCTTCCCACCTGGGCCTCCCGAAGTGGTGGGATTACAGGTGTGAGCTACCACACCCAGCCACCTTTAATCTTTACAATAATCCAGAATGGCAGGCATTATTCTCCCCATTTTTCAAAAGAGGCTACCAAGGTGCTAGATTAAGTGATCTGGTCAGCAGTTACAGAGCCAGGATCTAAAACCAGGTCAGGTACCTTTCTATGCAGCACAGAACAACCCAAGAAGGCAGAAATAAAGATGGATAGAAGCATGAGGATATCGATTACTTACCCAGGGAAGCCATGTTCCTATAATTCTCCAGCATCACATCCCTGTACAGGTTCCTCTGAGCAGAGTCCAGCCACCCCCACTCGTCCTGGGAGAAGGTCACCTCCACATCCTTGAAAGTCATGGTCTCCTGAAAAAACACTGTGCCCTAGAGCTGGTCCACAGCTCCCAGCTTTGAGGTGGAAAGGGAGAGAAGGGGAATAAACTGGCTCTGTGTGAGTGCAGGATGGACCTGGCAAAGGTGAAAGGGAAGACCATCACCCAGCAGAAGACCTCTGGGCTTGAGGGGGATAATCTGGTCTCTGGAACACGGGTCTTTGGATGTGAGATTACTAGACAGAGAAACCCAGGATGGGGAAGCTGCACTATCCCATTAGGCAGCGACGTGGGGACATCAGGAAGGACCAAATGTTCTGTGGCTCACCTGGAGCTGGGCTGTCAGGGACCTGGTTGGTGTTACCTGGTCTCCCGGGCACCCCTCTCTCGGGAAAAGGGCAGGCATCTGGGCAGCAGGAGTATCTGAAGGAGAAAAAGCCATGAGAGAGCGGCTCAGCTCTGGACAGCCCAGTGAGAAGCCCACTCTTCCCCCCAGTAGAGGACTCCTGGACCCATGAGCAGGTACATAATGTTGTTAAATACCCATCTCACATGTCCTCAGTCTACTGGGGCCAGGAAAGGGGTAGTGGGATGGGGGGTGTAATGGGGGAGGAGCAAGCCACATATAGGTTATAGAATGGATGGAGAGGACAGAGAGCTAAGGGCCAGGACAGAAGGAGATTCTCATGAGAGGACAGATGTGGAAAGACAACACTACAGGAAATGCAAGAAGTGTGGCATAAGGCTGGGGTCTTAAGGCCAGGCAGCAAGTACCGGATTGCCCAGCCAGGAAGTCACGTGCTTCTATTTCATAGGGAGGCTCCAGGTGGTCCCCCAGAGCAGAGCTGCTCCTGAGAGGTGAAGCAAGGGACCATATCTGTGCAGATCGCAGGGCTCCTGTACCCATCCAATGCACATCTGGGCTCTGGGCAGGGCCCGGGTCCTGGCAAGAAGAAAATGTTGTGAGAGGATCTTTCTGGGAATCAGAAAGCAAACTCAGAGAAGAGACCACATGACCAATCTCTGAAGGACAAAGGCCGAGGGATAGGTAAGCCAGGTCCTTTATTACTTCCAGGCAGGAGGAAAGGGCAAGAAGAACGCCCAGGGAGGTACCTCCAACCACCTCAGCCTCCTTGGGCTCTAATGAGGGTCATGGGAGAGTCCAGGTAGAGACAGACTCCAGCTCAACACAAGGAAGCACATGGTAACTCAGTACAGCACTCTTGTCAGGCCTCAGATGACACAGTGCCACCTTCCCACTACCCCTCAGCTCCCACCCCAGGCCTGTAACTTAGAAATGAGAGAGAAGGAACTAGTTCCTGAGAATTAAACTCATAATGGTTCACAGTGGAGATACAGTCAAGTAATATCTACTGTCAAGTGCTGCTCTAGGCACTGATGTACAAAGTGAACTCAAAGAGGCAGGCTAGCTCCCAAATTGTAAACTTGTTTTTAATAATAACACTGATAGAGAGGCAATGCTAATCATGAGAGTCAGCCATGGAACCATAGAAGAAAGTCTCCAGTGTAAAAAATGGCAGTGTCCATCTAAGTAGAGACCAACAAAGAGGAAGCATTTGCCCTAAGACTTCAAATAACTCTGGTCTCTGAGGCAAGGCTGTCCCTCACATAGAGATGAGTACAGGAAACTACAATTTGAGATTTTCTGGTCCTGTGGCCGAGACAGTCTTTATACCAATATGGACAAATCTCAGCCTGAGGCCATTAATCATCTGATACAGAGATACACACTAAAGATGATGAACTGACCACAATAATTTATCTCCCGTTTTTTATTCTTCTAATAAAGGAAGAATTAAAAAAAAAAAAAAGAATATGGAAGCACAGCAAAACAAGTTTAAGGACAAACTTTCTCGGGCCCTGGTTTTTCACACTGTGATAATTTTGCTGAACCACAGAACGATTCTGTGACTTTACATATATCTTAAAGCATTTCTCTTCATTTTCCAAATTTGAGGGGCTTCTCCCAGCCCCCACTGTCTTTTAAGTAGCTTTCAACCAGGTAGGCCCTTTCTGCTCATGTGGCAATGTTTTCATGGATTTTTAAAATTACATCTAGCTGTAAATGAGCTGAATATAACCAAGCCATGATTTTGTAACTACTGTGTACCTCATTTCCTTTTATAAATTATTATCAGGTCCTTTTGAACATTTCATTGTTTTGGTAAAAATAACAAATGCTCTTTTAAATTTTTTAAAATAGTACCCCATGTTGTGCAAAAATATTTTCTATTAGTTATACCCTGTGTCTATTTATTACCATTTACTGCTGGTAGACCATGTCCTGATGTCTTACTTGATTTAATTTTTATAATAAAGTTTTAGGGACAAGTATGTCAAATTTGTTTCAGAAATCTTTTTTTTTTTTTTTTCGGACATAGTCTTGCTCTTTCGCCAGGATGGTGTGCAGTGGCGTGATCTCGGCTCACTGAAACCTCCACCTCCTGGGTTCAAGCAATTCTCCTGCCTCAGCCTCCCAAGTAGCTGAGACTACAGGCGAACACCACCACGCCCAGCTAATTTTTGTATTTTTAGTAGAGATGGGTTTTCATCATGTTGGCCTGGATGGTCTCGATCTCTTGACCTTGTGATCTGCCACCTCGGCCTCCCAAAGTGCTGGGATTACAGGCGTGAGCCACCGCGCCAAGCTACAACTTTCATTTATACATGAATTATGTGTGCAGAATCATATATATATGTATATGTATGAAAGTGTATGTCTATATATGTTTTTTTTTTTTAATTTTTTTTTTAGACAGCGTCTTGTTCTGTTGCCCAGTCTAGACTGCACTGGTGAAATCTCAGCTCACTGCAGCCTCCACCTTCCAGGTTCAAGCAATTCTCCTGCCTCAGCCTCCTGAGTAGCTGGGTCTACAGGTGCACACCACCACACCCGGCTAATTTCTGCCCTTTTAGTAGAAATGGAGTTTCACCATGTTGGCCAGGCTAGTCTCGAACTCCTGACCTCAACTGATCTGCCCGCCTTGGCCTCCCAAAGTGCTAGCACTACAGGAGTGAGCCACCACGCCTGGCCAGAATCATGTATTTTTATATAAAGAAGCCTTAAAAAAGTGATAAATGCTTTTTTAAAAAACTGTAACAATACAGGAAGCATCAGCTCCCCTGTGTGCAGGAGAAGGGCAGGAAGAACGAACGCACTTGAACTGACCAGCTGCTGCTCTCCTGCCAGGCCTGGGACTGCCAACTCTGCCAGGGCCAGGCACATGATAAGCACTTGAATATTTACCGAACAAATTCTCACGATTAAACCATTTCTGCATTTTCTTCTCAACGAACAGAGGCTCTGAAAGGTACAACTATGTGGCCACAGATGTTGAGGTTGTGGAATGAAGTCTAAAATCGAGGTCTTCCTATTTCTCAGCCCAGCTCTGCCCCTCAGCACTCATGACCATCTTCCCTGCCTCCCATCTCACACACATAGAAAAGGTCCTCAAAAGCTTAGTGAGAAGGGCTGGGCACAGTGGTTCATACCTGTAATCCCAGCATTTTGGGAGGCCAAGGCGGATGGATCACCTGAGGTCAGGAGTTTGAGACCAGCCTGGCCAAAATGGTAAAACCTCATCTCTACTAAAAATACAAACAAAATTAGCTGGGAGTGGTGGGGTATGCCTCAAAAAAAAAAAGAAAAGAAAAGAAAAAAAAAAGCTTACTGAGAAGGAAGCTACATGGTGCCTGCAGAGCGCTCTTCTGAGTTTTAACATGTACTCTCCCACTGAGAAGCCAAGAGCCCTAACCCTAAATGCTGTCCCAACACCCACCACTTTACAGGGCTATGGTTAGTCTCAAGTCAAATTAGATAATATGTGGAGATGGACTTTGTATACTGTAAGCCACTGTGTCCAAAGACTAGTTACTGGGCTTTTTTGTTTAGAGATAGGGTCTTGCTGTGTCACCCAGGCTGGAGCGCAGTGGTGCAATCACGGCTCACTGCAGCCTTGACCTAACCTGGGTTCAAGTGATCCTCCCACCTCAGTCCCCCAAGTAGCTGGGACTACAGTCACATGCTACCACATTCAGCTAATTTTTGTAGAAACAGGGTTTTGCCATGTTGCCCAGGCTGGTCACGAATTCCTGCACTCAAGCAATCCGCCCACCTTGGACTCTAAAGTGCTTAGATTACAGGTGTGAGCCACTATGCCTGGCCTAATTTTTAAATTATGTATAGAGACAGTGTGGGGGGGTCCTCCTATGTTGTCCAGGCTGGCTTGAACTCCTGGCCTCAAGCAATCCTCCCACCTCAGCCTCCTAAAGTGCTGGGATTACATGTGTGAGCCACTGTGCCCAGAAGTTGCTGTTATTTATGGAGACTTGCTGACCCTATCTGGAGCTGATATTCCTCTGGGAAGGTAGGAAAGGATACCTGCTAAAGGGTCCGTGGCTCAGGGTCCCGTTCTCAGCTGCTCAGGTACCATGGGAAGAAAGGAAGGCTTCCCCTGCACTCCTCTATATTGACAGTTTAGAGGGCCACCCCCATCCCCAGACAAGCTGGCTCACTAGCAGGCAGAGTTCCCTGGGCACCACACACTTGCTCACACTCACCCTCCAGGATGTCCCATCAAGGTCCCTCTGCAGCTCCTCCAGCAAGGCCACAGCCTCCTCGCCACTCTCAGGGTTATGAAGCTGCACCCAAACCCGGAGCTCCCCAGGCAGGATGCTCAGGAACTGTTCCAGCACCAGCAGCTCTAGGATCTGTGCCTTGGAGAGAACGTCAGGCCTCAGCCACCAGCGACAGAGTTCCCGGAGCCGGCTCAGAGTTTCTAGGGGCCCTGAAGACTCATGGTAGCGAAGCTGTCTGAAGAGCTGGCGGAACAGCTCCTGGCCAGGGCGGTTGAGAGTCTGTGGCCTGGCAGCCTGCACTGGAGTATAGCTTTCATCCTCTTCTTCCTTCTTTACTGTCTGAAGCCGCCCTCGCTCCCTCGAAGACTGGGCCTGAGCTGGATAGGCAGCATGCCACCTGCCTGGAGGCATCACTCCTGTTCAGGGACTAACCAGAAGAGTGCGAACCAAGTCCACCTTAGACGTGGGTCCTCAGAAGTATCTTCTCAGCAGTCAACAATGCCAACATTTGCTGGGACATCAGAAGTCATCAGCAAGTGACTGAAATTACCAGCATTTCTGTGCAGGAGGGGATGAGAGAATAATGTCCATTATACATGGTGCAGTTGGATTCTGCTGGTTGGGATCATCTTTGTATATATAAGAAGAGCGTTTGCACAAAGGTATATGCCAGTATCAAGTAGACCAGAGCTAGGCTGTCCCCTATTGGAGTAAGCTAAGAAAATACCCCACAATAAAACATATACTGAACTTATACATTAAAACTTCGTAAAAAACACAAAGGGATGATGAAAAAAGTCAGAGAAGATCTAAATAAATGAACAGACATACCGTATGCATGTACTGGAAGATGTGACACAGTAAAGATGTAAATTCTCTCCACATTTATCTACAGGTCTAATGCAAATCCTACCAAAATCTCAACAAGATTTTTTGTAGACATAGATAAATTTATGTGGAAAGGCAATGGGATTAGAATAGCTAAAATTATGACAGGTCAGGCATGGTGGCTCACACCTGTAATCCTAGCACTTTGGAAAGCGGAGGTGGGAGGATTGCCTGAGCTCAGGAGTTCGAGACCAGCCTGGGCAACATGGCAAGACCCCGTCTCTACTAAAAGTACAAAAAATGAGCCAGGCATGGTGGTGCGTGCCTGTAATCCCAGCTACTCAGGAAGCTGAGGCACAAGAATCACTTGAACCCGGGAGGCAGAGGTTGCAGTGAACCAAGATCGTGCCACTGCACTCCAGCCTGGGCAACAGAGCAAGGGTCTGTCTCAAAACAAGCAAGCAAGCAAGCAAACAAACAAAACCAAAAAACAATTATGACAAGGAAGAATAAATTGGGAGGGATCAGTCTGAAAACAGTCTACCTGATTTCAAGACTTATAGCTATATTAATCAATTCTGTGTAGTACTGGTGGAGGAAGAGACACATAGGTCAATGGAATAAAATAGAAAAACCAGAAACAGAACCACACAAGAATGCCCAACTGACTTTTTAAATATCAAATGTGATTTTGCTATTATAATATTTTAAAATATCTCAAATGAGCAATTCAAAAACAAAAACAAAAAAATCCTGAGAATCCAATCCCCTAGTTGATTTTACGACCCAACAATGGGTTACAAATTATAATTTGAAAACTACTAATCCAGCTTCCCACTCAACTCTTGTATTTCTTTTTATAATTCATCATAAAATGTGGTGTCCAAGGGTTCAAGTCACTTTCAGGAGGTAATACTTTGGGAGGCCGAAGTGGGCGGACTGCTTGAGGTCAGGAGTTTGAGAACAGCCTGGCCAACATGGCAAAACTCCAGGTCTACAAAAAATACAAAAAATTAGCTGGGCATGGTGGCATGTGCCTATAATCCCAGCTACTCGGGAGGCTGAGGCACAAGAATTGCTTGCGCCTGGGAAGCAGAGGTTTGCAGTGAGACAAGATCGTGGCACTGCACTCTACACTCCAGCCTGGGTAACAGAGCGAGACTCCATCTCAAAAAAGGGACTATCTGGAGTATATTTCGGGCTCTGAAGGAATGTTTGTTTCTTCATACCTGGGGAAGGAGCTTGTGCTATACGAATCACATCACTATGTAGAGGAGTCCACACCTGTGATACACCCAACTGATTTTTTTTTTCTTTTTTTTAAAGACAGGGTCTCTTTCTGCTGCCCAGGCTGGAGTGCAGTGGTGTGATCATGGCTCACTGCAGACTCAAACTCCTGGGCTCAAGCGATCCTCTTGCTTCAGCCTCCAGAGGAGGTGAGACTACAGGCATGTGACACCACACTCAGATAATTTAAAAATTATTTTTAGAGATGAGGCCTATGTTACCTCAAACTCCTGGCCTCAGGTGATCAATCCTCCCACATCGGCCTCCTAAGTAGCTGGGATTACAGGCATGAGCCACTAAGCCTGATCTCCAATCGATTTTTGATAAAGATGCAAAAGCAGTTCAAAAGAGGAAGGGTAGTCTTCTCACCAAATGTTGCTGGAGCAATTGGACATCTAAAAGCAAAATAAGGAAAACTGACCAAAACCTCACCTCTTGTACACTTGAATTCAGAATGGATCAGACTTGGCCGGGTGTGGTGGCTTACACCTGTAATCCTAGCACTTTGGGAGGCCTAGGCGCGTGGATCACGAGGTCAGAAGTTTGGGACCAGCCTGACCAACACAGTGAAACGCCATCTCTACTAAAAATACAAAAAATACAAAAAAAATTAGCTGGGCGTGATGGCATGCGCCTGTAATCCCAGCTACTCAGGAGGCTGAGGCAGGAGAATTGCTTGAAGCTGGGCGGTAGAGGTTACAGTGAGCCAAGATCACACTACTGCACTCCAGCCTGGGCGACAGAATAAGACTCCGTCTCAAAAAAAAAAAAAAAAAAAGGATCAGACTTAAACGTAAGCCATAAAACTATACAACTTTTAGAAAACAATCCAGGAGGCTGGGCGCAGTGGTTCACACCTGTAATTCCAGCACTTTGGGAGGCCAAGGCAGGCGGATCACGAGGTCAAGAGATCAAGACCATCCTGGTCAACATGATGAAACCCCATTTCCACTAAAAATACAAAACTTAGCTGGGCATGGTGGCACGCACCTGTAGTCCCAGCTACTCGGGAGGCTGAGGCAGAAGAATCACTTGAACCCAGGAGGCGGAGGCTGCAGTGAGCCGAGATCATGCCATTGCACTCCAGCCTTGCGAAAGAGCGAGACTCCACCTCAAAAAAAAGAACATAGGAGAAAACCTTTAGGATCTAGGATGAGGCAAATAGTTCTTACGCCTGATACCTGTGATATTATAATATATATATACACATTGGTTTTTATCCATGGTTCATGGCTCCTAACTCCCATAGCCCTTATTTCCCAAGTGACTAAAACAATAAGCATATCTTCTGTTAAATTATTTGGGCTTTGTCCTTGATTCCCAAAGCAGCTTTGGAACTTCAGAGTGATAAAGGTAAGACAGCCTTTTGTTATAATATTGGTGCGTTTTAGGCCTCAGAAGCAGGGCTCAGAAAATAGAACACCTCTCTCTGACCTTTTCTTCCCCTCCTTTCACCTGCTCCTTTTTCTCCCCAAGGCAGGCCACAGAAACTAAAAATATATAGTCATCTTCCCCCTTTTCTGTCTTTCTGCTGGCCGTAAATTCTCTGACCTATTGTATCGGATTGTAGGTCATAAGATGCCCATTTCAGGAGTCCTGCCTCATACTCAGTAAGCAGAAATGCTGCGGAGAGGCCAAGAAGAATTTGAACTGACAGCCTGAATGTCCCCACTCAGTCTATTAATATGAGATCAAACTCTTTTTGTCCAGTCACGTTTTACATGGTTGTCCATGCTTCAATCATGCTTATCCAATGAAGTCTCCATAAAAGGTCCAAGAGGATGGGGTAAAGAGAGCTATGGACAACTGCACTTGTGGAGGCTTGCAGGAAAGTGAACAAGAACTCATCCATGTGCCAGGATAGTGGCACATCCCATCTCCACAGGAAGAAAAGCTCCTGCACCCAGAACACTGCCAGACCTCCCCCTGTGTATCTCTTCATCTAGTTGTTTATTGTATCGTTTACAACATCCTTTATAATAAATTGATAAATGTGTTTCCCTGAGTTTTGTGAGCTGCTCTGCCAAATAAATTGAGCAATACAATCAGAAAATTAATCAACAAAATAAAACACCCAGAAATAAAGCTAATAAAAAATGTACAAGATCTTAAAAGATAAACATAAGACATAATAGACCTGAATAAATCTTAAGTATGGAAAGACAAATCTTTTCATGATGACAATTCTTCCTAAGGTAATGTGTGGTTAATAAAATCCCAACCAAATTCCACCATCTCTTCTTAGGGCTTGATAAGCATATTCTAAAATTCAAGCAAATGACTAAAAGGCCAAGAATAGCCAAGATAACTTTTTAGCGGTGAAAATATTTGTTCTACCTGATATTAAGGCTTACTATAAAGCTACATTAATGAAAACACTGAGTATTACTGAAGGAATACGCAAATAGTAGATGGAAGAAACAGTACATACAGAATCCTGACATGGGCTTATGCATACATATATATTTGGTCTATGATAGAGGCAGCATTAGAAATCAGTGGGAAAGATTAGACTATTCAATGAATTGCATTGGGACAACTGGCTAGCCAAATTTAAATAACAAATAAAACCACACACTAAAAAAATGAATTCTAGTTAAAGATTTACAATAAAAAGGCACATTCTTCATGCCCCAGGAACTTTCCTTCTAAGAATCTACTGTGAGAGCTAGGTGTGGTGGCTCACACCTGTAATTCTAGCACTTTAGGAGGCCAATATGGGAGGATCACTTGAGCCCAGGAATTCAAGACCAGCTTGGGCAACACAGCAAGACTCCGTTTCTATTGAAAAATGAAATAAAGTAAGAATCTACCCTGGAAAAATAGATGCACGGTATATAGACATTTACATGAGTGTACACTAGAGCACTCTGTAACATAACATTGAAAACAACCTACTTGCCCAACAATAGGCCTAAAGAAAAGTGAAACCGCCTTTGCAAAATTATGACTTAGACAGCGAAAGAGATCTAACTTAACTGACTCCATCTTGCTTCTAGCCTCCAAGCTGTCTTTGTTCATTCCTGGGTACGGATGGAACTAACTTTGGGAGAAACTAATAGTTTAAACATAGAGATTAACAACCCTTTCCCAAAGCAGATCTCCTTCTTGCCTGGGGACTAGATTGCCTTTGTAGGACTAACATTAGCCATAAGATTAGAAATTATGGTTTAGGAGTCATGTAGCTGGAAGCTACAAGATTCTGACCCTCCCTAACTGCTCCTAAGATCAATGCCTGAGATATTTTGCAGACCCTGCACTTGATGGATTAGCTGGCACAACCCAGATCAATAAACTGGCTCATCTGAGCTTGTGGCCCCCCACCCAGGAACTGACTTAGCACAAGACAGCTGCAACTCCCTATGATTTCATCTCTGACCAATCAGCACTCCTGGCTCACTGGCTTCCCCCCATCCACCAAGTTATCCTTAAAAACTCTGCTCCCTGAATGCCTGGGGAGACTGATTTGAGTAATACAACTCTGGTCTCCCGCACAGCCAGTTCTGTGTGAATTACTTTCTCTATTGCAATTCCCCTGTCTTGATGAATCAGCTCTGTCTAAGCAGCAGGCAAAGTTTACTCCTTGGGCGGTTACAAATTTGGGGGCTTGTCCAGGACTGCCCTTGTAGCTACCTGCCCATGGTTCAGTGGCCCCCCTCCAGCGATGGATCCAGAAGCCAGCCCAAGCAGCCACCTAGTTCTTTTGGAACTGGGGGCTGATTCTGGTACTCTCTCTACTGGCGGGGCACTGCTGACCCCATGTGCACAGATTTAATAGCAATGGAGAAATAGTCCTGGGGGGACATCCCTTAACTGTAGCCCTACCACAGGGTGTCTGTCTGTAGCCCCACTGCAGAGTGTCTGCATTGGTGAGTATCCTAGGCGCTGCCAATGCCTCCTTCCTTCTCCCAGCAGCTTCTGTAGCCCTATGGTGTGGTGTCTGTAGCCCCATTACGGGGTGTCTGTTTGTAGCTCTACCATGGGGTGTCTGTGTCTGTAGCACCACTGCTGGGTGTCTGTTTGGCTCCTGAAGTGCTCCTTCTAACCAGGAGGAAGAGTCCTGGTTTGGAAGACTTCTACTCAATCAGGAAGATTTCGAGGAGGTTTCTCAGACCGAGAATAGGAGGATAGCTTGGTTAGGGATCTGATTTAGAAGGCTGTCTGTCTCATCTTTGCATGTGTTTATGTGGAAGGGATCTCAGAGGGGTTGCTGATGGAAGTCCAGCAGGCCTAACTCAAAGAACCTTCCTTATTTGTCTGGTGACATTCGATGAGCTCTAAAGAAGACTCAACGCTCAACAGGTCTGTCTCTTGGGGTGACTATCTGCTCTTCCCCTTGCCCAGAGACCCCATTGTGAATTAACATTCATAGGTTGTCCTTTCCCACCTGGTATGGATCAAAGACAACAGGGACCAATGGGAAAAAGTTTGAGCTTCGTCAGGTTGACTTTGGGTGCTGAACAAGGTGACTAATGTTTGTTTTGTTATGTGTGTTTTGCTGGGATAGAAAATGTTAATTCGGTTCCCCATGCAGCCTGTTGGGCAAATTAAGAATATTGCCTATGTTTCATAAAACAGGAAAGAGTGACTTTCTCTTGTAAAGCGGCTTGAACCCCACAGCTATGGCGCAGTGAGCAGGGTCATCAGAACCTGCTCCATTCTTCTGGAAGATGCAGAGAAAGGGAGCCCAGAAACCTGGTATACCGGCAAAAAGGGGTAAGAAATGCTTACCAGCCAAGTTTCTGGTCTCTCTCTCTCTCTCTGTCTGGGTAAATGGTAAATGTCACTATTTGTCTCTCTGCAAGGGTTTGTTTAATAGAAACTAGTCTTTGGCGGTAGCAAACCTGGTGTACTTTGTGCTAAGAATTTGTCTGTGTTCTGTAATGGCGAAAGGACTATCACAGATAGAACGTGGGTTTAGGACCCCTATAAGTCCACTTTTCAAGCCAGCCTAGCAGGCTGGACAGTTACTTTGCTACGGGTCTCCGAAACCAATATTGTATGAAATTTCTTTGTCTTGTTTTCTGTCCTCAAGAGCTTAACCTTGTGACAATGTAGGGATACTTTCTCTTGGTTTCCGCCATCCAGAGGACAGGAATTTTGAGGCTCATGTCATAGGTAGCCCTAAAAATTATCTTGAGTAGTTAAACACCTTTGCAAGCTTGAAATTGGCTTCTCTAGCCTCCTTCTGGGAAGAACAGTAGAAACCGCTCATTGCTCTAACTCAGTAGCTAAGGCTTTGCTTTTCGACAATGGCAGCCTGGATTCTATTCTTGGCTTCCAGAATGATTCCTGTCTGGTTTTTTATTTATGTAACTTTGCCATTTATTGAGGTTCCCCACCCACCCATGGATAGTTTCTGATTTCCTATCTTGAATTTTCCTTTCTCTAAACCACCCTGGGGGAGATTCTAAATCTTGAAAAAAAAAGAAAAAAAAAAGAAACTGCTTACCATCTCTTTGAGACACCTGTGTGTCCATGGCTAAGTTACAACATTAGTGAAAACTGATTAATTTCATGTGGGAAGTTACCTGTGGTAAAATTCAAAAGCCAAAAATATTGGCCACTTGGTATGGCTAAAGTTGGGTAATAAAAAAATTTTGAAGAATTTTTTTTAAGAGTGCTATGGTTAAAAGCTTAATTAAAAGTGGATAAACAAGCTGTAGGTATATTTAAAAGGCCTTTTTTTTTTCTTCTTGGAACTTGTTTTACTGGAAAAAGATTTTTTCTTCTCAGTCAACTGAATTATTTTTTTCTTTGTGTGTGTGTGTGTGTGTGTGTGTGTGTGTGTGTGTGTGTATGAGACAGAGTCTCAATCTGTTTCCCAGGCTGGTGTACAATGGCACGGTCTCAGTTCACTGCAACCTTTGCCTCCCAGGCTCAAGAGATTCTTCTGCCTCAGCCTCCCAAGTAGCTGGAATTACAGGCATCTGCCACCACACCCAGCTAATTTTTGTATTTTTAGTAGAGATGGGGTTTCACCATGTTGCTAGGTTGGTCTTGAACTCCTGACCTCAGGTGATCTGCCTGACTCAGCCTCCCAAAGTGCTGGGATTACAGGTGTGAGCCACTGAGCCCAGCCTGTCTTGCCACTCTTAATGCACAGATGAGAGGCCCTAAGATAACTTCTGGTAGCCTGGGACTCATTGGGAAAAACAGAGGAGGCACCACAGACCCCGTTTTGGGGGAAACAAACAAACAAACCACCTCTGTTTTCCTCATGAAACCACAGGAATTAAAAACTGATAGATCCCTTTCAAAATCAAACGCTCTGTTCTGTTTTGCGTTGTGTTATCTGATGGTTTTGAGTTTTGGGGTATCAGAAATTACTTCGCATTATGAGAGAGCTTTGGTGTGTAATAACTAAGTAGGAAATATACTTTAAGGGATGGCTAAGAGTAGTTATGGAGGGATACTTGACTCTGCACACTTGGATCAGAAAAGCATGCTCTTGGCCACCTGGAAGATAAGGAAACATCCCCACCCAGAACTGGGAGATGAGACTCCCACAAGAGATGGGCTGATTACAAAATGGGATAATTGGGTTTGGGTTGCCTTGCAATGAAATGCAGCGTAGAAGCACTGCACTGTCGACTGGTCATGGTAGCTCATGCCTGTAAGCCCAGCACTTTGGGAGGCTGAGGTGGGCGATCACTTGAGGTCAGGAGTTCAAGACCAGCCTGGCCAATACGGTGAAACCTCGTCTCTACTAAAATGCAGAAATTAGCCAGGCGTAGTGGTGCGTGCCTGTAGTCGCAGCTACTTGGAAGGCTTAGGCAGGACAATCGCTTGAACCTGGGAAGTGGAGGTTGCAGTGAGCTGACATCGTACCATTGCACTGCAGCTTGGATGTCGCAGTGAGACTCCATCTCAAAAAACAAACAAACAAACAAAAAAAACAGCAGCAGCAGCACTGCACTGTCTTCTCCTGTAGTATTTCCCTTATTTTGGGGATCCAGGATCCAGTATAAAAAGGCACCCTTAATTTTGGGGATCTGTCTTTGCCTTCAGCTGCTTATTTGCTGCTTATGTGGCCCTAGAAATACATGCTTTCCTGGCCCTGTTCCTCCAAGGGCTCAATTCTGAAGCCAGTAATCCAATAAAGAAACTGGCAAATGAAAAATCTTACAAGGGCTGAATCTTCTGTGTATTTCTATATGTTGTATGTTTATATACAAAAGAGCTCTGATTGGCTTAGGAAAGTAAACGTTTAAATCAAATATTTTGTCAGAAAAATAGAAACTTTTAATGCCTTTTCGTTCACGTGGCTTTAGTATTCTTTTAGAAGACAGTTTTAAAGACTGATAAAATAAAATGTCTTGAAAATGGAAACATTTGGTCTAAATTAAGATATCAGATTTGCCAAATGCTTTAAGGTCAAATTGTTTCTTTGACTTCTGAGAATTGTTCAATTTACCTATTTTGGAGCATTAGATTACAGATAAGGCCTTGGGACATATGGAGAGCCATGCCCGTTGGCTATGCTAAAAAGAGTCAGACCTTATCATCATTTCTGTCTGATATCCTAGGCTCCACCCCAAGCTGGGCACAGTGGCTCACGGCTGTAATACCAGCACTTTGGGAGGCCGAGGTGGGCAGATCACGATGTCAGGAGTTCCAGACCAGCCTGGCCAGCATGGTGAAACCCCGTCTCTTACTAAAAATTAGCTGAGCATGGTGGCATGCGCCTGTAGTCCCAGCTACTCGGTAGGCTGAGGCAGCAGAATTGCTTGAACCCGGCAGGCGGAGGTTGCAGTGAGCCAAGATCACACCACTGCATTCCAGCCTGGGCGACAGAGTGAGACTCCGCCTAAAAAAAAAAAAAAAAAAAAAAATCGCTTACTTATCAGGTTTTTCACTAAAAATAAAATTTGCTAAGAGCTAACATTGTAACATTTAATTGAGACCACTGGAGAAATAGTTTTACATACAAGGTGTGTAGGAAATGTGTTTTTGTTAAAAGATTATAAGAAGGCATGGGAATATGGCTTTTGTTAAAGGGAATGTAATTTTGTCTATTTCAGAAGGTTTTAAGGATTGTCTTAACCTAAAAGAGGAATGGAACAAAACTGAAGGTTTAAGCAAAGTCAAAAGGGTTTGTAAAGGGTTGATCTTGTAAAAATTATGTGGGTGTAAACAAGTTGGCTAAGATTTAAAAGAAATTATTTAGTTTTCCACAGGTTAAAAAATTAAAATGATACTGATGTGGGGCCAAAATCTGGGCCCAAGTGTCCGAATAACAGGGTTTTCTTAGAAAACTGATCTGCTGTTTGATGGAAAATTGTAAAGGGGTCTAAAAAGTTTATGAAAATCTTACCTTATGGTTAAACTAACTACTGGATAGAGATATAAACTTTTATTTAAAAAACTAGCTTTAGGCTGGGAGTGGTGGCTCACACCTGTAATCCTAGCACTTTGGGAGGCTGAGGCAGGAGGATTACCTGAGGTTGGTAGTTCAAGGCCAGCCTGGCCAACATGGTGAAACCCCATCTCTACTAAAAATACAAAAAATTAGCCGGGTGCAATGGCACGCGCCTGTAATCCCAACTACTCTGGAGGCTGAGGCAAGCAAATCGCTTGAACCTGGGAGGCGGAGGTTGCAGTGAGTCGAGATCATGCCATGGCACTCCAGACTGGGCTACAGAGTAAGACTTCGTCTCAAAAAAAAACCAAAAAACAAAACAAACAAACAAACAAACTAGCTTTAACATTAAAGATGCATTAATGCAAACATGAAATTTGGTTTTCTCTTTTGAAGATGATTTTTAATTAATGTTAAAAGATAATAAAAGGGTCTTGTTTTCTCCTTTGGGTAAATGGCAGGGAAAAAATGGAGAGAAGAGAGATTCAGTTGGCCTCAAGCTATCTTCACTGGGTCTTCTTTGGAAAGCTAAGTCTCCTCTATCAGAGTAAAGGTTTTTCTTTTTTAAAAAAAATTTTTTTTGGAGTTATCATTTTGGCCAAAGAATGATTTATGGTGACCTGGGATTCTATTTTGTGATATCCAGTGTTTTAAACCTTTGCTACTTGACAAACTTTCCAAAATCAAATTATAAATTATGTCTCTTTCTAACCTAATATTTTAGATATTAGGTCCTCTAAAGTCCAAAAATGACATTTGGCTTATTTGGTGCAAAAATCATACAGGAAGCATTGTCAAATATGAAATGGTGTTTGGCTTTCTTTGGTCTACATTTGTGTAAATGTGTTATTAGTATATGTTATGAAATTATGTAAAACCCTTATAATTCTAATATGACTCAGTATATGTTATCAGTAATAATTATAATTATGTTAACACACTGTATGCCATGGAGGTGGCAAATTTCCTTGTCAATCGTGTCTTTAACTGTGGCTGCCCTAAAATGCTTTTGTCATCCACGGACAATTGTCTCATTTTGGTCCTCTTTAAAAGATGGTTTTATAAGCAGGTATAAAATTTAACAGGTGCTCTTAAATGCAGGATTCTGATTAATTAACTCTGGAGATTGTAACATTAGAATAAACACTTTCAAATAGATGAATGGTGTTTGGTTTACTTTGGACTGTATTTGTTTAAATATGTTATCAGTATGTGTTCCAAAATTATGGGAAACTTCTATAATGTTGACATAATTTAGTGTACATTATTATAATTGTTATGTAAAATTGCTGTATGCCACAGAAGTAACCAAAATTCCTAGTCAATTGTAGCTTTCATAGTGGCTATACATTTTTGTCATCCACAGGTATTTTGTCTTGCTTTGGTCCTTTTCAAAAGGCAGTTTATAATCAGATATAGGACTCTAAGTGCCAGTCTCAGATAACTTTAAAAATTGTGCTATTGGAATAGAGAATAAAACAAGCTTCTAGGACTCTCACGGAAAGCTAATGTGTTAAACATTGCTAAACGTTTTGTTTTCAGAGTTAAGAGAACTTATTTCTTTAGAGCTATTTGCAACTTTTAACAAGTAAAATATAATCCTGTGAACAAAATTTGGAGCATATTTGTTCCTTTCTACCTGATTTATCCAGAATTTGGAAACTATATGTGAATATTCTCAATTTATGGCAGTATAGTTCATTGCTTTAGTGCAATAAGAATCTGTTTTCTTTTGTAACAGGACACAGCTGGAGAAATCATGCTTCCTTTAAAGAATCAAAGTTGACTTATAGAGCCAATTAAAGCCTGTTGGGGAATCTGGCCTCATACCTTGTCCACACAGAGTCTCTGTACAAGCTTCCTGACAACCCGTGGTAAGTAAAGAATGTCACTTGCTAACAGGCCCAGGAACCCCAAGTTATCTTGGGACCTCAAGAGGAGAGAAATTTGCCCAACTCATAGGTATTTGAGAGTACAAATCCACAGCTGGGCTCAGCTTTTAAAAAGTCTTATCTGAGATTCTTCATGGAACAGAGTTCTATCAAAACCAACTTAAAAAGCCTAAGTGAAAAATAATTATTCTTGCTGCACTTTATGCAAATAATCAGGCCAAGCACAGTAAGGCTAAAGTTTATTTTGTAAACAAATCAGTCCTATCATGATTTGTTTTTAATAAAAATGGGGATTGGAGAGAGAAAATTATGCTTCAAAAGAAAAACTATAGTACAATATTGTAGCTGTTCTTGAGGGTTTTTTTCTGCAGTTTAAACAAAATTCTAAATTCTTTGTGGGTTAGAAGTCCCCAAACTAATACTTTCAAATCTTTGCTTTTAAAATTGGGAATTGTACTCCTCATCCTAGGACTCATTATTTACCTTATAGTAGGCTGTTTCACTTAAATACTGCAGTAAAATTACAGATGAAAATACTAATGTTCTAGCCATGCAAGCCATGAACGCCTGGCCAAGCCTGCGTGAGTACACTCAGACAGTTGCAAAGCAGTTCCACTCTTCTCACGCTGGGGTTCACTCCCATTCCCACTATGTCCCCTGTCAGGAGGAAGAAGCCAGAGCAATCAACAGCCTTTTCCCACCTTCATAACTTACACCTTATTAAGGTGTTATAAAATCCAAAGGGAGGGACTGAAACTGTCATTGCAAAATTATGACTGAGACAGTGAAAGAGATCTAACTTAACTAACTCCATCTTGCTTCTAACCTCCAAGCTGTCCTTGTTCATTCCTGGGCACAGGCTGAACTAACTTTGGGAGAAACTTACAGTTTATAGTTTAAATAAAGACAGTAACAGATCTTTCCCAAAGCAGATCTCCTTCTTGCCTGGAGACTAGATTGCCTTTGCGGGACTAACATTAGCCACAAGATTAGAAATTATGGTTTAGGAGTCATGCAGCTGGAGGTTACAAGATTCTGACCCTCCCTAAACTGCTCCTAAGATCAGTGCTTGAGGTATTTTGCAGCCCCTGCACTTGATGGATTAGCTGGCACAACCCAGATCAATAAACTGGCTCATCTGATCTTGTGGCCCGCCCCCACCCCTCCACCCCCTCCCCCCGAGGAGCTGACTCAGCACAAGACGACAGCTGTGACTCGCTATGATTTCATCTCTGACCAATCAGCACTCCTGGCTCACTGGCTTCCCCCAACCCACCAAGTTATCCTTAAAAACTTTGCTCCGCAAATGCTGGGGGAGACTGCTTTGAGTAATAATAAAACCCCAGTCTCCCACACAGCCGGCTCTGCGTGAATTACTCTTTCTCTATTGCAATTCCCATCTTGAATCAGCTCTGTCTAGGCAGCAGGCAAGGTGAACCTCTTGGGAGGTTATAAAAGTGTAGCATTTGGCCAGGTGCAGTGACTCATGCCTGTAATTCCAGTATTTTGGGAGGATAGTGAGAGTCTGTCTCAAAAAAAAAAAAAAAAAGCATTTTATAGGATGAAATACTCACACACCTAAAAGGAATGTACTAGAATTGTTATACATCAACATAACTGCTTTACTGTACACCAGGTGATAAGGCTCTGTAGCCAAAGTTACAAGGCAACTAGGTGTCACCCAAGGAAGAGACAGTGTATGACTTGAGGTCACTGAGAAAAGACACCACCCCCACCAAGCTCAAGAGGTACAATGTTTACTTATGGAGATGGAGGGTTCACAAGATCCAGCCACTTGCAATGTGTTGGTCCCTCGTGGCCAGCAGAACCACTCCACAGTCTACACAGGTGGTGTGTGTATACACGCTTCATATTGCAGTAGAAAGACCTTAACCCCTCCTCTGTGGGGTCTGAAATGAAGAAAGATAGGAACATGCATGACGGCTGCTGATTCATGCACTCAGAAACAGAACAAAGGAGGCCTGGCATGGTGGCTTGCACCTGTAATCCCAGCACTTTGGGAGGCTAAGGCTGGCACATTACCTGAGGTCAGGAGTTTGAGAACAGCCTGGCAAACATGGCGAAACCCCATCTCTATTAAAAATACAAAAATTAGCCAGGCGTGGAGACGTACAGCTGTAATCCCAGCTACTCAGGAGGCTGAGGCAGGAGAACCACTTGAACCCAGGAGGCAGAGGTTGCAGTGAGCCAAGATCGTGCCACTGCACTCCAGCCTGGGTGACAAAGCAAAACTCCATCTCAAAAACAAAAACAAAAACAAAACAAAACAAAACAAACAAAACAAAGGAGTACATCAAGTGCAGAAAAACAAGATAGTCCCTCACAAGATGTGACACCTACAGTCACAAGATGTTAAACCCAGCAAAGGTTGTGAGGACTCTTTCGCTCTTGTAAGGAAATGTCTCAGGCCCGAGGCCACTCTTTTTTCTCACTCTGTCATCCAGGCTGGAGTGCAGTAGCACGATCACAGCTCACTGCAGCCTCAAACTCCTGGGTTCAAGTGATCCTCCCACCTCAACCTCCTGAATAGCTGAGACTACAGACATGTGCCACCCTCACTCTGCCTGACTTTTTTTTAGCGATAGGGTCTCACTATGTTGCCCAGGCCAGTCTCAAACTCCTGGCTTCAAGAGAGCCTCCTGACTTGGCCTCCCAAAGCACTGGGATTACAGGCATGAGCCACAATGCCTGGCGTCCAAGGACACTCCTACACAGCCAAGTAAGGAGAGAGAAACTGTGCACGACTGCTTTTCCCAACAATAACAAAAATATGTGCTAAGTTTGAAAGCACATCCTAAATACGAATTGTGAAAACAAAACGTACAACCGTGTGTGTGTGTGACTGTATACGCATGTATGTGAATGTACCTATAACTACTCAAAGAAATTTTAAAAGCCTGGAAGGATTCACAAAAACTCTTACTGGTGGTGGGGGTAGGAAGGTAGAGAATTGCATTTAAAAGCAACTTTATATTTTTTTTGTCTTCTATTTCCTAAAAGAAAAGAAAATTGAAAAGCAATTATTAGAAAGCATAGTTATACTGTCATTTATGTCTTAAAGCAAATGAAAAGCAAAGCAGTTTACATATGCACATAAAAGCTCCTAAGCCTCACTACCAAAGTATTTTTAGCCATGATTTCCTCTGGGAGGTGGGATGAAAGGGCTCTCCTTCCTTATTTGCCTATGTTGCCTAAATTGTTACCCATTACATTTATAAACAGCAAAGTGATCAATAATTCTCTTAAGAAGCAAAGCAATTGAGTAGCAACTCGTAGGATTGAAGATGGCAGATGCACAGTAGAAGGGACAGCACATTCTTGAGGGGGGACTTGAGTACAAACCATGGCTTCAGCTCAAGCAACTACAAAAGGATGTTCTCCAGTTGAACAGATGTAAGGAGAAAAAAAAACAGGCAAGTGAGGTAGAGAACAAGAAGAGCAAAATGCTACCAAAACACAACATGCAAAACAAAAATAAAAAACCTATCCAGAAAGAAAACAGAAACAAAGAAAAGGAGTAGCCAGCAACAATGGAAGAAAAAAAATAAAAGTTGAAGAAAAAGAGAAATACAAGCAGTGCTGCCATTAATGTTCCACAGACACAGGATCAGCTGACTCTGTACAGATCACCTGCATCCAGAATTTCTCTAATATGACTCTTGGTTCAGTCTAGAGAGCAATCTCATCAGTATCTTCTTGTCCCTAAAAGCTTCTTTATCTAGAAGTAAAAGTACCCAGACATTATTGGTGGAAAAGATCCATCAGTAACAGCCATCAATCTACTCCAGGATCCAAATATGCCCATAAATAGCCACTGAACTGACAAACTAAAGACTCATGAGAGAAGAACTGGAGTGTCTACAAAAAGTGTGAGATGGACAACAGGTCTCAGAACTTGTTGCAAAGTGGCCCCACTACCCTGTGCACAAAGTCACAGATGAAGGTCATATCCCCTGAAAATGCTGACCCCTTCCATCTCCCACCACTGTGAAGCAAATGTAAAAGGAGTGACACTTATGAAATTAAAAGAGCCACCACCTTCTACATTTGCTCTGAACTAATACCTATCCAATGTCCTCTGCTCTCAGCAAGTGCTGCTAATACTGTCAAAAGAAATGACAGTAAACTAAGATGTAAAGAAGACTCACACTAGAAGGCATGCAATCATCCAGGGATAAAAAAGAAACTACAGCCCTACTCTATGGGCCAAGAAGAGGCAAGAAAAGAGCTACATTAGGGATCACACATGCTGAGGAAGCTGCTACAGTTCTGGCAGAGAACTGAAGCCTTGCTGTGAAAAAGGGGAGTGGAGTAAGAATAAGTATTCAAAGGAAAAAAAAAAGGGAAAATGAAAGAAGAAATAAAGTAAATAAATGAAGGCCTATAAAAGGAGACTCGAAGACTGAGAAGCAGTGGGAGCTTCAGGACCAAGAGGAGCAGGCTCCAGCCTCGGTGCGTGCCAGCAGCACAAAAGGGAAGGAGAAACACCTGATCAGGAGAAAGCTGAAAAACAGAAAAAGAAGAGAGACTTTCATGGCCAAACTTGCAGAACAGACAGAAGAGAAAGAAAACCAAAGTATGAAAAGAACCAAAATGCTGCTAAAGATGAAGATAAATCTGGCAATTAAGTTAAAGAGAAAGAAATTGAGGCCAGAGAGAAACACTTTTAAGAAATGTACCCAGTGAAAAATATAAATGGCACTGACCAATCTCAGGAAATTGACACCTACAGTCAAATTAGCTCCAAAAATAAGTCTCCAAGCAGGACTGTTCTGAAGCAGCTGCTGCACAAATGTCCAAAAGGGTCAGTGACTTTTTTTTCCCCCCTACAACAGCTAACTTCCAGATTTTTGGAGGAGGACGGGGGAACAAGGGTTTCACTATATTGCCCATGCTGGTCTTGAACTCCTGGGCTCACACAATTCTTCTGCCTCAGCCTTCTGAGTAGCTGGGATTACAGGCGCATGCCACCTTGCCTGGCAGTAATGTATTTGTAAAGAGGTGATGAGAAGACTGACAGAAAATTCAGGGCGAATGCCTGTGAATATAGTGAGGATTCCAGTCCTTGAGTCAAAGAAAGGTTAGCTCAGCCTCTGCAATCATGAACATGAATAAAGACCTCACGGGCCTCTCAAACTCTGAATGAAAGACCCAGAGCATAGTGAACATACAGCTACCTCAGCAGACAGCTGAGCCCGCCAATGAAATTCAGGTATCTTAATGCCACAGGCTTCTCCCAAGTCCCAACTAGCTTTTAAGCATAGAAGAAAAGCTTCATTTATCTTCTTGCTGAGATTATATCACAATTACACTCAGAACTGGGAAGGAACATGAGCTGGATCTTATTCTCAGGACTCTCCCCCCAGAGCTTTATACCTTAACCCAGTTTCATTCCCACAAAGAAAATGGCTTTGAAAAGAACAGGGAAACTTCCAACCAAGATCTTGATATTTTTCAAGGAGATTTTCTTCTGTTACATTGTTTCTTCACCTCATGGCCAATGTAATTTCTTTGTTTTCCTTTTAATGTCCCCATGAGCTAGTCTCTTATTTTTGTGTTTTCCTACCAGTGTAAGTGTATAGAAGGTATATAAACTGATATTAAGCAAACAGGTTTCCAAGATAATCACCACTTAAGAAAAAATGCAGGCCGGGCGCAGTGGCTCACACCTGTAATCCCAGCACTTTGGGAGGCTGAGGCGAGATCATCTGAGGTTGGGAGTTCGAGACCAGCCTGACCAACATGGAGAAACCCCGTCTCTACTAAAAATACAAAAATTAGCCGGCATGGTGCTGCATGCCTGTAATCCCAGCTACTCGGGAGGCTGAGGCAGGAGAATCGCTTGAACCCAGGAGGCGGAGGTTGCAGTGAGCCGAGATCATGCCACTGCACTCCAGCCTGGGCAACGAGAGTGAAACTCCACTTCACACACACACACACACACACACACACACACACACACAAAAAATGCTTTCAGTATATATTTAAAGCCTTAAAATAATATTTATATTCATTTACCAATTAAGAAATAAACTAATAATGGGAGTGCCCAAAATTTGATTTCTAAATACTATACTATTCTCCAATTAAAACAAACAACAACAACAACAAACAGGGATCCTTGGAGAAGTGACTGATGCCAGGCTGGGGAGGGAAAAATATAAGGGTTTTGGGTGCCAGAAAACAAAAACTAAGGAAGGACTAAAAAAAAAAAAAAAAATCGGGGCAAACAGACACAGCTCCCAATAGTCAAAGAGCTACAATAATTTCAGCAATAAAATAACAACAGTACTGCATTCTAGTGCAAAGAATAAAATAAGTATCCAAAGCACACAATAATATAACTGATTGAATAAATAAATAACAGGGGAGAAGGGATAACTCTTCCTCACAAAGATTCCAATTAATACTTTGAATGAATGAGAATTGTATGTAAGTATCCAATGAATGCCTAGAAGGAATGAAGGAAAGAGAAAGTCAAATCCCAACACCACAGTAGTCATTGCTGCAGGCAAGATCAATCAATGAATGCTACTTAGACCAAAGTTCAAAGAGAAACAGCATCTCATATGCAAAGTAGTAAACTATCTTCCCCCAAATAATTACTGATGACTAGGAGAAAGACAGTAAGGTTCCAGTGGTAAAACTTGACAGAAAACTTGAGATGCAACCAAATTGAGGGACTTTATAAAAATACAAATATAAGGCCGGCACGGTGGCTCATGCCTGTAATCCTCGCACTCTGGGAGGCTGAGGTGGGCAGATCACCTGAGGTCGGGAGTTTGAGACTAGCCTGACCAACATGGTGAAACCCTGCCTCTACTAAAAATACAAAATTAGCCAGGCCTGGTGGCACATGCCTGTAATCCCAGCTACTCGAGAGGCTGAGGCAGGAGAATCACTTGAACCTGGGAGGCGGAGGTTGCGGTGAGCCGAGATCACGCCATTGCACTCCAGCCAGTGCAACAAGAGCAAAATTCCGTCTCAAACAAACAAAAAACAGAACAAACAAAAAAACAAATATAAAACACTTCTTCAGAAGTGTTTTGAAAGACTAAGTAACTGTCACAGATTGAAGCAGACCAAGTAGACATGACAACTAAACGTAATGAGGAATTCTAGATTGGAGCCTACAACAGAAAAAGAATGCTTAAATAAACTTTTAAAAGTCTGCAGTTTAATTAATAGTACTGTACCAACGTAAATTTTTTAATTTTGATGAACGTACTATGGTAATCCAAGATAGCAACTTGAGACAAACTAGGTAAAAGGTGTAAGAGAACTCTGAAAGTCTACAATTATTCCAAATAAAAAGTTTGCTGGCCAGGCGCGGTGGCTCACACCTGTAATCCTAGTACTTTGGACGGCCGAGGCAGGTGGATCACCTGAGGTCAGGAGTTTGAGACTAAAAATATGAAAATTAGCTGGGCGTGGTGGCGCATGCCTGTAATCCCAGCTACTCAGGAGGCTAAGGAGGGATAATTGTTCAAAGGGGATGGGGCGGGGCAGAGGTTGCAGTGAGCTGAGATCATGCCACTTCACTCCAGCCTGGGTGAAAGAGCGTTAACTCTGTCTCAAAAAAAAGGTTTGTCTTATCTTACATTGAGAAGTTCCAGTCATTCAGTCATCATCATTTTTATCTGATTTATTTCCATTTTAGGTATTACAGGTTTTGTTTTGTTTTTTTGAGACGGAGTTTCACTCTTGTTGCCCAGGCTGGAGTACGATGGCGTGACCTCCACTCACTGCAACCTCCGCCTCCTGGGTTCAAGCAATTCTCCTGCCTCAGCCTCCCAAGTAGCTGGGATTACAGGTGCCCGCCACCATGCCCAGCTAATTTTTTGTATTTTTAGTAGAGATGGGGTTTCACCATGCTGGCCAGGCTGGTCTTGAACTCCTGACCTCAGGTGACCCACCCACCTCAGCCTCCCAAAGTGCTGGGATTACAGGCATGAGCCACCATGCTCAGCCAGGTATTAAAGATTAACTTGGTAAGTGGCTCTTAAAAATCGAGGACATTTAATACTGTCAATTTTTATCTACCAATTTGGATTCCTTCTTTCATTAATTTGTCATATATTTATTGAGAACCTACTGTATGTTCCAGTACTGCCTTGAGGCGTCTATGAGGAGACAGATTCGTGGTATGCTAAACAGTGACAGCTGCTACATAGTAATATAAAACAAGAGGCGGGCACGGTGGCTCACGCCTGTAATCCCAGCATTTTGGGAGGCTGAGGCAGGCAGATCACCTGAGGTCGGGAGTTCGAGACCAGCCTGACCAATACGGTGAAACCCCGTCTTTACTTAAAATACAAAAATTAGCTGGGCGTGGTGGCACACACCTGTAATCCCAGCTACTTGGGAGGCTGAGGCAGGAGAATCACTTGAACCCAGGAGGCGGAGGCTGCAGTGAGCCGAGTTTGCACCACTGCACTCCAGCCTGGGCAACAAGAGTGAAACTCCGTCTCAAAAATAAAATAAATAAAATAAACAAGGAAAAAGAAAATAAATTTAAGAATAGGAAGGAAAAAAAGAAATTCATAAATTCAATCTTACAGAACACCTAACAATTCGCCTGAGAGTCACAGAAATGTACTCTTTCACATTGTTTCTAATACAAAATCTTGAAAATTGCAAAATACAGTGTTATGTTTTACTATAGTTTACTCTCTGACATCGTAGACTGCTTATGCACTAATTCTTCCTGGATACCGGAAGCCAGAGAAAACCTAGCGGTGGAATACTTGCCATTTTTCATGCTTTTTGTCAGTTTCCTTTTTAAGTGCATACTGAGGTTTATCTTCAAAACATTCTCATCTTTTCGGCTTACAGTAAGACTTTTTTTTTTTTCTAACCAAAATGTGTCTGCCTTTCATTAAGATAACATAAAAGAGCAGCCTAATTCTTTGGTCCCTGAATATGCACACACATGCATGCACACACACACACGCAGACACACACACAACACATGGAGGCTCTCTGAAACTGCTTAATCAAATTACTGCTCAAACCACTCCCTGGCACTTCCTTGCAAAACAACCAACCTAATACTGAGTTTTTAGTTTTGCACTACAAGCCGTTTGAAACAGAATAACATTCTTTCCTGGCCACCACTTTTAAATTCGGAAGGAGACAATACTCTGATCTCTTAGGCCTGTGCAAGTCAGAGTGTGCTACAATCGCTGCAGGTTAGAGCTCTGCCTTTGTTTAAAAACTGCATTTTATATACTAGTTACTTCATTGTGAAAGATAACCACCCTGACAAACAAGATTTTGCTATTTTTCTGCACAAATGTCACTTCACCATTTAGAGCTTCATGCAAATGTGTCTCCTACAGAAAATAAACTGCAAACACGATTTCTTAATTATCCTCGCCAAAAAAAAAATGTTTTAGTGGTGTCATAATGCCAGCACTAATTTTAGCCAAAATAAGAACAAATGCATTCTACAAATTCAGGAGATTATAATTTTTAAAAAGCAGTAGTATGGATATACTTAATGTCACTGAATTACACACTTCCAAATGGTTAAATGGTAAACGTTTATGTATTGTATGGTAAATGTTATGTGTTATTTTGGCACAATATTGTTTCCTCACAATAATACTAACAGGTTTTTTAAAAAGCAAGAGCACGCTCTCATTTCGTAATATATATTTATGGATGTCAGTGTGCAGAATTATGCACAGATATTTTAAATGTCAGGAGGCCTGGAGACAGATTTCAGGATTGCGGCTACTTTTACTTTTCTTCTACTTTCCCGTGTTATCTAATTGTCTCTGATAAATACGCTTTATATGCAGAATTGGATGAAACGAGAAAGCCCGGAGAAACCCGGGCTCCAGATTCTCTACCCCGGACGCCTGGGAGGCAAAGAGGTTCTAGATACGCCCTCAGCGTGGCGGGGGCGGGATCCACCGCCAGACCCCCGCCACGGGCGCAGCCTCCAGGCCGGGCCCCGTCCGCCGCCCGGGCAGGCCCGAGAATGCCGCGGACTTCGGGGAGCCCCGCGCCCGCAATGCCGCCACCCCCACCCCCGCGCCCCGCCAGGCCTCTCACCGACTCCCGCCGCCGAGCGACAATCGGTCCACCCGCCGCCACCGCAGCCGCCCGTCCCGCGCCTACCTCCCGGCGGCTCCAGTCGCGCACGCGCGTCGGCGCCCGGGGCCCTCCGCGGCCTCTCTAGGAAACTGGGAGGCCCAACGTCTCTGCTTCTCTCCGGCTCCGGTGCGGCGGGCGGCGGGGCTTGTCCAACATCCCTCACCTCCCTCAGTTGGACATTTCCCTTCCACGCTCGGATGCCCAGCCGCGCCTGTTTTCTTGCATCCCTCCTGTCGTGTCTGCGGGGCTGCCCTGAAGGCCTCTTTCCCTCCAGGGAAGAAAGGGATCCAAAGCTAGGGGTGAAAATAGGGCCAGCAGTATCTAGCAGACTGGTCCTGGCCAGGAGAAGGGGTTAAGGGAGCCACTCATTCTTCGCCTGGGTACACTTCAAAGAGGGGAACCAGATCCTACGGGAAGCTAGGTGCCAGAACTCCTGCCTTTCCAAGACGAGCTCATCCCCATCATCACCATACCCAGGAATACTTGTTCATAGCCAGCTCAGAGGTGCACCATACTTTAGCTTCCCACGGCCTTCACTCGTTTTCTCCTGTGGGTGAATTCTAACTAGGCTCGCCTGGTGAGTGAACAATGATGCCATTGCCCAATAATATGTGGAATCTGGGAGGAGTAGGTTGGGGGTAGGGGGTGGAGGGGCTGCTTGAAGAGGAGGTGAAGCAACCTGGAGAGGTTGCCCACCCCCTGTAGGAGCAAATGTCATCTATTGCCAGTGCCAGAGAACCTTGAGGGTGCACAGCCAAAGCCATAAGGCCATCTGCTGCCATTGGAGGGCATGCTACAAGCTGCTGTCCTGGTAGTCCTCTGGTTTGTGCTTCCTAGTGGCAGGCTGCAACATGTTGACGATTGATCTTTCAGATGGGCATTGATGATGCCCATCTGTGCCCTGAGGCTTTGCTTTACTCATCTGATCCACCCCTTTTTAATGCCCCAGTCACCAAAGATGGAAACAGAGAATAGATCCTGAACACCAGGAAGATGGTGACAAGGTGATAGAGAAACAGATGGCACATTCAAACAAGGTAAGTGGGGAGAGTTCACAAGGGGCGATTTACACAAAGTGGACAGGGTTAAGGAAATGCAACACGGAGTGGTGCAGAATCCCATGGCTAGCAAAATTTAGAAGCTATTCTCACCCCTAGGAGCAGGCCATCTGAGAGAAACTGTGGCTTTCAGTTGAGGGCTACATCCAAGCCATAGTCCAGCACAAAGGAAGCTGAGGTAATAAATAACCTGAACCCAGCTCTCTTCTGATCTCCTGCCAGGGCTTCCCATTGGCCCAACTCAACTGGAAGCCAGAGGGCAATCCAGGAAACTCAGTCTCCCAAGTGTCACAGCAGGGTTGAGGACTGAGACTGAATATGGAGGGGCAATTGGAAAATATCCAACACATACAAAAAGGAAAATAGAAACTGCTTGTCAATGCCTAATTTGTCCATTAATTTCCACTCGATATAATGTTCTTGAGTGACTCAGAACCACCCATAGTGGTGAGAAGAGTTTTCAAGTTTTGTTTGAGAACAAAATTTTCCCATCGTAGAAGAGTTTGAGCAGGTTCTCTGTGTTTGGGATGTACTTACTGGATGTTTTTCAACGTGATAGGTGGTTAGCATGGATAGCACCCACATTTAGTGTGATCAAACAGATCAACCAAATTGGCTTCACCAGCACTTGCAAAGTTCGGGAAGCAGCCACTGGGAGTGCAGCTCTGATTTTAAGACCTATACAGCTTCTTGAATCTCGAAGTTCTGCTAATACCTGATTTCTCCGAGTGCCACAGCACTCGAGCCTATAACCATGAGGTTTCTTCACTTTTCTGGTAGGAGGCATATTCTTGCTAGCTGTACTTCCTGAGCACTGTACTCTTTCAGATCGGGGCAGTTTGCTTAGTAAAAGCCCTAGGTAAGATTCTCAAATTCTCATGTGCATATGAATACAAATCACTTGGGATCTGGTTAAACTGTAGATTCAAATTCAGGAGGTCTGGGGAGGGACCAACGAATATTTTTAACAAACTTCCAGGTGTACCCATATTGCAGTTCTTGGACCACACTTGGAGAAGCAAAGAACTGTGCATGTAAATCAGTGGTTCTTAACTTTGCTGCAGATTAGAATCCTCCTCAGAGCTTTTAAAAAGTCCATACCTCATATCAATTCAATCCAAATCTTTGTGGGTGAGACACTGACAAGCCTAGATTTTAAAATCCCTAGATGATTCCAACATTTGAGAACCTGGAAGTAGATAATTATCCTTTTACCCTGATTCCTTGCTACATGTAAAAACCACATGCTAAAGGATTGCATGTTCATTTGCTTCTTTGTTTTGGAATTTAAAGTGTATCAGGATTCTGCCTTTCAAACAGAAGGGGGAAATTTCCTCCTTAATTTTTTTCTTCTTATTTTGAAATGGGGAAGAAAAAATTGGGGTGTTGAGATGGGGATCTGGAATGTGACTTGAGAAAAGAGATAAGATGTTAAAACTAAGAATCAGTTGTGGGCAAACAAATTGGCCTGGTAGGATTTTCACTCCTTTTCTGGCCTCAAACTCAGCCCCTTCTCTGTAGTTTGAAGGAGGCAGGTTGAAATATTAGGATGAAAATAAAATAGAGCAATGTATCTGAGGATGGTGATTACTGTGATCCATTGGATTAGTGTACTCTTCTATAAGAAAAACATAAAACAAATGTTTAAGCAGTTAAATTATGTGTAATTGTGGCCATTTGAAATATATTACATATTATATCATATAATTAATCTTCTCTGAATTCCCCCTTCTGCCTCTAATTCTAAGATATTGAAAAATACATTTTAATGAGATTTTAGAAGGTGATCCAACTTTAAATGAATTTTAAAATTATCATTTATATCAAAGAAATACTGATGCATTTAGTACTAATGAAGGACTTAAAATGAAAAATTGAACTCAACTCCCTCCTCCACCCTCCATCTTTTTCTGCAGAGGATATTCCTTGCATCTGAACATAAAAGTAGAGAAAGAGAGAGGATCAGGAAGCCAGGAGAGAATATACACGAATTTAAACTTTATTGGTAGTGGAGGGGGTGAAAGAATCTTTGAGTCAGACCATAGCCATGAGGAAGAAAAACTATGGAATCTTTGCTTTTATGCATTGCTATACCTCAAGTACTTAGAACAGCACTGACTACATAGTATGTACTCAATAAACATTTGTTGACTAATCAATCTTCTCTATGTCTAACCCAGGCCCTTAGGAGGTCTCTATTGTGATAATAGCCAAATCCTCAAACAGGCCAGATTTAGCTGGCATGATAACGAAGGCCCCTCCGCTTTAATCCTTACAAGGAAAGTAATCTGAAATAACTAATGCCAACCAGTCTGCCTTTGGTTCCCTATTTTTGCTTTCTTTGGCCTTTTTCTGCTTATAAAGCCAATCTCCTCTGTTCAGCTTATCAGAATACCCGTTCTATTTTATAGAATGAGATGTTGCCCGAATCTAGAATCACTAACAAAACCTAATTTGGTCTTTATTATTTATTTATTTATTTATTTATTTATTTTTGAGACGGAGTCTCACTCTGTCACCAGGCTGGAGTGCAGTGGCACGATCTCAGCTCACTGCAACCTCTGCCTCCTGGGTTCAAGTGATTCTCTTGCCTCAGCCTCCTGAGTAGCTGAGATTACAGGCGCCCACCACCACACCCAGCTAATTTTTGTATTTTTAGTAGAGACAGGGTTTCACCATGTTGGCCAGGCTGGCCTTGAACTCCTGATCTCAGGTGATCCACACACCTCAGCTTCCCAAAGTGCTGGGATTACAGGCGTGAGCCGCTGCACCTGGCCTAATTTAGTCTTCAAACTAAATTTGTCGTAATTTCATCTTTTGACAACTGCTTCTGTCCTGCCTTTTTTTCACTTGCCATTCTAATGTCAAGTGTTTTTTATCACATCACTAAATAATCTTCAAAATTTTATTTTTCCTCAGGGCCCTGAAGTGATCCTCCTCCTGTTCACTGACACCCGTTGCCAAGAGAGAGAGAGAAAAAGAGAGAGAGAGAGAAGCAGGAAGAGAGGAGAGGGTGCTGGCCTTATTAGAGAAAGAATGTAAGGGGAAAGAAAACAATCATGTTAGCTTTGATTTCTGTAATAAGTCTGTATCACAGACAGGCTTAGAAAGCAAAGCTTTGGCATTACAAGAGCCCATGAGGGAGCAAAGCTCTCTTATAGAAAGTCTGAGGCCAGGCACAGTGGCTCACATCTGTAATCCCAGCAATTTGGGAGGCCGAGGCGGGCGGATCACGAGGTCAGGAGATCGAGACCATCCTGGCTAACACGGTGAAACCCCGTCTCTACTAAAAATACAAAAAAATTAGCTGGGCGTGGTGGCGGGCGCCTGTAGTCCCAGCTACTCGGGAGGCTGAAGCAGGAGAATGGCGTGAACCCGGGAGGCGGAGCTTGCAGTGAGCTGAGATCACGCCACTGCACTCCAGCCTGGGCGGCAGAGCAAGACTCCGTCTCAAAAAAAAAAAAAAAAAGAAAAGAAAAAAAAGAAAGTCTGGAGGTGGAAGTTCCGAGACTTGACACAACTAATAGAATTAGTTCATGATGTGTTATCATTCCAATGGCACCAACAACTCACTCACCACCTGTGCCCCAGGCAAACCTGCTCCTCCTGCTTTCCTTATTCTCTATCTGAAGAAAGAAATAGGAAGTGTCAGTATGGGTACTAGAAGCCACATCTATCTATACTCATTAATTCTTTCATTCACAAAGAATTTATTGATTATGCACTATGTGCTAGATACTGTTCCCGACCTGGGGTATATCAGTTACCAGGTGTCAAGCAACTGACACCTGTTTCCACCTCCAACAGAGAAGTCCCACTGGGTAGAGGACAGCAGAGCATAAAAATGAGTACCACCAAAACCAGCAGTCCTACGATGTTAAGCCACTGCAGGGTTTGAAGGTTTGGGGGTTGTCAAGAAAGACAAGACTTACACAAGCACTGGATGGAACATTTTACTCAACAGAGAAGAGACAGAGTAAGATCAGCTTCAATAGGGAGCATTGGTTCCCCATGGCCAGTGGGACTTGCCCTGCAACCAGGACAGACAGATGGTCTGCATACACTCTTTGTGTGTTGCCTGGGAGGGACCCCATTCCCATCCCACTGAGAACAGATATAGCAGTGGGGTTGGGCTGGTACCATATGATGCACATGTTTAAGCAGAACAAAGAAGTACATGTCAAACCTGGAACAGGAAAAGATATTCCCAAACAGGGCAGTGAGCCCAGCACAGGGTGTGGAGGCTCTTTATCACCATGTAAGTAAAAGTTCCAAGCCCGAGGCACATTCTTTGAAACTGCAAGGTTTGACAGGCTGTGCAGGAGTGTCTTTCCCAGCAGTTTACCCACTGACCCTTGCTTGGCTGCTGAAATAGCAGATAAAACATACTGAATCTAGCAGACCACCATCTGCCCTGAATTTGGAGGCAAAGCTGGGTCTGATGGGGCCTGAACAACCCCTATGGATTAGGTTTGCTCACAGAATCTTCCTGTCACTTTTTAAAATTAATAACCCTTATTTTTAAAATCTATTTATTTATTTTGAGACCAGGTTATGAGACTGGCTAATTTTTGTATTTTTGGTAGAGATGGGGTTTCACCATGTTGCCAAGGCTGGTCTCAAACTCCTGGGCTCAAGCAATCCACTCTCCTCAGCCTCCACAAGTGCTGGGATTACAGGCATGAACAACCGCACCTGGACAACCCTGATTTTTTAGAGCAGTTTTAGGTTCACAGCAAAATTGAACAGAAAGAACAGAGAGTTCCCAATTCACTCTGTTTCCATACACACATAACCTCCCCCTATAGACATCCCAAACCACAGTGGTACATTAGTTACAGCCAAATATGTATATATGTGTGTGTGTGTGTGTGTATATATATATATATATATATAAAATATATATTTTATATTATTATATATTTTATATAATTATATAATAAATTTTATATTATATATAAATATATAATATATAATAATTATATATTATATATATAATATATAGTATATATATAATATATTATATATAATAATATGTAATATATATTATATATATACTATATATTATATATATAATATATACACACAGATATATATGTTATATATATACACACATATATATATTTGTTGTTGTTGTGTGTTTGTTTGGTTTTGTTTTTGGTTTTTCAGGGTCCCACTCTGTTGCCCAGGTTGGAGTGCAGTGGTACAATCACACAGCTCACTGCAGCCTTGACCTCCCAGGCTCAAGCGATCCTCCCACCTCAGCCCCTGAGTAGCCGGGACTACCGGTGCAAGCCACTACACCCGGCTAATTTTTTTGTATTTTTGTAGACACAAGGTTTTGCTATATTGCCCTGGCTGGTCTCAAACTGCTGGACTCAACAATCCACCTGCCTCAGCCTCCCAAAATACTGGGATTACAGGCATGAGCCACCACGCCAGGCCAAGACTTTATATTGAGGTTCACTTTTGGTGTTATACATTCTATGGTTTTTGACAAATGTATAAATACATGTATCCACATACATGTATTCTGTGTCATATGGAATAGTTTCCAGAATAGTGTGGTGGTGCACACCTGTAGTCTCAGCTACTTGGGAGGCTGAGGCAGGAGGATGGTCTTGATCATTATAACTTTATAGTAAGGCTTAAAGTCCAGTAAAGTCAGTCCTCTGACTTTGTTCTTCTACTTCAACACTGAGTTGACTACTCTGGGTCTTTTGCCCTCCATGTAAACTTTGGAATCAGTTTACTGATAACCATAAAATAGTATTATACAGAATAGTTTCACTGCCCTAAAAATCCTCTGTGCTCTCCTTATTCATCCCTCCCTCCTCCCTGTGGCAACCACTGATCTTTTTACCATAGTTTTGCCTTTTCCAGAAGGTAATACAGTTGAAATCATACAGTATGCAGTCTTTTCAGATTGACCTTTCCTGTGTCTTTTCTTTCTTTTTTTTTTTTTTTTTTTTTTTTGAGAGACAGAGTCTTGTTCTGTTGTCCAGGCTGGAGTGCAGTAGCACAATCATAGCTCACTGCCACCTCAATCTTCTGGACTCAAGCAATCCTCCTGTCTTGGCCTCCTGAGTAGCTAGGACTACAGGCATATGCCACCACACCCAGCTAATTTTATTTTTTTATTTTTAATAGAGACGAGATCTCACTATGTTGCCCAGGCTGGGCTCCATGTCTTTTCATTACTTGATAACTCATTTCTTTTTAGCAGTGAATAATATTCCATTGCCTGATATACCACAGTTTATTTAACCACTTAGCCTCTGAAAGATACCTTGGTTGCTTCCAACTTTTGTCAGTTATGAATAAAGCTGCTATAAACATCTGTGTGCAAGTTTCTGTGTGGACATAAATTTTCAATTCATTTGGGTAAATACCAAGGAGTACAATTGCTGGATCAGATGGTGAAGTATTTTTGGTTTTATAAGAAAGCAGCCAAACTGTCTTCCAAAGTTACGGTACCATTTTACATTCCCACCACCAATGAGTGAGAGCTTCTATTTGCTAGTATCCTCACCAGCATTTGGTATTGTCAGTGTTTAGATCCAGAATAGGTGTGTCACAGTGTCTCCTCTCACTGTGATTTTAATTTGCAATTACCTAACAACATATGATGCTGAAGATCTTTTCATATGCATACTTGCCATCTTCATACCTTCTTGGCAAGGTGTGTGTTCAGGTTTTGGTGATTTTTAAAATTATTTATTTTAGAGATGGGAGATTTCACTATGTTGCCCAGGCTGGTCTTGAACTCCTGGGCTCAAGTGATCCTTCTGCCTCAGCCTCCCAAAGTACTGGGATTGCAGGCATGAGCCACCATGCCTGGCCTTGTTGATCTTTTAAGTTGAGTTGTTCATTTTCTTATTGTTGAGTTTTAAGAGTTCTCCATATTTTTTGGATAACAGTTCTTTTTATGTCTTTTGCAAACATCTTCTCCCAGTCTGGGGCCTGCCTTCTCATTCTCTTGACAGTAACTTTTGCAGAGCAGAGTTTTTAATTTTAACAAAATCTAGCTCATCAATTATTTCTTTCATTATTGTGCTTTTGGTGTTGTATCTGAAAAGTCATTAGACCTATCCAAGGTCATCTAGATATTTTCCTATGTTCTAGGAGTGTTCTAGTTTTGTGTTTTACATTTAGGTGTATGGTTCATCTTGATTTTTGTGAAGAGTGTAAGATCTGTTCCTAGATTCAAATTTTTTTTTTTTAATTTTTCGAGACGAAGTCTCGCTCTGTCACCAGGCTGGAGTGCAGTGGCGCAATCTTGGCTCACTGCACCCTCCGCCTCCCAGGTTCAAGTGATTCTCCTGCCTCAGCCTCCTGAGTAGCTGGAACTACAGGTGTGCGCCACTACGCCCAGCTAATTTTTTTATTTTTAGTAGAGATGGGGTTTCACCATGTTGGCCAGGATGGTCTTGATCTCTTGACCTCGTGATCTGCTGGCCTCAGCCTCCCAAAGTGCTGGGATTACAGGCATGAGCTACCACGCCCGGCCTTAGATTCAAATTGTTTTTGGCATGTGGATGTCCATATGTTCTAGCACCATCTGTGAAAAGACAACTTTGTTGCATTGTATTGCCTTTACTCTAACTTTGCCATAAATAAGTTGGCTATATTTATGTGCACCTATTTCTACACCCTCTATTCTATTCCATTAGTCCAGTTGTTTATTCTTTCACCAATACCACGTGACCTTGATTACTATAGCTTTATAGTAAGTCTTGATGTCAAGTAGGGTCAGTCCTCTAACTTTGTTCTTCTATGTCAATAAAGTTGATTACTCTGGGTCTGCTCTCCATGTAAACTTTGGTATCAGTTTATTGATATCCATAAAATAACTTGCTTAGATTTTGATCAGGATTGCATTGAATCTATAGATCAAGTTGTGAGGAAGTGACATCTTGACAACATTTAGGCTTCCTATTCATGAACATCTAAATATAAATCTCTCCACTTATTTAGTTCTTTGACTTCTTTCATCGGAGTTTTATAGTTTTCCTCATATAGATCTTGTACATATTTTGTTAGATTTATACCTACGTGTTTCATTTTGGGGGGTGCTAATGTTAATGGTAATTTTTTGTTGTTGTTTTTGAGACACAGTTTCACTCTTGTTGCCCAGGCTGGAGTGCAATGGCGCGATCTTGGCTCACCACAACCTCCGCCTCCTGGGTTCAAGCAATTCTCCTGCCTCAGCCCCCGGAGTAGCTGGGATTACAGGCATGCACCACCACGCCTGGCTAATTTTGTATAATTTTCTTTTTTGAGACGGAGTTTTGTGTTTTAAATTTCAAATTCTACTTGTTCATTGCTGATATATAAGGAATTGACTGACTTTTGTACATTAACCTTGTATCCTGCAACCTTGCTATGATCACTTAATAGTTTCAGGATTTTTTTGTTTTTTGGATTTTCTACATAGACAATCATTTATCTGTGAAAAAAAGACAGTTTTATTTCTTTCTTCCTAATCTGTACACCTTTTATTACTGTTTCTTGTCTTACTGCACTAGCTAGGACTTCCAGTACTATGCTGAAAAGCACTGGTGAGAGGTGACATCCCTATCTTGCTCCTGTTCTTAGCAGAAAGGCTTCTAGGTTCTCATCAAGTATAATGTTAGCTGTAGGTTTTTTGTAGATGTTCTCTGTCGAGTTGAGAAAGTTACTCTCTATTCCTAGTTTGCTGAGAATCCCTGCCACTTTGATACAGCACTTCACAAGATCACTGGGAGAACCTGGGCTAGGAGGATACTCAGGCCTCCCTAGAGGATGGTGCTCAGCCAGTAACCCAAGTGCCCAGAATAAGGCAATTGAAATTGAAGAATTCAACAAATGAGTCTAAAGGGGACTGCAGGTATAGAGCAGATAACTATCCTGCCTGAGCATAGATCTTCTGTAGCTCAGTTTCTACTTTCTCTGAATTAATATACACAGAACAATAGGTTTTAGCAATAGCATGATTCCACTAGCAGATAATCAAAAGCTGTTTAATTGTCCATTACCACCTTGCTAGCTAGTTTAGTGAGCCTCATTGGTCTTGGATAGCTTGGGCAGCAGCATTAGTTATTTCTACCATGGTTAAGGACAGGTTGTGCACTATTTTTTCAAGAGTCTATATACTGATGCCTGGTATTAGAATGTGAACTGGGCCAGGCATGGTGGCTCACGCCTGTAATCCCAGCAATTTGGGAGGCCGAAGTGGATCACCTGAGGTCAGGAGTTTGAGACCAGCCTGCCCAACATTGCGAAACCCGTCTCTACTAAAAATACAAAAAATTAGCCAGGTGTGGTGCCACGCACCACACTCGTGGTGATCCCAGCTACTCGGGAGTCTGAGACAGGAGAATCGCTTGAACCTGGGAGGCGGAGGTTGCAGTGAGATGAGATCGCACCATTGCACTCCAGCCTGGGCAACAAGAGCAAAACTCTGTCTCAGAAAAAAAAGAATGGCTGGGCACGGTGGCTCACGCCTGTAATCCCAGCACTTTGGGAGGCCAAGGCGGGCAGATCACCTGAGGTCAGGAGTTTGAGACCAGCCTGACCAACATGGAGAAACCCCGTCTCTACTAAAAATACAAAATTAGCCAGGCGTGGTAGCACATGCCTGTAATCCCAATTACTAGGGAGGCTGAGGCAGGAGAATCGCTTGAACCTAGGAGGTGGAAGTTGCGGTGAGCCAAGATCACGCCATTGCACTCCAGCCCGGGCAACAAAAGTGAAACTCCATTTCAAAAAAAAAAAAAGAATGTGAACTGCAGAATTAAACCAGCTGTTGGTTTGTTCTCCTGGGAGAGTGCTACAAGTCATTCTGTGGCAGGTTAGCAGAGCAGGTCCCTTCTAGCTCTCTGTACAGTTGTTGACATGGACAGTGGGCCCTAGGATTCCAAGGCAACAAGATCCTTCTGGAGATAGACATTGAGGCCCACAGAAGAATTCATAACCTAGAAGGGCACAAGTGACACCTGTCAGGCATTTGTTATTATAGTCCTGGTCAGTCCATTTATATACAGTCTCAGCCTGTTTTTGCCCCATAGTTGCAGGGTGAGAAAAACTACATGTGGTACATCCACATCTGAAGTGCCAATATAAGTCAGTGATGCCCACGCCAACATGGGAGTCCTTTTGTCATATCATAATATTAAAGCAGGATACTCTAGCGTACGCCTGCATGCGGACTTGTTTCAAGGGAGTCACTCAGCAGTTTGAGCCACCGATAGCTTAGAATGTGAACTGGGCCAGGCGTGATAGCTTGAGGAAAGTCCGAGACACTGGGTAACAGCCAGGCCATTACAATGGAATTATAGGATAGGAGAGACTTCAGTAACAACTCCAGCATTGTTTGCTTGCTTCCTTCTCACCACAGCTGTACTGCTTCTTATCCAGATGTTGTCATGCCGGGCATGGCAGAGTCTTCTGTGAGACTGAGCAAGGTAAAAATTGATGATCCCACATGCCCCACCCCATGAAACTCCCCAGCCAGATGCTCTTGTCCAGTGGCGTGGGGAGAGTATTCTGATTTCTGAGGCTGTAACTTATGCAGGGATCCATCACGCCTGTTACTTGACCTAAACTTTCAGCCTTGGTCATCCAACCTGGGGAGAGAGATCACATTCTGAAGAAATTTGGCATATCTTATAATATTGCCCACTTTGGGATCAGAAGTCCTGGTTACAACTGGAGGAACATTAGTTCCTCAATATTCTGTCAATGCTTTCCCTGTCCCCATGGGGTCCCACAAGAAAGAAATGCCCAAAGGTACCATTGCCTCCAGATTTAAATCAGGAGGCTCACTGGTGGCTCTAGTGGGTAGTGATTTCCAGCAGGAAGAAAGAAGAAAAAGAATGCCTGGGAGCTGGACGTGGTGGCTCACGCCTGTAATCTCAGCACTTTGGGAGGCTGAGGTGGGCAAATCACCTGAGGTCAGGAGTTCGAGACCAGCCTGGCCAACATGGCAAAACCCCGTCTCTACTAAAAATACAAAAATTAGTCAGGCATGGTGGGATGCACCTGTAATCCCAGCTACTCCAGAAGCTGAGGCAGGAGAATTGCTTGAACCCAGGAGGTGGAGTTTGCAGTGAGCCGAGATCGTGCCACTGCACTCCAGCCTGGGTGACAGAGTGAGACTCTGTCAAAAAAAAAAAAAAAAAAGAATGGCTGGGTATACTCAAATTGGGATTTCATAGGCTCAGCCTAATCAAGGGATTGCCTGGTCCTCCACCTGTTGCAAGTTCAGTATTTCCCAACATGCATTGCAGTGATGTGTTTCTCTTCCACTGCAGTGTCTAGTGTTCAGATGGCTTTTGTGAGGTAGGGGTACCACCCACTAAGTTGTTCTCCCTAATGGCTTTTGCATAGTTGTTGTTTGAGCCACCCATTCCATCATCTTTTTTTCTTCCTAATTTTTTTTTCAAGTTCTACCATTCCATCATTCTATCAACCCATTCACCAGGTAATGTTAGGGAGTACAAAAGGTCCCATCATATGTCATGGGAAAATGCCCATTACTGTGTAGCTTGTGCGGCAGCAAATGTGGTGGCCTTGATTGGCTTGGAATCCTGCTAGATATCAGAATACAACAGAGGTGTTTCTCTAAAGCCATAATAGTGGTTTCCACATCTACATGGCATACTGGAATGGTGGTCTCATCTCCAGAACGTGTACCCATGGCAGTGAGGCTTCACCAGAATCCACGTCTGGGAGCTAGCTGTCCAATGTGGTCAATATCACACTGGCATGGGCCCTCTGTCCAGATGATGTGTCCCAGTTCACCACATTGTACGGCCTGGGCTAAAGGCAGGCCTCACATTACTGTACTGGATCTTTGGCTTCCATCTCTTTTAGGGCAAGTCCTCGTGATGTGGCCCGTTCTTGCATCTGAGGTGGACTTCCATGTCCCATTCTGTGGTAGATCCCATGGATAATTTTGGCCATTTTCTGAGCACATACTAGATCAGCTTGTGAGTTCATGTTCTCTTTTGAATGGTCCTATGCCGTGACAAGTAGGTCTCTTTCCTAGTTCACAAACTGCTGTCATAGTCCTTGTCTCTACATAGAGGAGCCCTTAATGGTCCAATCATTAATCTGCCAGTCACTGGACATATGGCTAGTCCATTTGTAATGGCCCATAAGTCTGTAAATGTGTAGCAGATAATTGCTGTTATATTTTCCTGAACAGCCATCACCACAGCACAGAGTTCACCCAGAGTACTGGGCAGAGTATCCTTGTCTGGTCTCAGTCAAAAGATGACTATCCTTAGGATGTGTCTTAGTCTACTTGTGCTGCTATAGCAGAATGCCTGAGACTGGGTAATTTTATAAATAGAAATTTAATTTCTCACAGTTCTGGAGGTGGGAAGTCCAAAATCAAAGTCTCCATTTCCACAATGGTGCCTTAAACATTGCACTCTCCAGGGGGAAAGAGCACACTGTTCCTCACATGGCACAACAGCAGAGGAAAGCAAACCCACTCTCATAAGCCCTTTTTATAGGGACATTAATCCATTCCTGAGGGTAAGCCTTCATGACCTAAACACCTCCCTTAGGCCCCATCTCCCAACACTGTTGTATTGGGGATTTTTTGTTTTTTAGACACAAGGTCTTGTTATGTTTCCCAAGCTGGTCTTGAACTCCTGAGCTCAAGCAATTCTCCCACCTCAGCCTCCTGAGTGGCTGGGACTACAAGCATGCAGCACTGCACCCAGCTGGGGATTAAGTTTTAACATTTTGGAGGCGACAAAACCATTCAATCCACAGCAAGATGGACGGCTACAGCAGACCATTAGAGTTTATCAGCTTTGAGTTTCACAGCTCCCTCAGTGAGCCAACTCATACCATCAGCTGGAACATCTTTGAACCATGGGCTGCACCTAGCTAAGGGAACATCCCCTATGGGCTGTTCGGCGTCCTCTGGCAAGACAGTTACTTCATGGAGTTGGCAGACCCCCTGGGATCCCAATCAGGCTCCATCTTATATGTAACATTTCCATTTAATGATGGTACTTGGCTGAACCTGTCGTGTTTTATTAGGATTAGTGAGCACTGTGAAAAAAATAAAATCAGATAAAGAAAAATTTAAAAGTTTATTGTTCAAACAAGAAGTACAGACCACAATCTAGAAGACTCAAATCAAGTGGTAAGAAATTAATCTTACAGCAGTTACAACACAGTTTATAATGCATAAAGGGGGGGAATATTTTGACCTTTTTTATAATTGGCTGTTATACATTCTTTTTAGGGCAAGTTGAGCTGTTTAAGCTTGTTGGTCTATAGCTGATTGGTTTAATTTCAGTGAATCATGCTGGCAAGGATGTAAAGCTTACATTTTGCATTTCATTTATGATCAGAGACAGCATTTCAGGAAAATCAGAATGATTAGTTTTGGTTACACGGTTGCGGGTAGTCAGCCTTAGGGTATTTCTAAACTGGGGCTTCCATTTTTATTTTTCGTTAATAATACCTGCATGAGATGGGCAGCTCAGGTCTTAAGGTCACATACAGTGCTTCAGTGGTCAAGTGTTCTGTTTAAATTAGAGTCCAATAGCAGGCTAGTAGCTGCCATTCAAAGGGAATGTATATGGCAACCATCTTGGGTAATTTATATGTCCAAAACCTAAGGGCCTGGTGCATCCTGATAGCAGTCTCTTGTTGCCGCAGTATCCAATCTGTATGGGTAAGAGTCAATGAGACCTGTAGTTCCATGGGCCTACATTAATGTCAGGCCCATGTTAATGCATAGTAGGCCTCTCGAGTCTGCTGTTGTTGAGGGCCCCATTCAGAGGTGGCTGTGTTGTGGGTAATTTTAACTAAAGGAGGCAAAATAATACTCAGATGTGATACATGTTATCTCCAATAGACAAACAGGCATACCAGCTATTGAGCTTCTTTTAGGTGGGGGCTGCCAAGGACAATATTTGACTTTATCAGGAATACTCCTCTAATTACTGGACCAGGTAGCTCCAGGGACTGCACTTGTTGGGCAAGTCTTGGGATCTTATCAGGGCTGACAACTCAACCTGCATGTGTCATATTATCTATGACCTTATGTATGGAGTGGTCAACTTGTTTCATAGGCTGGCAATGAGCATGTTATTAATATAGTGGATGACAAGTACTTTTCGAAGTAACTGGACATGTTGCAGGTCAGGGGAATGGAAGTATTGCTATGGACTGAACTGTGCCCCCAAAATTCATATGTTGAAGCCCTGAGCTCTGACATGATTGTATCTGAAGTCCTAAAGCCAGGAATGAGGAAGGCTGTGAATGTCCATTGTTCCATACAAGAATGACTCTTCTCTTGGCTATTTAGAGATCATGAGGGATACTGCCCCAGTTTCCACAGGCCAGATGGTCTCCAACAAAAGCCACGGGGGAGTCACCCCTGCCTGGCAGATCTATCGGGTCAGGACCACCGCCCAGGGGGTCCTGGAGAGGACAGTATAGGACCAAAGAGGATTATTCATGAGCCTAAGATCTCATGAAACGTGCCTTGCTAAGTTTTAGACTTGCATAGGACCATCATCCCCCTGCTCCCCCATCCTTTTTTATTTTTTATTGATAGGGTTTCACTCTGTCATCCAGGCTGGAGTGCAGTACGATCACAACTCACTGTAGCCTCGAACTCCCATGCTCAAGCCACCATGCCCAACTAATTATTTTTATTATTTTTGTAGAAATAAGGTCTCCCTATGTTGCCCAGGCTGGTCTCGAACTCCTGGACTCAAGCAATCCTCCCACCTCAGCCTCCCAAAGTGCTAGGATTAAAGGCATGAGCTATCACACCCAGCCTCATCATCCCTTTCTTCCTTCCAATTTCTCACTTTTGGAATTGGAATACCTAATCCTGCCTATCCCATCACTGTATTTTGGAAGCACATAACTTGTCTGGTTTCATAGGTTCACAGCTGGAGGGGAATTTTGCCTCAGGATAAGCTAAACCTTGGGTCTCACCCATATCTGATTTAGATATTTTTGAGACAAAGTCTCACTGTCGCCCAGGCTGGAGTGCAATGGTGCGATCTCGGCTCACTGCAACCTCTGTCTCTCGGGTTCAAGCGATTCTCCTGCCTCAGCCTCCCCGTGTAGCTGGGATTACAGGTGCACACCATCACGCCCAGCTAATTTTTGTATTTTTAGTAGAGATGGGGTTTCACCATGTTGGTCAGGCTGGTCTCGAACTCCTGACGTAGTGATCCACCCGCCTCGGCCTCCCAAAGTGCTGGGATTACAGGCGTGAGCCACCATGCCCGGCCTTTATTTAGATATTTAGATATTTAGATGAGACTTTGGACTTTAAATGTTAGTTGATACTAGAATGAGTTAAAACTTTGGAGGCTGTTAGGATGGAATGAACTTATTTTGTATGTAAGGATATGAATAGAGTGGCTAGGAGTGGAATGTTATAGAATGAATATTTATGTTGAAGCCCTAACCCCAAATGTTATATTTGGGGGTGGGGGGCCTTTGGAAAATAACTAGGATTGGAGTAGGTCATGAGAATGGGGCTGTCACTCTCACTAACGCCCTTAAAAGACTTGGAAGAGGCACCAGTGCTCTTGCTCTCTGAAATTTGAGGACACAGGAAAAAGGGGGCCATCTGCAAACCAGGAAGAGAGCCCTCACCAGCACTCAACCATTCTGGCATCTTGATGTTGAATTATGAAGACTACAGAACTGTGAGAAATAAATGTCTGTTGTTTAAGCCATCCTCTATGGTATTTTGTTATAATAGCTCAAACTGACTAAAACAGTTGCTAAAGATATATCCCTCCCAATCCCCTCACCCAAAGAACCAGGCCCAGTTACTTTTAGCAAGCCTTCAAGGAACAATTCCCATGTTATACAAACTCTCCATAGCAATAAGATAAACAAAATTTTTTCCAAATTCTTTTGCAAAGCTAGCAAAGCATTACCAAATTGAATCTACTTCTGTACTTAATAAAAATTCACTATGAACAAATAGATTTTACTTGAAAAGTACAAGGAAATTGCAAATATTTGCAAACTTGTCAAGAAAATGAATTACAAAAAGAAAAAACCATAACTCATAAAATTACAATGATGGAGTTTTTAAACTTGATATAATATAGCAACCAATCCTAATAAAAACTTTTTAAGTATAGGCCAGGCATGGTGGCTCACACCTGTATTCCCAGCACTTAGAGAAGCTGAGGCAGGATGATCGCTTGAGGCCAGGACCGCAAGACCAGCCTGAGCAAAATAGTGAAACCCCATGTTTACAAAAAATAAAAATAAAAACTTAGTCGGGCATGGTGGCACATGCCTGTATTCCTAACTATAGGGGAGGTTGAGGCAGGAGCATCTCTTGAGCCCAGGAGTTCAAGGCTGAGGTGACCTATGGTCACATCACTACACTCCAGCCTGAGCAACAGAGGGAGACCTTGTCAAAAAAAAAAACAGAAAACAAAACTGTAAGTATAATAATAATTGGGAAACTGTGCACTGTGTGCCCAGTATTGTTACAATAATGTATTCTTCACAACCCTATGAGGTAGCTCCATTTTATAGATGGAGGAATAAGATACAAGGAAGGTAAGTGATTTGCCCAGGATCACACACCTAACAAAGTGGTGGACTCAGGATTTGAACCTAGGGCACTGGGAACAAAATCTGTGCTCTTAACCACTAAACTACACTGCTTCTTCTAGAAATAAGATTAGAAGGAAACTTCCTAAATCTAACAGAACATCAGAATCCAACAATGAACACGATATGAAACTGCAGAATACTAAAAACATTCCCCCAAGCGTTAAGAGAAAGACATCTACTGTTCCATGTTTTCTGAAGTTCTTGCTAATGCACAACATAAGTGACATCAAAAGACAAATAAATCATTATTTATTCTAAACCTAGAAAAGCTAGGAAATGAATCTAACAAATTATTAAACCTAAAAATAATTTATCAACATAATTGGATCCAGATAAAATTTGTTTAAATCAATAATTAAAGTTTATACTAGCAGTGACCAATAGAAATTGAAGTATGGCTTTCAAATGCAGCCAGTTTTCCTCCATCCAAGAGCCTGAGGCTTTTTCAGGATTCACTTGTACTGAGCACCCACACCAGACTGGTGGCAGTGAGTTAATATAGTTAGGAAATGGTGCACATTCCCACACTCTGGAGGCTTAGTATGGTAGGGGATGAGCAGGCAAGAACCAGAAGGTAAAACTGCAGCTTCCAACAGGCAGGATGGTTCTTCTGCAGACATGACTGGCAATGTCCAACTCAGGGCGGGGAACCAGAAATGTCCAACTCATGTGCTCATATAGTGTGGGGCTCTTCCCTGAAATCTGGGGGCTCCCAAAATAAGACAGTTAAAGAGGAAAAAGTCCTATCTGCATATCTTTTAAAAGAAAATGGAAAAAAATACAAAAAAACAAGCTGAAAACATTTAAAATACATATTCACAAATGGTAAAATTCCAGCCGTGTCATGAGCTCCGGTTTGTTGTTTTGTTGTTGTTATTGAGACAGAGTCTCGCTCTGTTGCCCAGGCTGCAGTACAGTGGTGTGATCTTGGCTCACTGCAATCTCTGCCCTCCAGGTTCAAGTGATTCTCTTGCCTCAGACTCCTGAATAGCTGGGATTACAGGCGTGCACCACCACACCCAGCTAATTTTTGTATTTTTAGTAGAAACGGGGTTTTACAATGTTGGCCAGGCTGGTCTCAAACTCCTGGACTCAGGTGATCTGACCGCCTCAGCCTCCCAAAGTGCTGGGATTACAGGCATGAGCCACTGTGCCCAGACAAGTTTAGAAATTTCAAAAGGCCCTGAAAAACTTTAGGCCCCCAGTAATCCTTTCTAACTTTGTCTGAGACATCTCCCCAACAATCACATTTAATTCTAATTTTCTTGATCCTCAACTCTCTTTCCTTTCTCCTGCATTGTCTGAAACATACACCACAGTGCACAAAATCACCCCTCCAGGTTACATGACTGACATTGCCCCTCTAGCCTCCTCCTCCACCTTTGTCATACTGCGGATCCTGTCAGCCTGTTAAGAAATCTGGGGGATGGAGGCCAGGCGTGGTGGCTCATGCCTGTAATCCCAGCACTTTGGGAGGCCGAGGCAGGCAGATCACGAGGTCAGGAGATCGAGACCATCCTGGCTAACACGGTGAAACCCCATCTCTACTAAAAATACAAAAAAAATTAGCCGGGCCTGGTGGCGGGCGCCTGTACTCCCAGCTACTCGGGAGGCTGAGGCAGGAGAATGGCATGAACCTGGGAGGCAGAGCTTGCAGTGAGCTGAGATCGTACCACTGCACTCCAGCCTGGGCGACAGAGCAAGACTCCGTCTCAAAAAAAAAAAAAAAAAGTCTGGGGATGGAAAGAGAACAGGGTGAACATTAGAGTAAAAGGTCCACCGGCACTGGGCCATTATTGCAAGGGTGGAAGGAAAGGTGGTTCAAGCTCATGGACTGACATATGACTGCAGAAGGAAAGGTGGTCTGGAAGATAATTAAGGCACAGTTCTCATCTTGAAATTAAGACAGCAGTTGTAGTGAGAAAGGACTAGCTGATAAGGAAAACAGATTAGTTTGATACTACTATTTTACCAAAAACCTCATCACTCTGAATTCCAATCATCCAGGAATGCTGCTAGCTGAAATTTTCAATCATCTATATTACAGCCATGAAAGTCAAGTCTTCTTGCAGTAAATTTTGACTGTAAGGTTTTTTTTGTTTGTTGTTTTTGAGATGTAGTCTCACTCTGTCACCCAGGCTGGGGTGCAGTGGCACAATCTCAGCTCATTACAACCTCTGCCCAGGTGCAAGCAATTCTCCTGCCTCAGCCTCCCAAGTAGCTGGGATTACAGGTGCACACCACCATACTCGGCTAATTTTTGTATTTTAGTAGAGATGGGGTTTCACCATGTTGGCCAGGCTGGTCTCGAACTCCTGACATCAAGTGATCTGCCCACCTCGGCCTCCCAAAGTGCTGGGATTACAGGCGTGAGCCACTGAGCCTGGCCGACTATAACTTTTATTTAGGAAGCAGGATGCAGTCAAATAGTTCAGAAATGGAGTAAGTGTGCAGCTCAAAGCATGTTATCAGTAGGATATGACTGCCCAACCCAATACCTAGATAAACAGACACTCATTCACACACAAATCCATTAGCTCTTCAAGGCTGAAGTACCAGTAGTAAGACTTCCAGGGCTACAAGTAGAAGATATCAGTGAGCCTTTATATGTGATATATTACGATGCCACTTCCTTCTTTAGAAGCTTCTAGTCCAGTGTAATGGGAGGGAGACGGGAGCCTGTGCCCACGTTTATGATGGCTCAATTTGAATTTTAAAACTTAAGAACTAGCATATTCAAACTATTATGCATATAAAGAAATAGATACCATACCTGATCTCAGAAGCTTACAAGCTGGTATGAAAGTATACACATTTGAGGCTGGGTGCAGTGGCTCACACCTGTAATCCCAGCACTTTGGGAGGCTGAGGCGGGCGGATCACCTGAGATTGGGAGTTCAAGACCAGCCTGACCAACATAGAGAAACCCCATCTCTACTAAAAATACAAAAAAAAAAATTAGCCAGGCATGGTGGCACATGCCTGTAATCCCAGCTACTCGGGAGGCTGAGGCAGGAGAATCGCTTGAACCCGAGAAGCAGAGGTTGTGGTGAGCCAAGATTGCACCATTGCACTCTAGCCTGGGCAACAAGAGGGAGACTGAGACTCTGTCTCAAAAAAAAAAAAAAAAAAAAAGAAAGTATACACATACACAACTATATATGTGTATACTTTGTACATATGTGATACACATATCACCTTGTAAGTTAAGAACAATTTACAAAAACATTTAACAGTTACACATCGTAGCACCAGCTAATTTAAAGCATTAAGGCCAAATCAATAGAGGTATAAAAGAAACGAAAAACTATTTGAAGAAGAAAGTCTTTCAGAAATGGCATAAATCTTGAACATTGTGAAGGAAGTGATTAGCAAACAGGAAGAAAAAGTTTTCTAGCTAGAAAACACAAAAATGATGAGAGGATGTAGCTTACAGTACAAATTTTTAAAGTAGCTGTGGAAGGAGATAGCCAAGGAGCAGGGAAGAATAATCTTGCAGAATGACTTAAAAAGTGACTTCACGTAAATGGTTCAGTGGAGGAACTGCAATAGAATAAAGGTAATATAACTGCTGTTCTTGAGAAATGCAGAATCTGATTATGGAATGCATACTAACAAGATAGAGTTTTAAATAGTTTTTTAAGAGAAAGAAGGGAACCTACAAGTTAATGACAGATGTAATCCCCAATTTCCTACTAAGTAAGGATCAGACTAAGTTGCACCTACTCTCCCACCTTAGTGACCCAAGGAAAAGCAAGTAGGTATGGTCTCCACTGTGATTAGTGGTCTCCAAGGAGACCATGATGAACATCCTTCTTATAAAGACAGCTTAACTCAAAGGTCTTTGCTGTCTGTCTCAGAAAACCATGCCTTAAGAAGATGACCGAGCCAGACCTGAGGGCTTCTCTCCAGCATGAGTTCGCTGGTGGTGATTAAAAGTGGAACGCTGACTAAAGGCTTTCCCACACTCAATACATTCATAAGGTTTTTCTCTCCAGTGTGGACTCTCTGGTGCACAGTAAGCTGTGAGCTGTCACTAAAGGCTTTCCCACAACTATTGCATTTATAGGGTTTTTCCCCAGTATGGGTTCTCTGATGTACCATAAGACTAGAATTATAACTGAAGACCTTCCCACACTCATTACATTCATAGGGTTTCTCACCAGTGTGAATTCTCTGGTGTATAATGAGGTATGAGTTTTGATTGAAGGATTTTCCACACTCATTGCATTTATAGGGCTTTTCACTTGTGTGAAGCCTCTGGTGCCGAATAAGACATTTACTCAGACCGAATGCCTTACCACACTCACTACACTTAAATGGTTTTTCTCCAGTATGAATTCGCTCATGTTCAACAAGTTGAGAGATCTGATTGAAGGCTTTCCCACATTCACTACATTTGTATGGCTTTTCCCCAGTGTGGAGGCTCTGATGTCGAATAAGACATTTACTCCGACTGAAGGCTTTGCCACATTCATTACATTTATAAGGCTTCTCCCCAGTGTGGGTTCTCTGATGGTCAATGAGATTTCTATTGGAACAGAATGCTCTCCCACATTCATTACACTTATAAGGTTTCTTACCAGTGTGCAGAAACTGATGTCGAACAAGATTTTTACTCCGACTAAAGGCCGCCCCACACTCCTTACATTCATAAGGTTTCTCCCCAGTATGGGTTCTCTGGTGGTCGAAGAGTTTGGAGCTCTGATTAAAAGCTTTTGCACATTCATTACATTTATAGGGTTTCTCCCCATTATGGAGTCTCTGGTGTTGAATGAGATGGGAGCTGTGCCTATAGGCCTTTCCACACTCACTGCATTCATAGGGCTTTTCCCCTGTGTGGGTTCTGAGATGAACAATGAGCTGGGAGGTTTGCCTGAAGGTCTTCCCACACTCATTACACTCATAGGGTTTCTCTCCAGTGTGGATTCTCCGATGACCAATGAGGTGCGAACTCCAATAAAAAGCTTTGCCACATTCATCACATCGATAGGATTTCTGTCCCTTTAAAACTCCTTCATGTTCAACAGGACTGGAAGACAGAGGTGGATGTTCCTCAACTTCCTTATATTCCTCATATCTGTCTTTTGTGGATTTTTTCTTATCCTCATCTATTATTTCCAAGAAATCACTTTCTAGTCTGCTCCCTTCTTCATTTGAGGGTTGTCCTTCTAACTCTTTGAAGGTATCTTCACAAACATCTCCAGTCTCTGTTCCCCCAGGAACCACCCCAAAGAGTCCCCCTGATGTGCTATTAGATGACTCTGATCCTTTAAAAATTTCCTGCTTCGGAGTCAGCTCTGAACTCTCCATCATGTTCCTACCTGCTGCCAAAAAAAATAAGACAACAACTTTTACTCATTTCTTTTCCTGTTGAAGAAACAGAATCATAAAGAGCTAATGTACCTGAAAAAAAGTCACATTATGGTTAAGAAATGAGATGACACATTGAGAACAAGAGCAAAATGCTCAATTGTATCTTAGGGATAGAAAAACAAGGAAGAAGAAGACGGTCAGTGGAGGAGGGTGGAAAAAAGATATTGAGCCAGCACAGCCAAGTCAGAAGGGTCACTGGAAAGCAAGAGACTGGATTGCAAAGCATGCTGTGATCTTATATAAGTCACTCTCACACTATGTCTCTTTAGCAAAATGGTAAACTTTGAGTTCCCTTCCAACCATGACATTATATGGTTCCATGGTTCTCAGAAAAGATGTTGGGAGAGGGAAGGCTGGCAAATACCTCAAGTCAAATATAAGAAAGAGACAAGGAAAAGATGGGAATGAGTTGAGAAATTTCTACTATGAGTGTATGATTAGGAAAGCGTACAAAAAGGAGAGATGTTGTATGACAGGACAGTAACAAGATTTGGAGAAGCTATCAGTTGAGAAAAGCTGGACAGCAGTATTGAAGGAGACAGCAGAGTTCTAAAAGTGGGGATGCCACTGGCCCTCAGAGCACTGGCCCGGTAGGAGCCAGTTGTGCACTCCCAGAAAAGATAACAGGGACATCAATCATTTGAAATATAAATTAAAATGCCTTTGATTATCTAGAATATAAAGGAAATGATCAGGTAAATATTTGCCTTTTGGAATTCTGAATACAAAATCTGGGAGAAGGCAGAGTAATCATGGCCATGGAAAAACACCAAAATGTGGGTTCCTTTCAATCACATCTGAATTGGGGCTACAGCCATCATGTCAGTTAGCCTATGGAAAGTTTAAGATGTCTGGGTGAAAGATTCCTAAGCCCACCCTTTCCAGAGTTGGCTACTGCCCTATATGCATCAATCATAGCACCTGCACTGCCAAGAAGCCCTTCCAGGAAACTGCACTGCCCCAGTCTTTGCAGAGAGCAACACTTAGGCAACCATGCTCTGTGGCAAGTGATCCTGAACATCATCCCATGATGGACTGCAAGTGATTGGACCAGTACCAGGTACCAGACCCAAGGGCAGCTTATCTGTAGGTTAGTCTTCAGCCTCTGCCATGGCCTGGGCCAAAGCTCTGCCCAACCGAGATGATGAGTAATGGCTATAGCAATGGGAATCTGTCTCTAAGGAAATTCGGAACTGGAAGTAGGGCAAAATTACGAGTGGTAATGGAATCTGAAGTGATACATGGAGAGAAGCCAAGCCATTAGGAGACACAGCAAGCAACAAATATAAGGGAACAGGAAGTACAATTAGGAAAGAGCTACGAAAAGGACAAAAGATTCACAGTGAAGAAAATGGGCAGCAGGAGGAGTACAAGCAGAGAGAAAACAGATACACTGCGAGCAGCTGCATTACATTCACACCAGAACACAGGCATCAACATGCATTTGCTTTTGCTGTTCAGGCTCCCAGGCTGCCCTGAGTCAAGGCCCTACTTCCCACAGTCTGGTCTAGCGATCAGTTTCTTCTGGGTTCTCATTCCTTTAAGCCTATGACTCACAGCTCCTTACTTACAATAACTTGAGTGGCTCTCTATTCCTTACAACTAAAAAAACTCTACCTAAACCACCTTATGTCAATCAATAATGAGGTGAAGAGAATGCTGATCATTGTTCAAGCTGAATGCAGAGAAGGTCCTATTCAAGAGGACCCAGGCAGCTCCATACACACTGACTCTTATTCACTCTAGCTTATCTCCGTTTGGAAATTTTCGTAGTAAAAAGTTTAAAAAGAAAAGGAATATAAAAAAGAGAATGGCAGCATGCAGACTCTAAGTGACTAGGAAACAGAATCATTACCCAAAGAAGCCATGCTACGGTCATTTTCCAGCATCATGTTCCAGTGCAGGGCTCTCTGACTGAGTGCGAGACCTTTCCATTTCTTCTGAGTATAGTCCTCAGACAGGTCCTCATACGCCACAGTATCCTGGAATGACAAGCTCCGATTGCTCAGGAACATTCACACCCTGAAGGGCAGAGTCATCAAGGGTACAGAGGGCACAGGGTATGGCCTCTTCGTGGGCAAAAGTATGGGAGAGAGGAGCTGAGATAACACCTCGAAAGTCCAGTGCAAGATAGAGTCCATTACCTCCAGGGGAAGCAATGAGGCAGGAGAGCCACAGGAATAGTCTTAGATGGGGCAGAGTCCTGGGGGTGAGACCTCTAGCCATTCTTGGACCAGACTCATGGGGACTTGGTAAAAACACAAAGAACCAAGCTCACCTGGGGCCTGACCATCCGAAGTACAGTTGCCCCTGCTTGGTCTCCTGAGTTCCCCACTTGAGGAAGGGTAGGAACTGGAGAAGTACATTGAGCTGAGGGAGGAAAGAAAGCTATGAGTGGGACAAGCCCTGCTTCTGGCTCCCATAAGATCTATATTCCCAATAAGTGGATTCAAGAGAACCCAGGCACCTCCACACACACTGACTCTTAACCTCTTCCATAAGGCATTATCCCAAGAGTGGTGTGAATTTTCCCTGGAGGGTACAGTACAAGGTCCCGGATCAAGCTGAGAACTGGGTGTTCCTCCAAGCCCTCACTCTCTTCAACCTTTTTCAAGGAAGCTATTCTGGCCACTCTCTCTCCCATGGCTTCCCTAGCACCAGCCAGCCCTGATTTTCCCCACACAGTTGTGGTTCCTCATGTCTGCTCCTGCCCTCTCATTATGGACACTCCTTGCAACTCAGGCCCCAGTGCTTCCTTGTTTTTTCCGTCAGCAATCTGACCAACTCTCATTGCTTTAATACTGCTCTCACAGTTCTTACTTCTCTCCTAGACCCCTACCACATGCCTCCTGTTGCCTATGGGACATTGCACTTGGGTGTCCTGCAACACCTCAAGTTCAGTGTCTAAAATGCATGTTCTTACTACCTTCCTCTCTGGATTTCCCAAGTTATGTCAATGAATTCACACACTGGCCAAAACATTTTAATTCCTCTCTTTTCTTCAAACACAAGTCCCATGGATACTCCCAAAACTTATCTACAGGTTCAACACAATCCCTATCAGATTCCCAGGGGGCATCTTTTTAGAAGTCGAAAGTTGATCCTAAAATTTATGTGGAAACTCAAGAGAACCATACAGTCACAATTCTTCTTGAAAAAGAGGAATAAAGTTGAAGGACTCAAACTTCTCAATTTCAAAACTTCCTACAGAACAACAGTCTTCAATTTATTGTATTCCTGTCATAAGAATAGACATACAGTTCAATGGATTAGAATTAAGAGTCCAGAAATAAACTATATATCTTTAGTCATTATTTTACAATGGTGCCAAGATCATTCAAAGTGGAAAGAATGATCTTTTCAATGAATGGTGCTGAGACAACTGGATATGCACCTGCAAAATAATGAAGATGGTGCTCTACCTCACTCCATCTATAAAAATAACTTCTAAAAAATCAAAGACCTACATATAAGAACTAAAACTTGCTGGGTGCAGTGGCTCATGCCTGTAATCCCAGCACTCTGGAAGGCCGAGGTGGGTGAATCACCTGTGGTCAGGAATTTGAGACCAGCCTGGCCAACATGGCAAAGCCCCGTCTCTATTAAAAATAGAAAAAATTAGCTGGGCATGGTGGTGGGCTCTTGTAATCCCAGCTACTTGGGAGGCTGAAGCAGGAAAATTGCTTGAATGTGGGAGGCAGAGATTGCAGTGAGCCGAGATCGCGCCATTGAACTCCAGCCTGGGTAAGAAAGCGAGACTCTAAGTCCAAAAAAAAAAAAAAAAAAAAAAAAAAAAAGAACTAAAACTCTAAAACTCTTACAAGAAACCTGTGTAGAAGTCTTTGTGACTTATACCTTTATGACAACGGATTTGTAAACACCAAAATCATATTAAAACAAGGAAAAAATAATAAAAAATAAATAAATTGGACTTTACCAAAAGGAAAACCTCTTGTGCATAAAAGAAAAGAAGAAGAAAGTGAAAAGCCATCCACAGACTGGAAGAAAACACTGGCAAATCATGTATCTGATAAAGACTTGTATCTGGAATATATAAATAATATATTTATATTCTTTAATATATATATATTCTTTATATAGAGAGAATATATATTTATATTCTTTATATATTACAACTCAATAATAAAAAGAAAAAAATAACAAATTTTAAAATAGGGCCAGGGCACAGTGGTTCACGCCTATAATCCCAGCACTTTGGGAGGCTGAGGCAGGCAGATCACCTGAGGTCAGGAGTTTGAGACCAGCCAGGCCAACATGGCGAAACCTCGTCTCTACTAAAAATACAAAAATTAGCTGGGCATGGTGGCAGGCACCTGTAATCCCAGCTACTCAGGAGGCTGAGGCAGTAGAATTATTTGAACCCAGGAGGCAGAGGTTGCAGGGAGCTGAGATTGCGCCACTACACTCCAGCCTGAGTGACAGAATGAGACTCCATCTCAAAAATAAAAATGAAAATGGCCAAAGGGTCTGAATTGACATTTCTCCAAAGAAAATATTAAAATGTCTAATAAGTACACAGGATAGTCATCAGGGAATGCAGATTAACCGAACAATAAGATAGTACTTCACACCCAGTAAGGTGGCTAGAACAAAAATCCGATAATAACAAGCAATCATGGGAGGCCAAGGTGAGTGGATTGCTTGAGTCCAGGAGTTCAAGGCCAGCCTGGGCAACATGGCAAAATCCTCTCTCTACAAAAAATACAAAAAATTAACTGGGCCTGGTGGCATGCACCTGTGGTCCCAGCTACCCAGGAGGCTGATGTGGGAAGATGGCCTGGGCCTGGAAGGTCGAGGCTACAGTAAGCCAAGATCACACCACTGCATTCCAGCCTGGGGGACAGAGCAAGACTCTGTCTCAAAAAAATAAATAAAAAATCAGTGAGAATGTGGAGATATTGAAACTTTATCCACTGCTGGTGGAAATGTAAATTGATGCATACACTTATGAAAACAGTCTGACAGTTCCTCACGAAGTTAAACATACATTTACTAATTGACCTAGCAATTCTACTCCTATATATATATACACCCAAGATAAAAGAAAATAGATGTCCATACAAAAACTCATACACAAATGTTCATAGCAGCATTACACATAATAGTAAAAAGGAAGAAACAATCCAAGTATTCATCCAGCTTTTCATATTTATTGGCATAAAGCTATTTACAGTATTGGTATTCTCTTAAAATTAAATAACTATATCTTCTTTTTGTGCACACTCTTAACAATCCAGGAATAGAGACATCCTTAAACTGACATGCAGAATAGACGAAAGAAATCTCCAACAGACGTGACACTAAATGGTAAAGACATAAAAACCTTTGCAATTAAAAATAGGAACAAACATTGTAATCCTAGACAATGTAATTAGACCAGAAAAAAAAATGCAGAAAATAGACAAGAAAGATGCAAAGCAAATATACGCATGAATGATATGAAACATCACCTAAAAAATTAAACAGAATGAACCAAAAAAACAGAACGTCATAAGACATTCAGGAGATTGAATATATAATCAATATATACTCAATAACTTTCCAACACAATAGCAACCAATCAGAAAATGAATTAAAACAATAGCAACAAAAATATAAAGTACTCAGAAATAAAGCCAATAAAAAATGTACAAGACCTTAGTGGATAAATAGAAAACTCTGCCTAAAGACATAACAGATATAAATACATTTTGTATGGGAAAACACTCCTTCAAGATGTCAGTTTTTTCTAAATTAACATGCAAAGTCAACAAAATCCCAGCCAACTACAATGTAATTTTTCATAGAGCTTGATAAGCATACTCTAAAATTCAAATGAATGAGAAAAATAATAGTTAAGAAAACTTTTTAGATGTGGAAAGTTTTGTTCTACCAGACAATAAGGCTTAATATAAAGCTGTAGTACTTGAAACAGCATATATTACTGAAGAAATATAAATATGCAAACTGTAGATAAAAGGAAAAGTACAGAATCCTGACACAGGCTTATACACATATGTAAGTTTTGTTTTTTTGTTTCTATGGAGACGGAGTCTTGCCGTGTTGCCCAGTCTGGAGTGCAGTGGTGCAATCTCTGCTCACTGCAACCTCCGTCTCCTGGATTCAAGTGATTCTCCAGCCTCAGCCTTCCAAGTAGCTGGGATTACAGGCATGCACCACCATGCCCAGCCAATTTTATAAGTTTGATGCATGACAGAGATAGTGTCACCACAGTGTTACCTAAAAAAAAAAAATGAGGTTCATTCACCTGGCGAGTAACAAACGACTGTTTGTGAGAATGCAAGTTTAGATCAATAGGAGTTTTATTACTTGGTGTAAGTAAGGAGGACACTGGGAGTATTTTCCAAAGCAGCATCTCTCCAAGGGAAAGTAATAGGAGAATTTTATGGAGCAATGGAGAGGCGAGAGGCTACATCATCCCATGTATAGGAGGGGTCCCAGTGGTACAGACGCAGTGAGTCATTATGCCAGCACATAAGTCATGTGTTATGGTAATGAAGCTATAGCTACTCCCCGGGTGGAGACTTTAGCATGGTAATGAGAAAAGTTCACTCAGGTTCATCTATAAGTTGCTGGGGTCTGTCAGGAGCTGGGGTTTTTTTTTGTTTTTGTTTTTGTTTTTTTGAGAGAGAGTCTCACTCTGTCGCCCAGGCTGGAGTGCAGTGGCGCAATCTCGGCTCACTGCAAGCTCTGCCTCCCAGGTTCACACTATTCTCCTGCCTCAGCCTCCTGAGTAGCTGAGACTACAGGCGCCTGCCACCACGCCCGGCTAATTTTTTTGTATTTTTAGTAGAGACAGGGTTTCACCGTGTTAGCAAGGATGGTCTCAATCTCCTGACCTTGTGATCCACCCGCCTCAGCCTCCCAAAGTGCTGGGATTACAGGTGTGAGCCACCACGCCCGGCCTGGGGCTGGTTTTAACTAACTAGGTGACTGCAATCCACACAGGGTTTAGGAAGAAACAGGCTGCAGGGCAGAAGGCTGTAAAACTGGCTGACTGCTCAAGTTGATTAAATTCCTATGATCCCTGGAGGCCCTCTCTGTCTACTTATAGCAGCAAGACCTTCTTTTAAAAAGAGCCCCAGAACCTGTAAAATTAACCTGTGCCAGCAGCTGTGCTTGCTTAGAGAGAAAAAGGCTAAATATCAGTAACCACAAAGGAGAACTTAGCTCAGCAGTGCTACCCAGGCCTGAATCCTTGCTTCATTACCATATTAAAATCTCCACCTAGAAGGGAGAAATACACTTGCTAGGCACATATAGTGCTGGGTACAAAAGAAACAATGAGACTGGCCAGGCGCGGTGGCTCACGTCTGTAATCCCAGCACTTTGGGAGGCCAAGGCGGGTGGATCACCTGAGGTCAGGAGTTCAAGACCCTCCTGACCAACATGGAGAAACCCCGTCTCTATTAAAAATACTAAATTAGCCAGGCATGTGGTACATGCCTGTAATCCCAGCTATTTGGGGGGCTGAGACAGGAGAACTGCTTGAACCTGGGAGGCGGAGGTTGCGGTGAGCCAAGATCAAGCCATTGCACTCCAGCCTGGGCAACAAGAGCAAAACTCCATCGCAAAAGAAAAAAAAAGAAAGAAAGAAAGAAAAAAGAATGAGACTGAGCACACTCCAGTTCTTCCCATAGGGCCCCACCTCTTTCCAGGATCTCTGCCCCACTACATGCCCTAAGAGACCTTAAAAATCCCTCTTCACCACACCCAGAGGAGGGTACTTTGAGCATGAGCTTTTCCTTCTCCATTCCTTCATCAACAAATAAAGTTTCTGCACTGCTTAACGAAACTTGGTCTCATTTTATTGGCATGAACACCACCAGGCAGGTAAAGGACCCACTGAAGTCAAACGACTTCCCTTGAGAGTTGGTAACAGTAGCATTACAAGTCAGTGGGAAAAATTAAACTAGTCAATGAATTGTGTTGGGACAATTGGCTAGGCAAATAAAAATAGTAAGTAAAATCACACAAAAAATAAAGAAACTTAAAAAACAAAGCTAAAAGGCTGGGTGCGGTGGCTCACGCCTGTAATCCCAGCTCTTTGGGAGGCCAAGGTGGGTGGATCACAAGGTCAGGAGTTCAAGACCAACCTAACCAAGATGGTGAAATCCCATCTCTACTTTAAAAAAAAAAAAAGCCAGATGTGGTGGCAGGCGCCTGTAATCTCAGATACTCGGGAGGCTGAGGCAGAGAATTGCTTGAACCCAGGAGGCAGAGGCTGCAGTGATCCAAGATTGTGCCACTGCACTCCAGCCTGGGTGACACAGAGTGAGACTCTGTCTCAAAAAAAAAAAAGAAAAAAACCATAAAGACTCTAAGAACCCTGGTGTAACCAAGAATTTCTTAAGACAACAAAATGAAAAGAGTGAATATATTTGAATACATCAATATGAAAAAAATCTCTGTCCAAAAGAAAAGCAAAAGAAAAAAACACCAAACACAAACCACTAATAGATGTGGAAATGTAATAGCCAACAGGAAGGATAGTTTGAAAGTCCACAGTAAAACTAAAAAGACATATTCCTTACGCTACAGGAATTTAACTTGTAAGAATCTGCCCTGAAAAACACTTGCACGGGTATTCAGACATTTACACAGGTATTTACTAAAATATTCTCTGTAATAACATAATACTGGATTTAACCTACTTGTCCATCAATATGGCTAAATAAAAGTAGCATTTTTATAGGATGAAATACCATACAGCACCTAAAAGGAACATACTAGATCCTTATGCATCACCATGACTGTTCCACTATTCACCAGGTGGCCAGGCTGTGCTGCCAAGATTAAAAGGCCATCCAAGGAAGGGATAGCACATGATTTGAGGTCGCTGAGGACAGATACCAACCACATCAGGCCCCAAGAGGTACAGCGTATACTTACAGCAAAAGGAGAAACAGGGAACAAGATCCAGCCTCCTGCAATGCAAAGAGCCCCCACACCCAGCAGATCCACTCCACAGCTATAGGGCTGGTGTGATGCACACACCCCACTTAGTAAGGAAGAAAGATCTCAATCCACCCTCCCCACTCCTATGGGGTGTGAAATACAGAAGGCTGAGAGAATGAATGAAGGCCACTGACTTAAGAGATTAAACACAACAAAGGAGTACACATGAAGCCTGAAACACTGAAAGACACAAGGCATTAAATGCAGCAGCACAGGCTGTGAGGGCTCTAACTCTGCAAGGAAATGTTCCAGGCTCAAGGTCACTCTTACATTCTTAACTTGGCAATGGGCTATTTAAAAAAAAAAAAAAGACATTAAAAACTGTCAATTCTTCTTGTCTCCCAGTTTAGATATTCCTTCTTTCATTAATTTAACAAACACCTTCTAGGAGCACCTACTATTTCCCATACACTAAGGTAACAGCAGTTAATAAAGCAAACAGAAAGCACTGCCCTGGCAAGGGGCTTATGGGAAGATAACCAATAAACAAATACATGCTATGTTAGACGGCGACAGGTGCCAGGAAGTGAAATAAGACAAGAAAAAGGGAGAAGTCTATGCCAGATGTTTTCAATGTCAGGAGACCTGGAGACTAAGATTTCCGGACGGTGGCTACTTTCACTTTTCTTCCACTTATCTAATTGTCTCTAATAAGTACGCTTTATTCGCATAATTGGGTGAAAAGATAAAGCCAGAAGAAACCGGGAATTTTCCAGATTCTCTGCCCCAGACGCCCGGGGGGCGAAGAGGTATGCCCTCGGCGCGGCCGGGCGGGATCCACGGCCAGACCCCCGCCCCGGGTGCAGCCTCCAGGCCCGGCCTCACCTGCCACTCTCGCACGCACAGCCGCCCCCGCTCCGCACCCCGCGCCCCGCCGGGCCGCTCACCGACTCCGCCGCCGAGAGACAATCATCCAAACGCCGCCACCGCAGCCGACCGCCCCGCGCCTACCTCCCAGCTTCCCCAGTTGCGCACGCGCGTCGCCTCCCCGGGCCCTCTGCGGCCTCTCTAGGAAACTGGGAGGGCCAACATCTCTGCTTCTCCCTGGGCCCAGGGCCGCTGGCGGCGGGCGGCGGGCGGCGGGCGGCGGGCGGCGGGCGGCGGGCGGCGGGGCTTGTCCAGCATCCTTCGCCTCCTTCCGCGGACACTTGTCTTCCACGCTCTGATGCCCAGGCGCGCTCCAGAACTCTATCGGCTTTGGCGTATTATCCTACATCCCTCCCATCGGTTCTGCACGGCTGCCCTGGAGGCCTCTTTTCCTTCAGGGAAGAAAGGGATCCAAAGCTAGCGGTGAAAATAGAGCCAGCGGCCTGGCGCGGTGGCTCACGCCTGTAATCCCAGAACTTTGGGAAGCCGAGGTGGGCGGATCACGAGGTCAGGAGATCGGTGGCTAACACGGTGAAACCCCGTGTCTACTAAAAATAAAAAAAAAGTAGCTGGGTGTGGTGGCGCGGCGCCTGTAATCGCAGCTACTTCGGCGGCTGAGGCAGGAGAATCGTTTGAACCTGGGAGGCGGAGGTTGCAGTGAGCCGAGATCGTGCCACTGCACTCCAGCCTGGGAGACAGAGCCAGACTCCGTCTCAAAAAACAAACAAACAAAAAAATAGGGCCAGCACATCCCCAAACATAAAACCCTTGAATGGAGAAATTCCCAAACAAGGCAATAAGCCCAGCACTGGCCGTGAGAGTTTATTATCCCCTTTTAAGTAAATGCTACAAGCCCTAGGCGCACTTTTGCAACTGTTCAAGGGTCATCAGGCTGCACATGACTGACCAAGACACTCAGTTGCCCACTTTGGATGGAGCTACAGCTTTGTGGGAAAAACAGATAATAGAAATTACACAAATACATCAATGTCAAGTGGTTACGAACACTGTTGAAATGTAACAGAGTTATTTAATTGACAGCGACTGATGATAATGCTTGTATTTTTTCTGGTACTTTTCTGTATACTTCCGGTAGCTCATAACACACTGGCTGCCATGCATTGATTTGAGTTGCCCAAGGAAATAGAGTCAGTAACTGGAATAGCCACTGAATCCAAATCTTTTGGTCTTTTCACTACTGTGCTTCATAAAAGCTCTCCCGTCCCACGTCCCTGTAGAGGGAGAGTTGGGGATAGCATGGCTCCTAGCTGAGATCCCAGAAGCTAGGGGTAGAAGGTTGTGGGCAGGATAGTGAGGAGGGCAAGATTCCAAGGAAAACTAAAATCCCTGCCCAGGAACGGTTACCACCTGGGAAAGCAGGAATGACCCAACGCATCAAGGCCCAGAGTGTACTCAAAGAACAACAGGTTAGGATGAGGGTCAAAACTCAGACCAGAAAGAGCATTAGCTGAGCTTGGTGGTGCACGCCTGTAGTCCTAGCTACTGTGGAGGCAGAGGCGGAAGGATCGCTTGGGCCGGGGAGGTCGAGGCTGCAGTGAGCTATGATTGGGGCAGTGTACTCCAGCTTGGGCGACAGAGCGAGACCCAAGGAAGGAAGGGAGGAAGGGAGGGAGGGAAGTGAGAAAGAGAGAAAAGGAATGAAAGAGAGAAGGAAGAAAGAGAGAGAACGAGAAAGAGCAGGCTGCTTCTTGGGCTACAACCTGGAGAGGCTGTGTAACATTATGAGTTGGAGAAGCAGGTACAAAATAGTAAAAACTTCTATAAAGTAGACTAACAGCATGTGGCAGAACAGTGGGTTTTTAAAGGTGGGAACAAGAGAACCAAACAATAGCAAAAATAGATTGATTAACATCAGGTTACTTTTCTTTTAAGGATTAAAGCAGAGGGGGCCTTCCTTATGCTGACTGGGGTTAACTGGGCCCTTTCTGAATGGTTGCTATGAATCTCCTGTTTGCAGGAAAAACTGGTCTGTTAGGGGATTCACATACTTCTATAAAATTTCAGTTTGATTATGTGGCATTTAGCATTAGGAATTCCTTCATTTATTTATTTATTTATTTTGAGACGGAGCCTCCCTCTGTCACCCAGGCTGGAGGGCAGTGGTGTGATCTCGGCTCACTGCAACCTCCGCCTCCCCTCCTGGGTTCAAGTGATTCTCCTGCCTCAGCCACCCAGTAATTGGGACCACAGACACAGGCCACCATCCCCAGCTAATTTTTGCATTTTTAGTAGAGCCAGGATTTGTCATGTCTGCCAGGCTGATCTCGAACTCCTGACCTCAGGTGATCTGCCCACCTCGGCCTCCCACAAGTGCTAGGATTACAGGTGTGAGCCACAGCGCCCAGCCTTATTTATAATTATTTATTTATTTATTTATTTTGAGATGGAGTCTCACTCTGTCACCCAGGCTGTAGTGCAGTGGCGCGATCTTGGCTCACTGCAGCCTCCGCCTCCCGGGTTCAAGCGATTCTCCTGCCTCAGCCTCCTGAGTAGCAGGGATTACAGGCATGTGCCACCATGCCTGGCTAATTTTTGTATTTTTAGTAGAGATGGGGTTTCACCATCTTGACCAGGCTTGTGTTGAACTCCTGACCTCAGGTGATCCGCCTGCCTCTGCCTCCCGAAGTGCTGGGATTACAAGATGAGCCACTGTGCCCGGCTTATTTATTTATTTTTGAGACAAAGTCTGGCTCTATCGCCCAGGCAGGAGTGCAGTGAGTGGTAGGATCTCAGCTCACTGCAACCTCCACCTGCTGGGCTCAGGCCATCATCCCACCTCAGCCTCCTGAGTAGCTGGGACTACAGGCGCACACCACCACACCCGGATAAGTTTTTTTTTTTTTTTTTTGGTAGAGATGGGGTTTTGCCATGTTGCCCAGGCTGGTCTTGAACTCTTGACCTCAGGTGATCCACCTGCCTAGGACTCCCAAAGTGCTGGGATTACAGGAGTGAGCCATGGCGCCCAGCCACTGGTTGTTAATCTTTTAAATATCATCCCTGAGAAGAAAAGAGACCTAGGTAACAGAACTGAAACAGTTCTGTCTGTGAACTGGAAGGAAGTCGTTGAGGAGGTCAATTTCTTTCCCTTCCTGCAGCCCCTCCTCATAGGTAGAAGGAGACAAGGTGGAAAAACAGCTCCTTTAGCCCCTCCCCCAATCACCCAATTAACCCTTTAGTTGCTGGACCATATGAACGATTCAGGATTGGCCTTGCTGTCAGAAAGATGAGGTGGATTGACAAGGTGGGGACAGCTGGTGTCAGAGGGCCATGGGGTTAAGGGCCTCTTTTATTCTCAACAAGCCTATGTCATTGTTCTCTGAGTGGGTTGGAGATGAATGGGTTGCTTGCTAAAAGGAGAGCTGGATGTGTCCTGTGCTTATGATCTCCCACATGGCCTGGCTCTGGTTACCTTAATGTCAAGACCAGCAGAAAATAGTTTGTCTTGTATGGCCTGGCCGCTAGGATGTTAGTGGAGGAAGTGGGTGCAGAGAAGCAGGGAGATACAGAAACCATAGTTGTTCTGTTGGGGTGTTAGAGTGTAACAAGTTGGATGCAGACTTATAAAAGGCAAGATGAAAGCACTAGGGGAGTTGTTAGTAGGAAGATGTGTACCATTGAGTATCCAGTTGACACTTTATGTATAGTCATCAATCAGCGGACGGTGGCAGAGAACAGTTAAATACAGAGTCAGAATGCCTCAACTGTTCCTTCCAAATCAGGAGACAGACTGCAGACAATAGACAGAAATCAAATGGCTGGGTAGTCACAGGGGTGAGGCATCTCCCTGCTGAACACCATGACTGGTGTAAACGAGGGACTCCTGTGAAGTGTGCGCATAGTATCTGCTGCCATCATGTGAAGGATATGGGTCAGTGATGAGGTCTGGGGCAACCCATCTGAGGTTTGTCTGGGATCTGGAGGAAATGTTACAATTCATCAGGCCTTCCAGCCTTGGCCATGACCAACATGCAGGTTTCGTGACTGGCAAACATGGGTGTAATTCCTGACATGAGGAGTAGTGAGTGCATAAAGACTGACATTAGGATCCTCCCAAGAAGGAAGGTTGTAAATTCAGGTGGAATGGTGGTCTGGATGGAGTACCGGGGCTAACGTGACCTTTATAACCCATGGAGGAATGACATTGTGTTTTTCAAATACAGTTGACCCTTGAACAACATGGATTTGAATGGCCTGGGTCAACTTATACATGAATTTTCTTCTGCCTCTGCCACCTCTGAGACAGCAAGACCAGCCCCTACTCTTTATCTTCCTCCTCAACCTACTCAATGTGAAGACAGTGAGGATGAAGGCTTATATGATGATCCACTTCCCCTTAATAAATAGTAAATATATTTTCTCTTCCTTATGACTTTTTTTTTTTTAAGACAGGATCTTGCTCTGTCACCCAGGCTAGAGTGCAGTGGCGCAATCATAGTTCACTTCAGCCTCACCTTCCCTAGCTCAAGCAATCCTTCCATCTCAGCCTTTGGAGTAGCCAGGGCCGCAAGTGTACACCACCACACATGCCTAATTTGCAAAATTTTTGTAGGAATGGGATCTCTTCATATTGCCCAGGCTGCTCTCGAACTCCTGGGCTCAAGTCATCCTCCCACCTTGGCCTCCCAAAGTGCTGGGATTACAGGTGTGAGAAGATTTTTTTTTTTAATTGAGATAGGATCTCACTCTGTTGCTGAGGCTGTGGCATGATCACAGCTCACTGCAGCCTCAAACTCCTGGGCTCAAGGGTTCCTCTTGTCTCAACCTCCCAAGTAGCTAGGACCACAGGTGCATGCCACCATGCCCAGCTAATTTTTTTAAAAATTTTTTGTAGAGATGGAGTCTCACTATGTTGCCAAGGCTGGTCTTGAACTCCAGTCCTCATACAATCCTGCCTGGGCCTCTCAAAGTGCTGGGATTACAGGAATGAGCCACTACACCTGCCCAGTTTTCTCATTAACATTTTCTTTTCATAATTTACTGTATTGTAAGAATACTGTCTATAATACATGTTACATACAAAATATGTGTTAATTAACAGTTTATGTTATCTCTAAGGCTTCTGGTCAACAGTAGATGATTAGTAGTTAAATTTGGGGGGAGGCAAAAGTTATATGCAGATTTTCTACTTCATGGTGGGTCAGTATTCCTAACCCCTAAGTTATTCAAGGGTCAACTATATGTCCACAATTTTTTGCTACTTCTCCCTTCAAGAGATGGAGCTGGACTTAGTGACTTGCTTCTAACAAATAGAATAAGGCAGAAGTGATGATGGCTCACTTCCAAGACTAGGTTATAAAATGTCTATGGCTTCCTTTGTCCTCTGTTTCTGAGATCACTCACATTAAAGGGTGCTAGCTGCCATGCCTTGAGAACACTTAAGCAGCATCATGGAAGGCCCACGTGGCAAGAGACTGAGGACTCCTGCCAAGTGCTAGCGAATAACTCAGGCCCCTCTTCAACGGTCACATTAGTGAACCATCTTGGAAGTGGCTCCTCCAGAGCCAGTTGAGCCTTAAGATGATGACAGCCCCGGTCAACATCACAGCTAAAATCTCAGGACAGACTTTGAGCAAGAACAAATCAGCTAAGCTACTCCTGAATGTCTGACCCACAGAAACGGTGATACAGGCAGTGTTTGTTGTTTAAGCCACAAGTTTGGGGATAATCTGTTATATAGCAACACATAGATAATGACTATACAAAGTTTTTAAAAATCTCTTAAATTTCCCACACTATCCTTCATCTGCAGTTCCTCACTCCCTCTCTGAAATGGTACTTGGAAATTTTGAAATAATCCTACGCATTAGTTAGGACTCTCTTCATCATACGTAAGAGCCACAGATCAAACTACTTGGAGCAAAAGAGGAAGTATCTTACATAAACACTTGAGCAGCAGGGGTGCAGCTGGATCTTAGAAATCCCTGAAACCAGAGACTAGAAAGTTGGTTAGAACACATCTAATAGCTTTGCCTTTAGTTCTAATTCAAAAGAATCTCAGGAAAAGGCTTTGGTTGGTCAATTGAGGTTGCATGCCCATTTCTATTTTTTTTTTTTTTTTTTTGAGATGGAGTCTCGCTCTGTCGCCCAGGCCGGAGTGCAGTGGCGCGATCTTGGCTCACTGCAAGCTCTGCCTCCCAGGTTCACACCATTCTCCTGCCTCAGCCTCCTGAGTAGCTGGGACTACAGGCGCCCGCCACCACGCCCGGCTAATTTTTTGTATTTTTAGTAGAGACGGGGTTTCACCGTGTTAGCCAGGATGGTCTCAATCTCCTGACCTCATGATCCGCCCGCCTCGGCCTCCCAAAGTGCTGGGATTACAGGCGTGAGCCACCGTGCCCAGCTGGTTGCATGCCCATTTCTAAACCAATCAACAGTTGTGGGCAGGACTTCTGTTTCAAGTAATTTTGCATATTAGATGACCTGAAAACTCTCCTGCACAGAGATGTAGAGATTTAAAATACGAAAGTTTCAATAGAATCCAGAGGTTCACACACACAAAAAGAAAATATGAAAGAGTCTAAGAGACATAGAGGAAGAAATTATAAGGTTTCGCCTACAGCTATTAGGAGTTCCAGAAAAGAAAAAAATTAACCACATGTATTCAAAGATAGAATAGCTGTTAATTTTCCAAAATTATTGAAAAACCAAAATCCTTAGATTCAGAAAGCCCAGTAAATCCTAAACAGGATAAATAAATATAAATCTGCACCTAGACACACTGTAGTGAAATTGCAAGATATCAAAGTTTTTTCTCATGCATCCTGTCCAGGCCTGATAAGTCTCTTTTGGTTAAAGTTTCTTTTGTCAACATTCCTCTTAGATTGACAGGGACCAGAAACAGGCACCTATCCCCAGTTATAGTTTGATAATTAGGCTACTTGCTTCATTGTTCCATTCCTCCCCCAACAGACATAGCGGTCCATACTCCTGAAGTGGGGGTCACAGCAAAGTATCATTTCAACACTGGCAGCCATTAACAAATACACACATCACCGATGTTCCCAGCATAAGCGTGCTGCTGGTTCTGCTGAAGGTACTGCTTGTAACATAAATATAATATAAAAAAGCAAATGCTTTTTGTTTTGTTTTGAGACAGAGTCTTGCTCTGTCGCCAGGCTGGAGTGCAGTGGTGTGATCTTGGCTCACTGAAACCTCCACCTCGCAGGTTCAAGCGATTCTCCTGCCTCAGCCTCCCGAGTAGCTGAGACTACAGGCACATGCCACCACGCCCAGCTAATTTTTGTATTTTTAGTAGAGACAGGGTTTCACCATGTTGGCCAGGATGGTCTTGATCTCTTGCCCTTGTGATCTGCCCACCTCGGCCTCCCAAAGTGCTGGGATTACAGGCGTGAGCCACCACGCCAGGCAAGCAAATTCTTTTTTTTTTTTTTTTTTTTGAGAAGGAGTTTCACTCTTGTTGCCCAGGCTGGAGTGCAATGGCACGATCTCGGCTCACTGCAGCTGCCTCCTGGGTTCAAGTGATTCTCCTGCCTCAGTCTCCCAAGTAGCTGGGATTACAGGCACTCGCCACCACACCTGGCTAATTTTTTGTATTTTTAGTAGAGACGGGGTTTCTCCATGTTGGTCAGGCTGGTCTTGAACTCCCGACCTCAGGTGATCCACCCACATCGGCCTCCCAAAGTGCTGAGATTACAGGCGTGAGCCACCGCACCCAGCTGCAAATGCTTTTTAAAATGCTGCTTTGATTCAGTTTGAGATCCTGGCTAGAAGCTGATCAGTTCCTCTTTTTGAGCATCTGATTAAGTCCACACCCCAACACACTCCACACTGTGACCATAAGATATGCAAGTGTCTCCAAATCAAAAGGAAGAAGTTTCTCTCGTATAGGGCAAGGAGGAGGTAAATAGAGATAAGCAGAATCTTTGAGGGGAAGTTGGACAAGCAAACGGAAATAACCAGTGAGGTCTGACAGGACGGTATCTTCCTGTGGTGTGCCAGTTCCCAGGAGAGGCTGATAAAGGGGTTTATTCCACTGTTTGTATTCACTTAGGTGTGGAGTCAGGCAGAATTCTGGGACCCGTAGGAAGGAGAGAAGCCTGAGGAAAGTTTGGCTCTCAGGTATTTTGTTCCACTTGATCAGTGGGGACAAGCATTTTAGCTAATCATTCATGGGGCAAAGAATGGGAATTTGGAGGGTCTGTGTCTGGCCTTGTCATCGGTAAACTGGAGGTATCTGGGAGTCTTACGTAAGTCACATGGGGAAGGGTGGTTCTGTGTAGAAAGTCATTTTCTGGAACACAGGAGAGTGAGGAGATTTCTTAACCTTCACTGTTAACCAGAATCACAGGGCTCAGGTAAAATTCAGCATTGTCAAAAGTAAAAACAGCAATGGTTCTCTGAGGCAATTATAAGTCCAACAGCTCTTCATAGGTGTGACCTTTATAAGTGACCTTTTTTCTGCATACAGAGCAGAGAAGTGAGAAGAGCACGTGATTTAGTCATAAAAATACCTTACATTTACATACCAATAGCTACCTTTTTCATATTTGTTAAAGATATGTTTAGGGTAAAATTACAATGATATAAATTTAACTTGTACTATAAAATTGCACTGTCAGTCACTGCTTCGTTCAAAGCTGGTTTTTCCTTTTCTTTCTTTTTCCTTTTGTGGAGAACAGGAATGTTCTCGCTATGTGGCCCAAGCTGGGCTCAAGCGATCTTCCTGCCTCCATCTCCCTGAGTGCTGGGATTACAGGCACAAACTACTGTACCCTGGCTTGGTTTTCCTTTTCTGCTATCTGGAAAACCCTGAACTCATTACCTCAGTGTTGCTTGCCTACAGCTTCTGGTAGCTCCCTATTTCTGTCTGTGTCAGCTGCAGTTATACCCCTTTATTATCAATTTATAGGTTATGAAAGGGCGATAGTTTACCTGGGATGCAGGGAACTATATTGAGATTCTTGTTCTCCAAAGAATGTTGAACAGACTTATGTTCCAAGTTCCTTCTGGCACCAAGTCTAATGTTACTGTCAAGAAAGCAAACTGGCCAGGCGCGGTGGCTCACGCCTGTAATCCCAGCACTTTGGGAGGCCGAGGCGGATGGATCACGAGGTCAGGAGTTCAAGACAGCCTAGCCAAGATGGTGAAACCCTGCCTCTACTGAAAATACAAGAATTAGCCAGGCATGGTGGTGGGCGCCTGTAATCCCAGCTACTCGGGGGGCTGCGGCAGAGAACTGCTTGGATCCGGGAGGCAGAGGTTGCAGTGAGCCAAGACCGTGGCCACTGCACTCCAGCCTGGGTGACAAAGTGAGACTCTGTCTCAAAAAAAAAAGAAAAAAAAAAGAAAGCAAACTAAAGTGAATAAAATAGTCGGTAAAGGCTGTATTCAGCTTATGTGTGTATCAGTGAGCACCTCGAAATGAGGCAAATCTCTGAGCCAAAGAAACATTGGAGTTTTTGTAAGGTGAGAAGAGAAGGCTACAGATTGTGCTCTTGCTTCTGGCTACAGTTTTCTTTATGTGTAACTGCTGTGAAGCTTAGGGTTGGAATGGAAGCATGTGTTCGATTATTAATGCCTGTTTCTCTGGATCCTTGGTGCAATTTCTTTTTGGCAACTCTCAGGACACTTCTTTGGAGAGCTATCTTTGTAAGTTTTGCAGGTCGTCTGTTATAAACTAATGCTAGTTAAGGTTCAGGGGAGTGGGGGGATAGATGGGTGGATCATTTGAGGTCAGGAGTTCGAGATCAGCCTGACCAACATGGTGAAACTCTGTCTCTGCTAAAATACAAAAATTAGCACCTGTAATCTCAGCTACTCGGGAGGCTGAGGCGGGAGAATCACTTGAACCCAGTAGACGGAGGTTGCAGTGAGCCAAAATCGCACCACTGCACTCCACCTGAGTGACAAGAATGAGACTTCCTCAAAAAAAAAAAAAAAAAAGAAAAGAAAAGTAAGAAAGAAAAGAAATGAAAAGACAGCAAAGGCAGGGGAGAAGATTTTTTTTTTTTAAAAAAAAAAGGAAAAGAGGCAAAGTTCTGAAGAAAGGAAAACTGGAATCTATTTTAATTCTTTTTTTTTTTTTTTTTTTTTTTTGAGACGGAGTATCACTCTGTTGCCAGGCTGGAGTGCAGTGGCGTGATCTCAGCTCACTGCAACCTCTGCCTCCCGGGTTCAAGTGATTCTTCTGCCTCCACCTCCCAGGTAGCGTAGCTGGGGCTACAGGTGTGCACGACCATGCCCGGCTAATTTTTGTATTTTTAGTAGAGATGGGGTTTCACCATATTGGCCAGGCTGGTCTCTAATTCCTGACCTCATGATCTGCCCGCCTTGGCCTCCCAAAGTGATGGAATTACAGGTGTGAGCCACTGCGCCCAGCCTATCTTAATTCTTTTAGAGGACAGAGACATTCTAGAGAGACAGAGTGGGACATTTGTCCTGTATCACTGCTGAACTCCAGACACCTGCAGTGCCCATGTCTAGGCTCTGTTCTGCTTCCTTGTGGGGACACACAACAGAAGAGAGACAGTCCCTCAGTGGCACAGACATCCTCACCACTACTGCTATAGAGTTCAGGAGCAGGAGAACGAGGCACAAACAAATAAAGAAATAGACCTTACAGGAGCTCCCGAGTTCCCATCATCCCCCAGAGAAGAGTGCTTAAAAAGAAAAATACCAGGATTCCACCCATCATGGAAAGGGCTCCAGAAAGATACTGTGCCATCCCACAATGGTCTATGTATCAATAGGGATCACCCACAGACACCAGCAAGGTGCTTGCCTATGTAAATGGGAGCTTCCTGCAGGGAGGTACAGCTTTTGTTAGCAGAATCTCAACTTCAAGGCTGGTATCAGCCTGTTTTTTGCTAAGCCCATTCAGATCTGCTGAGCCAATTCTCCAAGAAGGGAGAAAAGCGGGAGGGAAGAGGAAATAAGCCTCCTGAGCCAACTGGAGTTCTCACTCCACACAGTGAATTTGGAGTGACTAATACTGAGGGGCCAGAATAAATGAGGGGCTGATGGAAGGCTGGCAGTTCAGGTCCTGAAGGTCTTACTGAAGAGAAAATGGATATAATGGGTATGAAGGAGGTAGGGGGATCTCCTTTTGGACTTGGCATATTTCCTGTGAAAACAAAACACAGAAAAACCAAAAAACAAAAATACCCTTATCAAGGTTCTTCAAGAGGTTGAAACAAGTTCTATGAGACCTTTCCAAGGCAGATTTCAAAATCCCCTATGAAGCTTGCTGGCCATGGCATTAAACAAATTGGAGTTTAGATTAAGCTCTTTAAGTTCTTTTTAGAACATATGTAACCAAGACTTTATTAAAAGAATCATAAGCTGTTTTACTTTTTTTTTTCCTTCCTCCATGCATGCTTGCACATAGTCACTTCAGTAGAGGGTAGTCACTAGTAATTGATTAATTTCATATCCTAACCCCTGTGGCTGCCTGCAAGATTGATAAACTTGTTTTTCTTTCTTTTTTTTTTTTTTTTTTTTGAAACAGAGTCTCGCTCTGTTACCCAGGCTGGAGTGCAGTGGTGAGATCTCGGCTCACTGCAACTTCTGCCTCCCGGGTTCAAGCAAGTCTCCTGCCTCAGCCTCCTAAGTAGCTGGGATTACAGGTGCACACCACCACGCCCAGCTAACTTTTGTATTTTTAGTAGAGATGGGGTTTCACCATGTTGGTCAGGCTGGTCTCGAACTCCTGACTTCGTGATCTGCCTGCCTTGGCCTCCCAAAGTGCTGGGATTACAGGTGTGAGCCACCGTGCCTGGCCTTGTTTTTCTTTTAAAGAACAAGGAGACCAGGCATGTGGCTCACACCTGTGATCCCAGCACTCTGGGTGGCTGACAACACAAGAGGATTGCTTGAGCCCAGGAGTTTGAGGCCAGCCTGGGCAACAGAGGAAGACCCTCCCTACAAAAAAAAAAAAAAATCAAAAAATTAGCTGGATGTGCTGTAACTCTAGCGACTCAGGAGGATCACTTGAGTCTAGGAGTTGCAGACTGCAGTAAGTTATGATTCCACCACTACTCTCCAGCCTGTGTGACAGAGCAAGACCCTGTCTCTAAAAATAAACAAACAAATAAATGTCAGGCCTCTGAGCCGGAGCTAAGCCATTGTAACCCCTGTGACCTGCACGTATACATCCAGACGGCCTGCAGGAGCCAAGAAGTCTGGAGCAGCCGAGAAACCACAAAAGAAATGAAACAGCCAGTTTCAGCCTTAACTGATTAACCAAACTTACGACATTCCACCATTATGACTTGTTCCTGCCCTACCCTAACTGATCAATCGACCTTATGACATTTTTCTCCAGGACAATGGATCTCATGATCTCCCCACCATGCACGTTGTGACCTCCTCCCCCTGCTGACAACAGATGACCACCTTCAACTGTAACTTTCCACTGCCTACCCAAGTCCTGTAAAGTTGCCCCTCTCCTATCTCCCTTCGCTGACTCTCTTTTTGGACTCAGCCCACTTGCACCCAAGTGAATAAACAGCCTTGTTGCTCACACTAAGCCTGTTTAGGTGGTCTTCTATATGGACATACGTGACAATAAATAAATCACAATGAGTCTTAGGTGATGCAGACCTTCTTGATGGCATCCAGAAGTTTGATCAGACCAAGAGATGCAAACAGCTTTGATTGTCAGGCATTCCACCTCCTGCCTACCTACCTTACTCAGAAAAGCCCCCAGTTATGTTCAAAGGGAAATCTTTGAACATAAGACTTGGTTCTGAGTGTCTCTCACCCACTCTGTTTGGTCAAATTAAATAAACCTTTCTCTGCTCCTAAGTGCTGATGTGTCAGTGTTTGGCTTACTGCACATCAGGTACATGGATCTAAATATCGGGGTTCAATAACACATGTAGGTTATTACAGGAATCCACAAAAGGGACCTTCAAGTTGCATCCTGTGTGTGTTTCTTTGGCCTTTATGACATGGTTCGGAAACACAGTAGTCTTATCTGGAGAGCGTGTTAAAACTCTGATCACTGGACCCCACTTTCACATTTATGATTGAGTAGGTCTATGGAGGGACCTGAGAACTTGCCTTCATCACTGGTTCCCAGGTGACACAGCCATTTGGGGCACCATGCTTGGAGAACCACTCCGGAGACCTCTAAATTGGTAGTTCAACCTTAGCTGCACTTAGAAAACACTGGGAAAATTTGTGTGTGTGTAACCAGCTCACGTTTCATTGTGACATTTTGAAATTGTACAAGTATTTTGACATCTGCCCCCCACATTTAGTCTCTTAAAACGACAGGAAAACATCAACCAATCACAGGTTTAATTAGTTTAAAAAATTTACCCCTTCAATTCCTCTTTGTAGCCCCCAGCACCCAATATTCCTTTGAAATATGAAACAGACCCAGCAGTGGCCAACAGTAAATTTCTACCCTGCACCCCACAACAGAGATGAAAAGTTCAAGCTCTCTGAGCATTGTGTTGCAGTGGCACTTGTCCAGAATTGGTACCTCTGCCTAGTTGGGGGAGTTTAAATGTACCAGTGAAAATAGCTTTTTCTCCTTCAAAGGGAAGAAAGAAAATCTCTCCCCAAAACCCAGAAGGTCTGAAGATCTGGCTGTGAGGTCTTTCTCTTTCTTCCTGTCCCATCTCTTCAGACCTTTTTTTTTTTTTTTTTTTTTTTTGGCAGTGGAGCAAGAGAGACCAAAACCTAACTTGAGTTACAAGAAACAAGACAGTGATGGCTATAAAGGGAGTGACCAGGAGCAACTGAGACACTCCTTTACCTCCCACATCCAATGTTTGTGCTTCACAGAAAAACGACAAAAATAACAAATCCACAAAATGCAACAGCTGGAATTACAAATTTCATTCACCCAAGGGTGGTAGAAGGCAGGAAGGAAAGGTGGGAAGGTAAATGGCACAGGGAGAAAAACAAAATATTCAAATCAATCCAGCCATAGGGACTGGCAAATGCTAGAAAAATCGCTGTAAAAAAAAAAAAACTAAAACTAAAAAAACTGTGGTCCTTTCAGACTCTCAGTGGTGTTAAAAATCCACACGCTGGTGTCAGGAAGATTCTACCTTACGTGCACCAGAGATAAAGATTCCAATTCCTCAGAGAGGGAATATGCAGAGGGCCTTTGGCAGGATGAATCGTGCCTTTCCTGGCAGGGGGAGGTAAAATGGGAAAAGAGCTGCCACAGCCTCCTTCCAATCCCACCCATCCCCTCGATGGCAGGTGACTCAGGCCTTCAGTAGCCTTCAATCTGGGTAGAGACATATGTGGTGAAGGGAACTTCTCTGCAGAGGCTGAGCTGCTCAAGGCAGACTGCAGGTGAGAGTGTCTTGTGGAAGAGTCTGTTGCTTAAGAAGACCACGAAGGAGGAGAGGTGCAACTCAAAGAGGTATGCTTGGCCGGGGATCTTTGCCTCATTGCACTGATAATGAATAAAGGAAAGAGGATAGAGAAAAGGCAGCCATGGAAAATATATGAGGACTGCATTGCTGTGAGAAAAGCCAAAAAAACCAAACCCAAAGTAGTAAAGCCAGTTCCTCTCTGTGTTAGAGGAACCGCTGGTGCATTTCAATTCCTTTACTGAACCAACCATATTTGAAGCAGTAGAATGAGTCAAGAAGAGACAAACGCCGGAGAGTAACCAGCTGACCAACAAGGTGGGTGGGAAAGAGACTCACAGACATTCCTTGAATGGGGAAAAGAGCCTGCAGCAAAAGATTGGAGAGCATGTCAGCAGTTATTTTGTGGACACTAGGGAATGGGTGAGGCTTCCTCCCTGATGCTTCAAATGCCAGGTCAGCTGTATCTTGGAACCACATGGCATTCACAACTTTGCTAGGCATGTACAAGGGGAGCACCCAAAGGCCTGGAAATTTATACGAGGAAAAATTCCAGCCATGACCAAGCATCTCCACACAGTGATGGATCATAAGTAATTCACGCTGTTACTCACTGAAGCCCAGGAATAAACACCCGATAAAGCAAGAGTAGACTGAACCAGAGCAGTCCACCCCTCCAAGCGCAACACTGGAAAATTCTACTAACACTTGCTGGCTCACTCTCTTGCTCCCACTCTATACTCTGGGGTATTCTCTGTGCCAGGACAATGCTTGCCCTTCTTCCACGCTGCTCCCCTCTTTTGATGGATTGGAGTGTCTAGCTGGAGATGGTACAAATATCCCAGATGAAGTCTTTGACTCCCCTGGAAAGGTCCTGGAGAAAGGTTTTGACACTGTCAGCCATGTCGTCAGTACCCAAACTATCAACTACGCAGAGGAGATATAAGTGCCCCCAATCTCTCATCATGAAGGACCCTGCAGCTCTGCCACCACGGCTCCAGCCTGGCCCCTCACCCACCACCACGGGCCCAGTTGGCTCCTCTGTGCCAGGCAGCCTGCTCCACCGGGGTGCTCCCAGGGTTGGGATGCTATGCCCACATTGGCCATGCCTGGGCTGCAGAGACAGGGAGATTTTTTTAAATGCAATTCTCTACCTTATTTCAAACCGATTAAATCAGAATCTTGTAGGTGGTGCTCAGGCATTGGATTTTTGCAAAGCTCCCAAGTGGTGCTTCCATGCATTAAAGTTGAGAAGCACTGCTCTAAATTTGTTTTGGCCCCGTGGAAAGGTTTCCAACTGATTTCTTATGAAAAAGGTAGTAGAAACCTCCTCTTCAGTTTGTACCAATAAGGTTATAAGGTTGGCCTCTGCCTGACTGGAGAGTGGGGCTGTACAAAAAACTGCTCCACCCCCAGTTATGTTTGGCCCCAAGGCTGGCCAATGGTTCCACTGGTTTCAGCTTCCTTCTCCTCTGCCTTGGGATTTTAGAGCCCACAGCTTCCAGCATGACCTGCTAGTTGCTGTCAAGGAGATGACGTTAACCTTGTTATGTGCCCTTTGCTTCTCAATCTCTCCTCCTTGGGACTATCAGTGATCCTAGAGATGAAGTAGGAATTGTAAATAAAAGTTTTCATCCAGACCAGTGCTTCTCAGATGTGAAGGTACAAACAAATCACCTGGCGAGCCTGTTAAAAAGAAGATTCTGATACTGTGGGACTAGGGTAGGGCCTCAGAGCCTGCATTTCTTCTTATTATTAGTATTAGTATTATTATCTTTTTAAAATTTTATTTTTCACCTCAATGTGTCACAACAAGCCTGTATTTCCAACAAGCTCCCAGGTGGTGGAGAGCTGTTAGTCTGAGGGCCACGCTTGGAGGAACAAGGACCAAATCTCTTCTTTCCCCCATTGACATTAAAGATTGTTAAGAACCAGACAAGGCACAGTGGCTCACACCTATAATCCCAGCACTTTGGAAGGCCAAGGTGGGTGGATTGCTTGAGCTCAGGAGTTCAAGACCAGCCTGGGCAACATGGCGAAACCTCATCTCTACATAAAATACAAAAATTAGCCAGGCATGGGGCACGTGCCTGTAGTCCCAACTACTGGAGGGGCTGAGTTGGGAGGATCGCTTGGACCCAGGAGGTCGAGGCTACAGTGAGCTGTGATCGCACCACTGCACTTCAGCCTGGGCAACAGAGTGAGACCCTGTCTCAAAAAAAAAAAAAAAAAAAAAAAGCATCGTTAGTGGGAACCGGGGATGTAAAAGGACTGGGCCCTATAAATGTAGCCCAAGGTACAGAAAGAGTGGTTGCTGCTTTCCTCTCAGTTGGTTAAGCATGGGTGACAGAGGCAGATTGGTGGTTCCAACGGGAACTTCTGGTGAGATTTCATCTCCTGTGGATAGGTTTGCCCTGAGAACAAGGTGAGGGGCAGTGGGTATAGGAGGCCAGAAAAGAGGGTGTGAACCAGAGCACGGAGAGGCTTTGGTGTCATGCTTCAGAGTTCTGAAGTTTCTTGTTTGTGACAGAGAAATGCCAATGAGCTTAAAACTTGGAGTGGGCAAGCTTTTTTTTTTTTTTTTCTTCTGAGATGGAGTTTCACTCTTGTAACCCAGGCCGGAGTACGGTGGTGCAATCTCGGCTCACTGCAACCTCCACCTCCCGATCGGAGTTCAAGCGATTCTCCTGTCTCAGCCTCCCAAGTAGCTGGGATGATAGGCGCCTGCCACCAGGCCTGCCTAAGTTTTGTATTTTTAGTAGAGATGGGGTTTCACCATGTTGGCCAGGATGGTCTCGAACTTCTGACCTCAGTTGATCTGCCCATCTTGGCCTCCCAAAGTGCTGTGATTACAGGTGTGAGACACTGCGCCTGGCCCAAGCTATTTTTTAAAAGTTATTATTGTGCTGGGCTCCAGGTGCCATTGTAGTCAGCTAGCACTCAGAAGCTACTCAGAGGCTAAGGCAGGACGATCTCTTGAACTCAGGAGTCCGAAACCAGCCTGGGCAACATAGTGGGACCCTGTCTGTAAAAAAAATTTAAAGAAAAATAAAAACCCATATTATTGTATCCACAGTCAACTCTGAAGGCCCTTTTATTGCTATCATTTAAGCAACTGCTTAATGGGAAAGTGAGAAAGAGCTATACTGTCTTTATGTGATCAAAATGCTTTGTTTCTTCCAGCCAACATAACTCTTGAACCAGTTTTTATAGTGAGGAGACCAAATAACCTTTTGACAAAAAAAGAAGGGCAAATCCCCAAAGCATGGTTTTGCTAGTCATTTCCAAGAAGGCATTTCTGGTCAGATTTCAAGCAGGCTCACCTAGAACTACCTCTGGGCAGCGGAGCAATTCTGATGTCTGCAGATACCTCAAGACCTTGGCCTCCGTTCATTGCTCATCTATCCTGAGGCATCGGGAAATCCAAATCACAGAGAACTCTATGTAGGTGAGGAGCATGAGAAAGCTCTCAGTCAAATTTCAAGCCTGGGTCAGCATCAGAAACTCCACACTGGAGAGAACCTCCAGCAAGTGTGGGAAAGCCTTCTTCCTCTGCTCCATCCCTGCTGCTCACCCACCAATGGAGTCACTCAGAGGAGAAGGCTATACCTGTTCTGGTTATAGGAAGTCTTTAGAGCGGATTTCAGGCCTTAGGAAATGTCAGAAATCATGCACTGGAATGAAATTCTATGTGTGTAGTGAAGGTGGGCAAACATTCCTTCACTCTGAGTTCTGCTCTTGGTGCCCACCAGCAAATCCCCCTGGGGAGAAGCACTCAGCGCAGTGAGTGTGGGGAAGGCTTCCTCTGGGTCAGAGGTCTCCTCTCACATCACAGAAGCTGCAGTGGGGAGAAGCCTGCAGGGAGAGTGGCAAAGCCATGACCCACTGCTTCCTTAGGGTTTCTCCCAGTGTGGGTGCCTTGTCAGGTTTCTGCTCTGAGATTTTCCCACACACCTCACATTCACATGTTTCTCCCCAGTGTGGTTGCTGATGCAGGCACGGCCTCTGGTGCCCACTTCAGCCTTTCCCATACTCAATGCCCCTCAAATGGTTTCTCCAACCCTGCCCTGAGTTGCACCATGAGGCCCCTGGCCCTATTGAGCACTCCCTGATGTAGACTCTTTGATGGGCAGCAACGGCTGAGCTCCAGGTTAAAACTTGCCCATGCTCATTACATACATAGGATTTTTTTTCAGTATGCACTTGCTGATGTTGCCTAAGATATGAAATCTGGCTGAAAGATTTTCCACAGTTGGGCAAATCTTTCAGGGGAGTCTAGCCCCAGAATGTCTCCTCTGGTGGGGCATAAGGGATAGAGCTCAGAGTGAAGGACTTCCCACACTCACATTGACAGAACCTTACCCCACTGTGAATTCTCTCTCAATGATGAAAAGCTAGATGCAGGGGAACTCTACCACATTCACCATATTTACAGCTTTGCGTTCTATGGAAACCTTGTGATGTTGAACTAAGTTGGAGCTGGAACTGAATCTTTGTCCAAATCCCTTATATTTCTGGCCTCCCTAACTTGTGGAGATTTTTGTTTTTAATCCTTAGTTGTTTTCACATGAGATCTCTTGCTATTTATGTTCTTTCCTAAAGGATTTCCCTGTATCTTTTCTAAGTTGTTTTTCATTTCACAGGCTGCTCCAGATTCAAACATCTGTTTTTCCCCTGATATTAATGTCAGTGAATTTATCATCATATTCTGAACCAGAATCAACATCTTGCTCTGAGTTCTGTTCTAACCCTCTGCCAAGAATAGAAAAGGCAAATACAAGAGGCATACAGGAAAGTTACTAGAACACTAGTGGGGCCCTTTGAGAGGGTAGGTCAGAGACCATTGTGAGACTCAGTGCAGAGAAGATGGAATGGAGAGCACACCAAGGAGATGGGGTCAGCAAACCAACTACAAGGAATTGAACTCTTCGGTAGCAAACAAGGGAAGGCTAGCAGGTGATGAGGGAAAGCCAAGACAGGAACTCTCACAGTAGAGAACTGTACAGGGAGGAAAACTCTGTTTTCTCTTCCTGATGAGAAAGCTTACTTTGACAACTGCCCTTCCCACCCCCTTTCTAAAGTTCCCCAGCAAAAGAGAGGCCGTTGCTAATTGGATGAGTCAGAGTCCCAGACATTAGCTGGCCAACCTTATTTAGTGGACATGATAAATGTTTCTTTTAAAGCTGGGACCTTCATTGCCCTCTCTTTTTGTGACTTTGTTCTTCTGCTATGGGACAGGGCAGAGGGTAATAGCCTGAGATTTGGTTGCAGCCTCCAGAGGGCAGTAGAAGTCTTGCTTGAGTCTGATCTAAAAAGCAGGACAGCATATACTGATCTTCATGGTTTCTTGGTATGATTATTAATGGCAGACCCTTTCTTTCACTCATTTTTATTCTACAGAGTTTCCCAGTTTGGACAATAAATTATGGTCATCCAAGAGTCATGTCATCAAACTCATCTTCAGCAGAGGGCCTGAATTAGGGAAACAGGCACCAACTCAGTAATGATGAGATACAGTTGGTAAGTTCCATTTCCTAACAGGCTACTGTTCCTTGCATGGATCTCCTTTGGGAATTCAGCATGGAGGAAGTGGGACTGGCAGAGCAGGAGTCAGTCTTCCCGGATCCTTCATCAGAATATTTCATTTCTAATACAGGACAAGAGGAGTGATTCTCTGTTGGACTGGGAGGCCCAATAATTAAATGGGGGCAAGGGATGGAAATAAGAACATTCAAGGCCAGGCGTGGTGACTCATGACTGTAATCCTAACACTTTGGGAGGCTGAGGCAGGTGGATCACCTGAGGACAGGAATTCGAGACGAGCCTGGCCAACATGGTGAAAACCTGTCTCTACTAAAAATACAAAAATTAGCTATTCAGGAGGCTGAGGCAGGGAATTGCTTGAACCTGGGAGGCAGAGTTTGCAGTGAGCCTAGATTGCACCACTGTACTCCAGCCTGGGTGGCAGAGTAAGGCTGTCTCAGGAAAAAAAAAAAAAAAAAAAAAAAATTTGAAAGGAACACAGTCTTTGAAAGAATGAGAAACAATGCTTTCAATGGGGAGTGGGTACAGGCCATGAAGAGGGAGCTATCTCGCTGTGTCTTAAACCAGAAAGCTCTGCATGTGAGGTGGGCCCAGAAAAGATGAAGGTGACTCTAGAAAGACCCAGTGTGCCTACGGGTGTAAGCCTTCTAAGTCTCCCTGTTTCTGGTTTTTCCACTCAATTTTTACTGCACCAAAGAGCAGACAAGGAGGAATATAGGAGAGAAAGCATGGGCCATAAAAGACACTAATATAGTGTTACAAAGTCCAAGTCTATCCTTAATCACAATGTATACAAACATGTTATGTTTCCTCATTAAAAGGAAGGAGGGAGACAGAGAAGGGAGGAGACTTTTTACAAGAGATTTACCTACAATAAAACCAAACAATAGAAAAGGTTGAAAAGAAAGGAAGGAAAAAGGGTACACCAAGCAAGTTCTAACAACAAGAGAAAAAGCTGTGTAGAATTATTAATATGAGACAAAACAGACTCTAAGGCTAAGCATTTAATGGGCATAGAATGGAATATTTCATATTGATAAAAAACCAATAATCAATCCCTAAGTTGTCGAACAATGTCCAAGTCAGGAAACCTAGAAGTTACTCTTTTTTTCTTTTTTTTTGAGATGGAGTTTCCCTCTTGTTGCCCAGGCTAGAGTGCAATGGCACAATCTCGGCTCACTGCAACCTCCTCTGCCTCCTGAGTTCAAGCGATTCTCCTGTCTCAGCCTCCCAAGTAACTGGGATTACAGGCATACACCACCATGCCTGGCTAATTTTGTATTTTTAGTAGAGACAAGGTTTCACCATGTTGGCCAGGCTGGTCTCAAACTCCTGACCTCAAGTGATCCATCTGCCTCAGCCTCCCAAAGTGCTGGGATTACAGGCATGAACCACCACGCCCAGTCTAGAAGTTGCTCTTAATTCTCCACCCTCTCACATCTAAAACATCAGCAAGTCCAGTTTATTCTTCTTCCAAAATGCATTGTAAATCCACCCATTTCTTTCCATCTCCACAGCACATCATCCCTAGTCCTGGCCACCATCTTCTCTCAAATGTAGTCCTGCAATGGTGCTCTAACTGGCCTCCTGACACTGAAATTAATCTCCCCCAAGCAACTTCAAATTGGTTAACCTGGCCAACATGGTCTTCCGCAGGCAGGCCTCTGCCCAACTCTGACTGCACCTCTGACACTGTGACTCTCATCCAGGCACAGTGGCCTCCCTTCTGTCACCTGATCAGCCCAATCAGTTACATCTTGAGCCTTTGCAGCAACTTTTCCCACTGCATAGAATGCTCCTTTCTCACACCTTCAGGGGTATAGCAGTCCTTTAAAATTCATCTGTTAGTTTAAATGGCACCCCCTAAGAAAGGAGGGTGAAGTTTTTCAATACTTGTTAATATAGGAGCATAAGAATTACTGTAATTATCTTTCAACCTATTTGTTACCTTTATAAATAAACTTCTTATGACATAGACTACTAACACTAATCTGTGAAATGTTGAATTATGATGAAAACAGAGAACTGAGAGGCTGGGCACGGTGGCTCGTGCCTGTAATCCCAGCACTTTGGGAGGCTGAGGCAGGAGGATTACTTGAGGCCAGAAGTTTGAGACCAGCCTGGGCAACATAGTGAGACCCCTGTCTCTACAAAAAAACAATATAAAAATCAGCTGGACGTGGTGACACACACCTATAGTCCCAGCTACTCAGAAAGCTGAGGAGGGAAGACAGCTTGAGCCCAGGAGGTCAAGGATGCAGTGAGCTATGATCACACCACTTCACTCCAGCCTGGGCGACAGAGTGAGACCCTGTCTCAGAGACAGCGAGAGCAAATGGGGGTAGGGGGGAACACTAAGGATTCTCCTTCAAATAGTCCAATTTATTTCTTTTTTGTTTTTTTGAGACGGAGTCTTGCTCTGTCGCCCTGGCTGGAGTGCAGTGGTGCGATCTCGGCTCACTGCAACCTCCGCCTTCAGCGTTCAAGCAATTCTCCTGCCTCAGCCTCCCAAGTAGCTGGGATTACAGGCGTGCGCCACCACACCCGGCTAAATTTTGTATAAAACAAGTACCATCCACTAGATGGCGCTTCTAGCCTGTTCTATCCTGTTCTTGACTCTTTTCAGGACCCTGGACAGTGCCTGGTGTACAGCAACCGTTCCGTAACTATTGAATGATTTGTCATAAACTTACATGCACCCTGAACCTATCAGCACAGCTTTAAAATATATAAGGCAAATGGGTCTACAAAAAGAAAGAGACGAGTGTGAAGCCAACCCACACCCCTTAGAAACATACTAGGGAAACCCAAAACAACAAAGAACTTTTTAAATGCAAAAGTAGAATGACTGCTTTTACCCTCTGTATTTCTGAATTATTTTTTCAGGATTAATATGTATTACTTTGATAAATGAGATTAAATTTTTCTTCATGTTCCCTTCTCAAATTGTAAAGTCTTTTACTATGGTTCTAAGGAGCTGGTCAAACCTGTTCAGGGGTGTTAAGTGCACACCAAGATGGAAGGTGACAGGAAGGTGTATAACATTAGGATTATATTTAGGTTTATTCTTTTTTTTTTTTTTAGACGGAGTGTTGCTCTGTCACCCAGGCTGGAGTGCAGTGGCATGATCTCAGCTCACTGCAATCTCCACCTCCCAGGTTCAAGTGATTCTCCTGCCTCGGCCTCCCAAGTAGCTGGGATTATAAGCCTGCACCTCCACGCCCAGCTAATTTTTGTACTTTCAGTAGAGACGAGGTTACACCATGTTGGCCAGGCTGGTCTCAAATGCCTGACCTCAGGTGATCTGCCAACCTTGACCTCCCAAAATGCTGGGATTACAAGTGTGAGCCACCACGCCCAGCCTGTTTAGAGTTATTCTAAAAATCATAACTTCTTGGAATTAAAAAAGTTCTATACATGGCTAGTAACCCCTTCTGCAGCTGAAACTGACTACAAGTCCCCTTCTGTCACCCAGAGTGACCAGAATTGTGTTCTGTGAGGGGCAGGGTTCACTGGATAGCATGAGGTGACGTGCCAGGCTGAATTCTCTCCCTGCAGTGGAGGCTACTCTACAATAAAGTGAAAGGAAGATCTGACCTAATGCCCTGCAGAGCTTCATTTCTCCCACCATCTGGTTTTGTAAGGAAAAAAAGTATGTGCTTCTATGTATTTTTTTTAGCACTACTCCTTAATTTAAATGTCTATTTAAAAAAGACCAAAGCTTAACTGGTTATCTTTGAAATATAATTTCTTTTTATTTTCTTCTTTTACTTCTTTATATTTTCTTATATTTCTACAATCATAAGTACAAATTAGGTGGCAAAGAAATGATATAAAAGAAGCATGGTATCTGCCAAATCAAATTCTCTGGATGAGCTAATGCCCACCCAAGTGGCAAGTTGAGGAAAGGAGGGTGCTGTTGACTTACGGTCCATTTCTAATCTGTCCTGAGCGTTGGTAAGGCCAGGGGCTGGACAGTGGGCTATTGGAGAGGACTCCAGTCTCAGGCCAATGTACTCGGTACTTCCATCAGGAGGGTATGTGGCAGCTGGCCCTTCCATCCACAGTATCTTTTGGGCAGCTATACTGATCACTGTGGGAAAGAGAGTTTCTGCGGTGCCAGCTGAGTTGGTCTTCCCTGTGTGAGACACCCAAGGGGAGCCATGGGCGGCCTCTGAGGAGAAAAGTCTTCTTATTGCCTTCATGTCTTTATGCCCCGACAGCATAACCACTCAGCAGAATTCCACAGTTGCTCAAGGAGGTAACACTCCCTTGAAGCAGTGGAGTATAATCAAACATCTTGGCCCCTCCTGAAAGCCACTCCCACCCATTTCAGTCCCGATAAGTTAAAGATCTTAAGTAGTTTAGACACATGCCTTTGCTCAAGGAAATTCACAGAAACCACCACAGCTACACATATTATTGAATGACTCATGAGTTCTCCTTCACTGATTAATCCTTTTCCTCATCCCTTCCTACCCCTCCCATCTGCCCTAAGAACAAAGAGCTTGTAAACCAATAAATCAGGCAGAGCCTGGGCTGTGAGCAAGCCTCCGATGCTCAGGTCCCCTGGACCTGCTTTTTAAACGCTTATTCTGTCTCTTTCTAACTCCTTTGTCTCCGCTGGACTCAGGGTAGCAGGTGGTGTGGGGCTGGTTTCCCCAAACAATCACTGTAACAGATAAGGCAACATAAATACACTTTCTCATAACTTGTCATCTGCACTAGATTTAACAGCAGCACCAGTGATTCTGCAGTGCCCTCCAGGCACTGGAGCAGGATGACTTTAGGCATTTCTACAAACCCAAAACCTCCTTTCCTTTGTTGCCTCTCTTGACTCCACCCAGGGGTGCTTCTGTTTGAGGACTCATAGGGGAGCCAAATAAAGAACATATTGGGCCCATATTTTTAAATTATTTTCCTTATGATGTTATTGCAAATCACAGACTATCTTCCTGGGAATAATCCAAAATGTTCATTGCTTTTCTTTCTAGTGTGGGCAAACTAAATTTCTGTGATTGAGACCAGGACAAATTGGTCTTAATAGATGTTCCCTTCCAATAGGCCTGGTAGATGTGAATTAATGTCAAATTGACTGAATTGCTCTCCCTCCAGCTGTGACTAGCCAGACCAAGCAGCTACAAAAGTGCTCCCAGGAGGAATGGGACTTCCTCCCATCCCCTTTCACTTGGGATCTTCCTTGTCCCCTCCTCTGCATTACTCCCAGTTGGACAGAACAACTCACCCCCAAGCCCTACAACAATGGAACCCTCCCAGGCCAACCCCTTTAGGCCTGGCACCAGCCCAACCACAATTCATGCACGTCACCCTGCTAACCCACTAATAACATTGCCCCCCCTCTTTGGGAAGCTGGGAGATCTTCAGAGCTCTTTGGTTTTCAAACTTCAAGATCTTAAAAGCATGGTTGCTGTATCCATTCCAATAACTGAATGAAATTGGCATGGGGTTCATCTGCCTGCAGACACAAGGGAAACTGAAAAGAACTAACATTTGTTGAGAATCTTACTGTGCACTTTGTATTGTGTTTGGTTCCTTGGCGTTGTTGTCCCATTTATTCCTCATGGCCACCTAAGTATAGCTATGCCCATTTTATAGATAGAAGAAACTGAGGCTCAGAGAGATGACTCCCCATGCCCAAGATCACACACTTCCTAATATTAGGAAATGTTACATTAGGAGTTACAGCGTCAAGAAATGATCCTGTACAGATGCATTATGGTTTCTCCTCAAGAGGAAACTGTTCTGGGGATTCCTTAGTCCCATTAGTGCTGGGTCCCTGGCACCTTCCAAGTCCAGCTTGTGCCCAGTCATTGTGGCTGGACAGCCCTGCTGGTTGTTCTTATTTACTAGAATTATCTCAGAGGTGGTGACATTGCTATATGGTCTAAACACTGCCAGCTCCACACAAAGGTGCCATGGCTCAGCCATCACATTGGAAGGGCCTGCTTCACTCCTTCGCTGCTGTCATCACCCTGAGGCAGTAACTTCTCTCATAACCTCGGGGCTAGAGCAGATTTCCCAGGAAGAGAATACAACACCAAAACTCCTCTTTCACCACCTTCCCAAGCTTCTAGATCTCTTTTTATTCCACCTACACAGAAACCATGTGGGAGATCAGAAGCCTTCAGTGACCTTCGGCCACATCTCCACATCTTTTCAAAAATCTCATAAGGATGGTTGTATTAGTCAAGGTTCTCCAGAGAAACAGAACCAACAGATTAGATATAGATATAGATGCCCTGAGAGAAATTTATTTTAAGAAGTTGGCTCATGCAATTATGGAGGCTAAATCTCACAATCTGCCAACTGCAAGCTGGAGACCCAGGTAAGCTGGTGGCATAGTTTGAAGGCCAGAAAGCCAGGGAGCCAATGGTATGGATGCCAGTTTGAGTTTGAAGGTCTGAGTACCAAGAGTGCCAAGGAAGGGAGAAGATCAATATCTCAACTCAAGCAGTCAGGCAGAGCAAGAACTCAACCTTCCTGTGCCTTTTTGTTCTTTCTATTGAGGCCCTTAACGGATCATGCCCACCCACACTGGGGAGGGCCATCTGCTTTATTTAGCCCACCAATTCAAATTCTAATCTCTCACAGACACATCCAGAAGTAATGTTTAACCAGATATCTGGGCACCCTTTGCCTAGTCAAGTTGACATGTAAAATTAACCACCACGATAAAGGTAGATTAGTTTCCAAAATTCAACAAGGTCTTACATCTTCACCACTCCTGTACCTAGAATTTAGCCCAAAACAATGAAACCCTTCCTTTTTTTATTATTTTGAAAATTACATAGGCCATTAAGTTGGAATCCCATTCTAGAAACCTGGAGGTTTTCTGTGGAAGGGAGGTCAGAATAGAACAGCTTGTACAGGAGTGAAGGGGAAAACACAGCTCAGCCACAGAGGCCCATTCACTAACCCTTACTTGTATGAGCTCATCTGTTTTTCTTGTACTTTCATTCAATATATGACCACTGGTGCCAGGTAATGTGCCAGGAGCTACAGAGAGCTATAGAGTGTACTGAGAACACTCCAACACTGGCATCAGCCATCTCTGACCTTATAATCTGTTTTTCTTCACAGTATCTTTAATAATGGAAATTGTTTATTGTTTATCTCTTCCACTAAAAGGTAAGCTGTATGAGAACAAGGCCTGTGTTTTTCTTCATCACCATTCTATCCCCAGCACATAGTAAGTATTCTTATGCTAAATGAGAGGATGAATGAATGAATGAATGAATGGAGATCTGACTTCTATTCTCCTTGTTGCCACTGTTTGGGTGGAAAGACATTGGGGCCATCCATCAGACTGGGGAACCCAGGAGGAATAGGTTTATGGGGACAGGGAGATGAAGTCTGCAACTCCCTGTTTGGCGGATAATCAGTTGAAATGTTAATTGACTTAATTTTTTCCCTCTATCCTGCCATGTAGGAGTCCCTTACCTATTCAGTTAGAGGCAGTTCAGGAAAAATCTGGCATTGTTGCAGCAGGAACGCAAGGAGAATAAAACAATATTTAGTTCTAATATCCAAATAAGATTCCTAAAACTGCACATCAGAAATAAGTTTTTAAAACCAAGATGTTGATTAACAAAAGCCAATAAAAGGAACAAGTGATTTTTTTTAAATTAACATTATAATGGAAAGAAAATAATATAAGAGGGGATTCGGTCTGGGACTGGGGAGAGACCTGAGGACCACAGGAGAAATGAAGAAGCATGAGGAGGGAGGACCTTTGTGAGGACTTTTTGAACTGGGGAGACCACAAAGCGAGGAGGTGGAACACAGATGTGGAGTGTGTCCAGCTTCCCACATGTGCATGCATTATCATCACCAGTGCACGAGTTTGTGTCAGTGGCCCAAGACCACCCCTTACAATTCAAGTGCACACTCCTGTAGCCAGGAGCCAACTGTTGAGGGTCTTCTTTTGACAGCTGCCTGCAGCCTGCCCTTGGTCAACCAACAAGGGAGAATTCATCTATGACCTGAGGTAGGCACAGCCCAACCAAACCACCCTATGTAACAAACCACCTTTACAATAGTCTAGGTCATCTGCAAGCCTAAAATAAGAAAGTGGCCCTGGTGTTCTGGAGAGCAAGCCGTTCTCAAAACATGATGTGGGGACTCCTGGAACCCCTTCAGGTGCTCTGTGAAGCCCAAACTATTTTCACAATAATTTCACAAACTATTTTCTTAAAGAACTAAGATTTTCTTTTCCTCCCTTATTCTCATTCTCATATGAGTGTATAGAGGCTACATATTTGTCATATCCCAACAGATTAAATGCAAAAGAATATATAGCAATCCAGCCAACTCCCATTAACCAGTCTCTAAGGAGATTTACAAAAAAGTAAAATGGTACCACTCTTCTAACTAATCTTTGGTTTTGAAAAATACAGTTATTTTCATTTTAAAATGTTGTAAATAATGTAAATACTAACATATAATGAAGTTATTATTGCATTTGAATGAATTAATGGATATTTTAAAATGTCTATCTTACTTATAAGTGAACACCAATAAGTTCTTTGCAGTCCTGAATAGTTTTTAGGGGTGTCAAGAGTTTTTGACTAAAGAGCTTGAGAACCTCTGATCTAGAAGGACGGAATTGTGAAAGTAAAAACACAACAACAACAACAACAACAACCAACTCTGCACTTGGGTGAGAATGAACAGAACCAGAAGAAGACAGTTTGAAGCCAGTATAGTAGAGAAAACCTGCCTATTGCACCTGCTAAACTGCAAACACCCAAAGGGCTCATGTCTAGCCTACTTGCATCTAACTCGCTGCCTGACATTCAGTTGGTGCAAAATGAATATTTGTTCCATCAGTATCTATACAACTTGAGATGTGCTGAGCTTGAGGTGTCTGTGAGATATCTAGGGAGAGACAAGTAGGGAGACAAATGCATGGAGTTGGAATTCACTGAAGTAGATATACAGATGTGGAAATCATCAGCTTATGAGAGGTGGGTGAAGCAAGGAGTCAGTGAGCTCATCTAGAGAGGGAGGGTGTTAAAAACGAAGTGAAAAGGTCAGGGAAACCCTGGGGAACACTAACATTTAAGAGGTGGATGGAGGAAAAGATCAGCCCATTTTGAGAGCCCAGATGTTTGATGCTATGTACTAGGAAAGTTGTGTCAAAGAAGTAGAACTGACAAAGTATGTTATTACTGAAGTCAAGACAGAAGAGAAGTGCAATAAATTAAGAGTGGTCCTGTGACAAGCACCGTAGCTTGGCTCACCCAACATCTTTTCTAACTCTCTTTCTCCTGAACTTCCTTCATTTCAAAAGTCTAGCTATTGTAGCTGGGTGTGGTGGCTCATGCCTGTAATCCCAGCACTTTGGGGGCTCAGGTGGAAGGATCTTTTGAGCCCAGGAGTTTGAGACCAGCCTGGGCAACATGTGAGACTGCATTTCTACAATTTTTTTTCTTCAATTAGCCAGGTGTGGTGGCACACGCCTGTAATCTCAGCTACTTGGGAGGCTGAGGTGGAGGGATCATTTGGGCTGGGGAGGTCGAGGCTGCAGTGAGCCATGATCATGCCACTGCACTCCAGTCTGGGCAACAGAGCAAGATCCTGTCTCCAAATGGACATAGTGGCTGTCCAATATGGTAGCCACTAGCCACATTTGGCTATTTAAATTCAAATTAATTTAAGTCAAATAATATCAGAAATGCAGCTTTTCAGTCATACTAGCCAGGTTTCAAGTGTTGTCACCACATGTGGCTAGAAGCTGTTTTATTAGAGCAAGTATAGAACGTTTTCATCATCACAGAAAGTTTTATTGGACAAAGCTGCTCTAGAGGTTGGAAACCTAAAATGGTCTCCCAGATTCTCTTGGAACTAGAAGTGGCCAAATGCACAGTTCTAATGTGTAGGAGAAAGTCCTTGGTGAGGCATCTCTTACCCAATAGGTTTTTTTTTTTATTAAAAAAAAAAAAAAGTCTATAGACGGGGTGTTGCTGTGTTGCTCAGGCTAGAGTGCAGTGGCTATTCACAGGCACAATCATGGTGCACTGCAGCCTTATGAACTCAAGTGATCATCCTGCCTCAGCCTCCAGAGTAGCTGAGATTATAGGTACATGCCACTGCACCCCACTCAAATGTATATATAACTGCACCCCACTTAAATGTATATATAACTCACATTTATTTCAATGCTTAATATTAGCAATGTTTGGGGTCTTTATTTAAAATTTTGGTGAAGGTTTTGTGACCAGAAATATGCCGTAGGAACTTAACTCGTTTATATCAATTAGCCTATGGCAAAATTGGTGGTTATATATCATTTAACTTAAAGTCACAGCTTCCAAGAACCTATCAATGACTTTAAGTGAGGGCTTCCCCTGTACATATATTTTTATTTTACATATATCATATATATTTTTATTTTTATACTATATTATATAACTTTATCATATTATTACATATTGTCTTGTATATAATATGCAAACGTTCTATATATGATGTTTCTCTGGAGAATGCTAATACAAATATGTGTATGTAATAACCGGCTGAACTAATGAAGCTGACTCTAGAAATTGCTTGGTATAATGTAAACTGGAGGAAGGAATCCAAAGCCATAGACAGAAGCCAGCTATGACATGTTTGTTTTCCAAATAGTGCTTGCAGAAATCTTTAGAGGTTGGTATTTGCCAAGGGTTTTGAGACTGGAGGACATCGCAGCAGAGCAGAATTGTTTGGAATGGGTTGGATGACTAGGATTAGTGAGATGAAACAGAATTCTAGTGATAGGGCTAGAAAAGTCCTAAAAGAAAGTATACATAAAGTCATTGGGGGTGTTTCTTTTAGAGAAGAGTTGTAGCATTAATCCTAGTCCAAGAAGCAGAGAGGAAACAAGCCAAATTCCAATACATAACTGACCTTTTCCCATAGAGTAGTTTCTACTAGAGCTTTACTCTCCAAGCCTTATTTTTCATCCCTCTCAGTAAACTTGATGCCAATGACTGAAAAAAAAAAAAAAAAAAAAAAAAGCCGTCTTTTCTAATCCTAAACAATATTTAGGGAAATATCACAGAATTTTCTTCATGGTTATCACCTTTCTTCATAGTTATCACCTTTCCAAGTTCTGACAGCTTCTGGGGTGAAAGAAGCCAGAAATGACAGGGAATTAGGATGAAAGGGAAACAGGCTCAACCCATTTCAGGTGAGCAACCCCTGGGGCTAGGCTTATTCCAGACCTTACTAGTAGAAGGAAAAAGGAAGCAATATTCCTGTCCCCCTTTAATTGGGGAAAACCAGCCTGGCCCTCCAGAACGCTTACAGTGAGGGAAGATGAAACATCCCCTCACTTTGGGAGTTCTGCACACTTAATTTGTAGAAACATTTGTGTGTGGAGCATTGGTGTTATTGGGCATGGGGCAATCTTCTAGATACTATTAGAAGATATGGGCTTAGCCACAGAAGAGTTCTAAGGGCATATGGTGGCATCCTGGAGGCCTCATAGGTGAAGGGAATTTAAAAATTCACTAGGGTATCAGCTTCTCCTTGGCTGTTGTCCATTGTTTAAGTAAGAAATAATGAATGGGCCGGGCGTAGTGGCTCACGCCTTTAATCCCAACACTTTGGGAGGCCTAAGCGGGTGGGTCACGAGGTCAGGAGATTGAAACCAGCCTGATTAACATGGTGAAACCCCATCTCTACTAAAAATGCAAAAAATTAGCCGGGCGTGGTGGCAGGCGCCTGTAGTCCCAGCTACTTGGGAGGCTGAGGCAGGAGAATGACGTGAACCTGGGAGGTGGAGCTTGCAGTGAGCCGAGATTGTGCCACTGCACTCCAGCCTGGGGGACAGAGTGAGACTCTATCCCCAAAAAAAAAAAAAAAAAATGAATGAATGAATGTAAGTATCACCTATTTTCTAAATTGATGGGAGAACCAATCACCAGGGGACATTATGGTGGCTTAAGTTCACACAAATTGTATGCATCTAGAGATTGAATCACTGTTTTTGTTAATTTCCTACATCCTATAACAGGAAACAACTTGTACTGAAATAATGACTCCCACCCTTACCCAGCAATTTGATCATGTTGTTCCCTCTGCCAGAAATGCTCTTCCCTCTTCCTCAAGGCCCAACTCAGTGCTATTCCCTTTTAAGTTGCCTCTAGATTAATCCCTTGTTTGGCTCTCTGAACTTCTCTTATGTTGGGTATCACATACCGACTTTGTTGGAGTCACTGGTATCTACCTGCCCTTGCCTTTGATATTTCCAAGGTCCAGGGCTTACTGCCTTCTCCCTGGAATTCAGTTTTTTTGCATAGATGTCTTCGGTAAGTGATGATGTATAGTGCTTAACAGGATGTGTCAAAGTTCTCACCTTACCTCACTGAATCCTCCCAACTCTGAGAGGGTAGCAGGCATGGATACTTTTTCCATTTCACAAAGAAAGAAACTTAAGACTCACAGTGTATATGTAACTTGTTCAAGGTATCAATCCCAGCTGGTATGTGGCAGAGCTAGATTCTGCCATATTTACAGGCTGGAAAGAAACTCCAGTGTATGTTTGAGACCCTTCTGGAAGAATCTGGATTTCAAATCTGAGGCCCGACAAAACCCAGAAACGAATAGATTACAACCTATGATGTCAAGCTTATTATTTCCAAGAAAAAAATCATGCTTTTGGAGAATCAAGCTCACAGAATTCTGGCCCAAAAACAGACAAGGTCCCTACAGTGAGGGGCAGGAGACCTGGGTTACTCTCTCTCCATGGACCTGTTTCCCCACCTGTAAAATAGGAAGGTAGTGACTGGATTAGCAACTCTAAGGATCCTCCCTGCATGCATGCTAACAACTGGTATATGGGAGTTGTGGGTAGGCTGGCCTGAAAATACTCCTTTCCCTTCACAGATTTGTAGCAGGAAGGGCCAGAAGCCGAGCTCTAGGGCCATTGGGGAGATTGGGAAAAGGACAACAGACCCCAGGACAGGGATTTAGTCAGGGCAGAGTACCAGGAGTAGGATGGCTCTACCCTCCTTGCCCCACCCCTGGAAGAACAATGTGTAGAACCCCCAGGAAGGAAGCACTTAGAGCAGGGGTGGTACTGGGTTAGGAGCCAGAGGCCCACAGGGTCCCAGATGCCATTGCTAATGCACTCAGTCCCCAGCAGGTCACCGCTGTTCTTTAGGCCTATCTGTCCACCTGTCATTGCATCTGGAGTTGGTTCCCTCCACTGGGTTCTTGGTCTTGCTGACTTCAAGAATGAAGCCGCGGACCTTTGCGGTGAGTGTTACAGCTCTTAAAGGTGGCACAGACCCAAAGAGTGAGCCGCAGCAAGATTTCTTGTGAAGAGTGAAAGAACAAAGCTTCCACAGTATGGAAGGTAACCCAAGCAGGTTGCTGCTTCTGGCTGGGGTGGCCAGCTTTTATCTCCTTATTTGTCCCTGCCCATGTCTTGCTGATTGGTCCATTTTACAAAGTGCTGATTGGTGCATTTACAATCCTCTAGCTAGACTCAGAGCACTGACTGGTACGTTTTAACAGAGTGCTGACTGGTGCATTTACAATCCTTTAGCTAGACACAGAGTGCTGATTGGTGCATTTACAATCCTCTAGCTAGACAGAAAAGTTCTCCAAGTCCCCACTGGACCCAGGAAGTCCAGCTGGCTTCATCTCTCAATCCTCCCCTCTAAGCAGGACCCCCCAACTGCTGCTGGGAATTGGGTGATGACCGCTCTAGCTAATTCCTGCTGGATAGGGGTAAAGAAGGGGATCTGCAGTGGTAGTGTCCTCCAGAGGGGAAATCTCTAGGCCAGACAGAGGGCCAGTGGGTCGATCCAGGGGTCCTAGGTAGAAGTTGTTAGTTGAGCTCCTTTGGGATTCCATTTGTAAGACCATCTGTAGCTTGACGGCCTTAATCCTGGAGGAAACAAATTTGATAAGGAGGTTAAAAATACAGGGCCTGAAGGCGAGTAATAGCAAGATGGCTGACATGGAATCTAGAAAGGGGAGAAGCCATGTCACCCAACTCCAGAGGTTGGTATAAGAGTTTGAAAGGCGTTGTCTGATTTTAGAAGCCTTTTCCTGTTAATGCCAGGCAATGTCTTGTACTATCCTTGACTGGTTAGTGTAAAAGCAACACTCTTCTCCTAAGAAGGTGCAAAGTCCTCCTTTCTCAGCAGTGAGGAGATCTAGGCCTAGGCGGTTTTGGAGAGTCACTGCTGCCAAAGAGTCTATTTGGGATTGTAGAGTAAGGATAGATTTTGTTATTTCTTGCAAACTGTCTGAGAAATCCTTTGAGAGTGCGTGGTAGTAGGGTAATACATGTTACACTGTTAACTTTTAGCAAACTTTACTTTTGTTGAAAACCTTGTAAGTTTGGGATTTTAATTATTCTTTGCTATTAATAAGACCTCATTCAGTCCATATTAACTTAGAATTGGTATAGATGGCTCCTTCCTGATTCTGCAAGTACTTTAAGGTTCAGCTGAGTGCAAACAGCTTGCAGGTTTGAGCAGACCAATTACTAGGCAATTTTCCTAACTCTGCTTCTACAAGAGTTTCCTTATCACTTACTGAATACCCATTGTGTCTTTTCCACTTAATCACCCAGGAGGAACCATCTATCATCCTGTCCTGAAGGGAGTTCCTCCTAGGTCTGCTCTGAACTTTGTATGGTAATTAAGATTCAGATCCCCTGTTAGGAAACCTGCTGGGTTAAGGATTTTTGATAGGAAGCCTATGGGTTGTCAGTGGCCTCAGTGCTTTCCGGCTACACCCTTGTTTACACTGACAACAAGGTGGTATTGGAGTGTTATAGAGTTATGGAGAAGACCTTCAATTATCAATTATAGGTTTTAACTTTACCCTGACTTTCAAAGGAATAGGGTACACTGTTTTTTCTTTACTACTTCTCTCTCTTTCTCTCTTCCTCTTCATCTCTTCTCTCTCTCTTTTTCCTTCTCTTTGACTTTGTCTCTCTCTCTTTCTCTCTGACTCTCTTTGACTTTCTGTCTTTCCTCCCTCTCTCTGTCTCTCTGTCTTTTCCTCTCTCTCTCTGACTTTCTCTCTCTTTCTTTCCTTCTTTATTTCTTTCTTTCTCTGACTTTCTGTCTCTATTTCTTTTCTTCTCTCTTTGACTTTCTCTGCCTCTGCCAGCCACTTATGCTGCTGTTCTCCCTTCTCTTTCCCCTTTTGATGGCTTTGGCAGTGTAAGACTGCCACCTCCTTGGGTTTTTGCACTGCGTGCAATAACTCCATGATTTCCTTGTGGTATTTAATGAGGGTTCCACCATTAAACGTTAGGAACTCCCTTTCTTTCCATATTGCAGCATGGGCATGTAGGATTAGATAAGCATACTTGCTATCTGTATACACATTTATTCTTTTTCCCTTTCCCAGTTCTAAGGCTCGGGTAAGTGCCACTAGTTCTGCTAACTGGTCGCTGGTCCCTGAGGGAAGAGGCTTACTTTCAAGTACTGTTACATCACTAACTATGGCATAACCTGCTGTTTGTATCCCATTCTCCACAAATGAACTTCCGTTGGTATATAGGTTAGGGTCAGGATTAGCTAAGGGGACTTCTAAGAGATCCTTTTGGGTGGCATAAGTCTGGACTATAATTTGTTGGCAGTCATGCTCGATTGATTCCCCATCCTCTGGGAGAAAAGTGGCAGGGTTGAGGGCCGCACACATGCGTATTTGAAGCACTGGTCCCTCAAGGAGTAGCACCTGGTATCTAAGCAGGCAGTTGTCTGATAGCCATAAGCTTCCTTTGATACCTAGTATGCCATTTACGTCATGAGTAATCCAGTTGGCGAGATCCTTTCCTTGTATGATTTTGATAGCCTCTGACACTAAGATGGCCACTGCCGAAACTACTCATAAACAGTGAGGCCAGCCTTTTGCTATTATATCAATTTCCTTACTTAGGTATGCCACTGGTTGTGGGGTTGTCCCACGAGTCTGAGTAAGGACTCCAAGAGCTATTCCTGCTCTCTCTGTGACATATAAACAGAAGTTTTGTCCTGTGGGAAGGCTTAAGGCTGGAGCTTGTACTAGGGCCTGCTTTAAGGTTTTGAATGCTGTTTCTGTTTCTGGTTTCCATTCTACTAGATTAATATTTGCCCTCTGGGTCTCCTTGATTAGAGTATAGAGTGGCCTGGCCATCTCACTGTTTCCATGGATCCATAGTTGGCAAAAGCCAGTCATTCCAAGGAACCCCTGCAATTATTTTAATGTCTTAGGGCAGGGATAAGCCAGTAGAGGCTGCATCCATTCCTCGCTGAGGGCCCTGGTTCCTCTGGCTAAGATTAGGCCTAGTTATTTGACTTGAGTTGGGCCTACTATTTAGTTGCCTTATACCCTTGATTAGCTAGAAAGTTCAAGAGATCTAGAGTAGCCTGCTGGCATGAGGCTTCTGAACTGGTAGCCAAAAGTAAATCATCCACATACTGAAGGACCAGAGTGCCTAGACTTGAGAAGTGGCCTAGATCTCGGGCCAGTACCTGACCAAACAGATGAGGGCTATCCCTAAACCCTCAGGGCAAGACCATCCACATAAGTTGGGACGTGTGGTCTGTGCAATCCTCAAAGACAAAGAGAAACTGGGCGTCAGAGTGCAGGGGAATAGAGAAGAAGGCATCCTTGAAGTCCAGAACTGTGAACCATTCTGCTTCCTCTGGTATTTGAGAGAGCAGGGTATAGGGGTTGCATACAACTGGATATAGAGGAATTACTGCCTCATTGATGAGTCTGAGATCTTGCACTAGTCTCCACTGACTGTTCGGTTTTTGTACTCCTAGAATTGGGGTGTTGCACGGACTGCTGCATTTTCTTACTAAGCCTCAAGCTTTTAAATGTCTAACAATATCCTGTAATCCTTTATGAACTTCAGGCCTTAAGGGATATTGCCTTTGAGAAGGAAAAGTGGTGGGGTATTTTAGCCTGATTTGGACTGGGTGGGCATTTTTTGCCCTTCCGAATTGTCCTTTCAATGCCCATACTTCAGGGTTGATTCCCTCCTCAAGCAGGGGACAACAAATGGGTAACTTGTTCCCCATATTCATACAGATAATAGCTCCAGCTTTGGCTAATATGTCCCTCCCTAATAAGGGTATGGGACTTTCAGGCATAACAAGAAAGGCATGTGAAAAGAGCAAAGTCTCCCAATTACAACTGAGAAGGTGGGAGATATACCTGGTTACAGGCTGTCCCAAGATTCCTTGGATGGTAACGGACCTGAGGACTGCTGTCTGGGACAGGAGATTAACACTGAGAAAGCCATGCCAGTGTCCAGGAGGAAGTCAATTTCCTGGCCCTCAATGGTTAAACGTACCCAGGGCTCAGTGAGGGTGATGACATGAGCTGGTGCTTGCCCCGGGCACCCTCAGTCCCGTTGTTGGATCACCTGGTTGGGGGCTTCTGGCCCAGAGAACCTTTGTCCTCTGGGGCAGTGCACCTTCCAGTGATTGCCTCAGCATAGTGGACATGGGTGAGGAGGCAGCTTGTTTCTCATTGGACAATCTTTTTTAAAGTGTCCTTGCAAACCATGCTGATAACAAGCCCTACTGGGTGATTGGCCTGCTCCATTTTCTGTCCTCTCTGAACCACCAAGGTTTGTTTGTCTGAGGGCCACGACTAAGGCTGCGGCCTTCCTCTGATCTCACTTTTCCTTTTTGGCTTGTTCCTCTTGGTCCCTATTATAGAACACCGAGGTTGCCAGGTTTAATAATGCCTCCATATTTTGTTCATGGCCCAGGGCTCGCTTTTGGAGCTTTCTCCTGACATCTGGGGCTGACTGGGTAATAAACTTATATTTTAGGATCAATTGACCCTTGAGGGAGTCAGGTGACAGGGGAGTGTATTTTCTTAAGGCCTCCCGTAGCCGCTTGAGGAAGGCAGTAGGATTTTTCTTCCTTTCCCTGAGTTATGGTGGACATCATTGAATAATTCATGGGCTTTTTCTAATTCTCTTTAGTCCTTCCAGAACACAGGTCAGCAGATGTTTACGACTCCAGTTCCCATGATCTGAGTCTGGGTCCCAGTAGGGATCCATACTGGGGAAGGCTTGCTGACCAGCAGGGAATTTGTCCCTTTCTTTGGCTGTCATTCTATCATTTACTTGACTAAGATATCAGGTATCTCCAAACTCTCGGGCTGCAGCTAAGGCCGCATTCTTTCCATTAAAGGCCAGGGTTTGATCTAACAATAGCATGACATCTCTCCAAGTGAGGTCAAGGGTTTGCCCTAGACCCTGTAGGACATCTATGTACCTATCAGAATCATCTGAAAACTTCCCCAGATCTGCCTTAAATCAGAGAGGGAGAAGGGAACATGTACCTGGGTTGGGCCAAATTCCCCTCCCCCTACAGCTTGAAGGGGACATAACCGATAGCCTGGGGGTTTTTGTGGTCCTTTGGAGATTTCTTTATTTCCTTCTTGGCTGGGGAGATTAGAGGAGGCTTATCATTAATAGGAAGGGAAGCTATAGGGAGGCTAGGATATGGGGGTAAGCTGAGAGGTCCTCCTGTGGGATGTAAATTGCAAGCTTTGCATAGTTGTGGATTCTCCTTCAATGAAAAGAAAGCTTGGACATAATGTATTTCACTTAATTTGCCTTCCCTCTTTCAGAAAAGGTCAAACTGCAGGATAGGATAGTATTGTAATTTATACTTCCCTCAGGTGACCATTTTTCCCCATCAGAGAGAAAATATTGGGGCCAGGCCATAGTGCAGAAAAAAATAAGCCACTACTTTTTCAGGGTTTGTGGGTCAAATTGGTCCCAATGGCTTAGGATGCATTTCAAGGGTAAGTCTGTTGATGCCTGAGTGTTTCCCATGTGAAAGAAAAAACTGCCCATGGTTTTGGTTTGTTTGTTACCCCCACCCCCCAACCCTGCAAGAACCCGCAACAGTCCCTGGACCCTGCTGATTGGAATAGTTGTGCTAACCAATGCAGCACCAGATCCCCCTCTTGCCCAAGAACCCAAAACAGTCCCTTGGACCCTGCTGATCAGAATAGTTGCACTCACAACACAGCAGCAGAAACACTAGTTTTCCTCTTAGACCCAAAGAGGATTGAGGAAATTCAGATTTAGTGGCCCTTACTGACGCATTCTCAAAAACCTGCACCTTGCCTGTCCTCTTAGACCACAAAGAGGACTAAGAAAAATTGGATTTAGTGGCCCTTACCGACACATTCTTGAAAACCTGTTAGAGTCCTAAGCGTTTTTTCCTGTTAGTATTAGGAACTTACCCTTGTCTTATAAAGATGTTATGCCTCAAAATGGAGTGGAGGGCCATACCCTGAGGGAGGGAAGGGATCTCCAGGGTTGGGAGAATGATGGCTTTTGTCCTCAATTCTCATCATACAAATAGGGAGAATATAATTTCTGAGGCTACCCATATCCTAGCTTCAGGAATAGCTTTTGTTAGGCCTGCTAGTCTGAGGAGGGATCCTAAAATTCCAGATAGTCCCCCCCACTGATGGGGTTTTGGGCAAAAATTATGTCTTTCTGATTGTTGAGCCCAGGTGCCTAAAGAACAGTCCCAAAATTTATATTAGAAATCATTTTTATAGGAGAAACTAGAAAGCACCAGAGACAGGGAGTGGTTTTTAGAAGCGGGAGTAGCCTCAGAGAAGACAGGCAGGGGGAAGTTTGTCTGACAGGCTTAGAACCCAGGAGGCAAGGGTCAGGGTAGATAGGATAGATGGGTGAGTCTTGCTTGGGCGACATGACTTTGAGAGTTCCGCTCACGGTTACAGGGTCAACGAACTTTTTGTCAGGACCCCAGAGCTGAATGTCTTTCCTCTCTGTTGACCCTCGGCTCAGCCCAGAAGTACAGGAAAAGTGGAAGCTGGTTCCAGGCAAAGCAATGCTCCCAACTCCGTAGAGTCTGGAGTTGTTAGAGAGCCCTTTCCCAGAAAGCCTGACACCCGTGTCTTTAGTCCAGTGGCCACGCTAGTCGCTTTTAACTGGCCAACAGGTGCCCGGTGTTTAGCCCCCGAATTCTAAGGAAAAATAGGACAGAATAGCAAGTGAAAGGGGTTCAATGGTACTCACTGCTTGGCGATAGTCCCTTCATGGTTGACAAGATGTGTCCAGAGTTGGTTCCTTCTGGTGGGTTCTTGGTCTCACTGACTTCAAGAATGAAGCTGTGGACCTTCGCCATGAGTGTCACAGCTCTTAAAGATGGCATGGACCCAAAGAGTGAGCAGCAGCAAGATTTACTGTGAAGAGCTAAAGAACAAAGCTTCCACAGCATGGAAGGGGACCCAAGCGGGTTGTCACTGCTGGCTGGAGTGGCCAGCTTTTATCCCCTTATTTGTCCCTGCCCATGTCCTGCTGATTGGTCCATTTTACAGAGGGCTAATTGGTCCATTTTACAGAGTGCTGATAGGTGCATTTACAATCCTCTAGCTAGATACAGAGTGCTGATTGGTGCAATGTTACAGGGTGCTGACTGGCGCATTTACAATCCTTTAGCTAGACACAGAGTGCTGATTGGTGCATTTATAATCCTCTAGCTAGACAGAAAAGTTCTCCAAGTCCCCACTTGACCCAGGAATTCCAGCTGGCTTCACCTGTCATCATGAGGGAGAATCCGTACCAATGGCAAGTGGGGGCAGCCTGGGGCCACAGCTCCCATGCTGGGGTCCCAGATGGCTTGCCCACAGGCAATTGCCTGAGACAAGTCCTGAACTAAAGAGCACCAGAAGAAATTTGTATTAGTCCATTCTCACACTGCTATAAAGAACTATCTGAGATTGGTAATTTATGAAGGAAAAAATGTTTAATCAGCTCATAGTTCTGCAGGCTTAACAGGAAGCATGACTGGGAGGTCTCAGGAAATTTACGATCATGGCGGAATGCGAAGGGGAAGCAAGTACCTTATGTATATGGTGGCAGGGGAGAGAGAGAGCAAAGGGGGAAGTGCTACACACTTTTAAATGATCAGATCTCATGAGACGTCACTCACTATCATGAGAACAGCAAGGGGGAGTCTGCCCTTATGATCTAATCACTTCCAACTGGGCCCCTCCTCCAATTCGACATGAGATTTGGGCAGGGACACAAATCCAAACCATATCACCACTCCCTCCCTGTTCTTTGCACACTTGGAACAACTTCCATTTCCCTCTAGGAAGGTCAGAGGCCTGTGGGGTTTGGTGATTCACTCACCTGAGATCAGCTCCCCGAAGGAGTCCCTGAGACCCCAGCACCAAGAAAACCCTTCCTCTCACCAAGTCATCCCCAAGACTATGTTTGGTGACCATCACTGACCCTCCCTGCTCTCCTAACACCATTGGCAGGAAGAAGCCTGACAGGAATTAAGAAACAGGAATGAATGAAGGTCAGAGAAAGCATCTTGCAATAGAAAGAAGAGAAGAAGGAATGGTCTAAAGACCAGAAATCAAAGCCTAACTTACCCGTCTCAGCCAGTAAAATGTTACTCAGCTACTAGGCTGTTTGCCAAGCCTCAGGATCCTCATCTGCAAACTAATGATCCTATGATACTGTTGTAGAGGCACTAACAGTGCAAAGCAGATAAGCAGCTATAAGGGATGTCCGTGTCTCATTCCCTCCAAGCCCGTCTATATAGCCAGCCACCACAGGCAACTTTCTACAACCCAGACTGATCAGCTCATTCCCTGCTAAAAGCCTTCCACAGCAACCTGGATCAAGGACACATTTCTTAGAAGCTATATTGGACTTTGTGTTGGATGCCACGAAAACAATGGTGGCCTGACCGTAGGGCACTCACATCCAGCTAAGGGAACAACCACATCAAGAGTTAGTGTCAGGGGACTCAACTGTGAACCAGAGAGATATGGTGTCAGCCAAGATGGGGCTTACAGTACAGTAGAGAAGCCAGTAAGTAGACAGTGTTAGTGCAGTATGTCCAATAGGGACCATAACCTATTGGTTATGGCAATAGCATAGCATTGCAGGCCACCACAGGAGCAAAAAGGAAGCCACACCTAATCTAGGTGGGGTGCAGAAAAGGCTTCCTGGAGAAGGGGTTTCTTGGCAGTGTTTTAAAGGATAAGTAGGAGTTTTCGAGGTGAAAGGAGGGTCTCTCCATTCTCTTAGTTAGGGCTTGGGCCCCATTCACTCCCATTCACAGTGGGCTGGGGTTTTCTTCCCATATCATGGCAAGTCCCCCCATCCCATGTGTCTAGGGCCCCACCTTCTTTTCAGGGTATACAGGAGAGTTCTGGCTGTTGAAAAGGGACTATCCACACAGATGATGTCAGAACATCTGAGCGGTTTGGGGGCAGAGACTCTCCAGACCTGTGCTCCTCTCTTTGTGGGTTTTTGTTTTGTTTTGTTTTGTTTGTTTTTGACAGGGTCTTGTCACCCAGGCTGGAATGTGGTGGCAGAAACACTGCTCGCTGCAGCCTCAACTTCCTGGGCTCAAGTGATCCTCTCACCTCAGCCTCCAGAGTAGGTGGGACTACAGGTGTGTGCCACCAAGCCCGGCTAAGTTTTAAATTTTTTGTAGAGACAGGGTTTCACCATGTTGCCCAGGCTGGTCTCAAACCCCTGGCTTCAAGTGATCCACCCGCCTTGGCCTCCCAAAGTGTTAGGATTACAAGTGTGAGCCACTGTGCCCAGCCTCTTTGTGGTCTTAAATCCAGTAAGTTCCTGGGGACACACTTCTCACAGCTGCCCTCACTCCAAGCAGGATTTAACATGGGAAGTGATAGTGATGATGCAGAGCAGCACAGTAATTGCTATAGATATTCTCTTTTTTTATTATTACATACATATAGGGCAAACGTGGCAGGCCTTAACATTAATGGATACAGGGGATGAACTGAGAGGAAACAAGGATAGTAAACACAATACTAGAAAACACCTATAATACTTACAATGTGTCAGGCACCATTCTAAGTGCTTTATGTATTTTATCTCATCCAATCCTCACAACAACTCTACAATTCAAGTATATTATTATCCCCATTTTCCAAATAAGGAAGCTATGCACAGAGAGGCTAAGTAACTTGTCCATGGTCACTCAGCTCATGGGATGACACCCAGGGTTCTAGTTTGGGTCCCTGGGTGAATGATAATACTTTTTACAGTGATGGGGATATGGGTTGGAGCTTCAGGGTTGCGGATAGATGGTAAGTTTCGTTTCAGGCATGTAGAATTTGAGTTACCTATTTGTTAGCTCTCATACCAAAGCTTGAGTGATGATTTTCAAGAGAAATCGAGTTGGAGTACAGAATTCCTAAAAGCCTTCTGTGGTTGTCTTTGGCCCAAAGGTAGGTGTCCTAAGGTGCTATATCGAGGCATCATCAAGTGTCTTGCCCACTGGGGCCCAACCCAGTCATGGTAGATCGGGCCAGGCCCACAGTGTTGGTCACAGAAGTGCCTCTGAAGTCTAAACACACTGCTCAGATGGGCCTGGTCCTTACAGCCAATGAAAGCCAACCACTTGTGCATGAAACAGCTCTGAAGAATAAAAAACCTCAATCTTGGTTTCCAAATCCTTGTGTCTCCTATAATAGGAAGCCAGGACTGCAGGACAACACGTGGTCAAGGAGACCTGAAAATCAGGTCTGAGAGCATTTAGCCTGGCCTTGGGAGATTTCCTCCTCAAGAATCCTAAGCTTCTGGGGCCTTGATTTGCCTTCCACCTCAAGAATCCTAAGCTTCTGAGGCCTTGATTTGCCAGTAGGCAATGTCTAGCATCAATGTCAGGCAGAGGCTGGGGTTCCTGGTTTTAAATAGCCAAAACCTCCTTGTGAGATTTCCAAATGGAGAGGGGGACCTTGATGACAGGAAACCACCATTAGGATCAATGGACAAAGATTGCTCCAAGAGATTACTTTTAAGCTTGTGGAAACTCTGGAGCAGGACTTCTGGTGTCTTTGTTTCTATCTTGGCTCACACAGATATATGAGGAACATATGTCAGGGCCAGGGTTAGGCCCAGGGCACCTTTGAAATATTGCCATCCCTAGACAGTCCAGGAGACTGTTTACTTTGGGCCCTGTAAAGGACCTATCTCCTGTGCTATAATAAAGATACACAGTTAACTTCATCACACCCTTTGCCCTTCACCCGTGGTCATTAACACACAGGGCCTGCTCAACCATGTTTGTAACAAGGACCAGTTCATATCCTCCTTCTGTATGCAAACCATTCTTCAAAGTGAAAGTCACCTGGGTACCACCTGCCACCCAGAGGCTAGACAACTGCCTACTAGGTTACAAACTGTCCCCACACCTTCTCAGTTTATCTGCTTCTTGGTCTCCCTAGGAACCTCTACATGGACACCAGAATGCTGGTGCTGTCTTACGAAATATTAACCACATTTATGGGCCAAAATATCACAATTTCTAGACATGCTTCTTCATTTTTAAGATGGGAGATGCTTGCTGCTCCCTTCACTGAGACTTCAGATTGGGCATCACACATGGTATAACTGACTGCTCAGGATATGCCAGGCCTTTTGCTATGTAGTGTCTGTTAACCTCATGCGGTGCTCCCAGCCCTGTGAGGTACGCATTATGCTCTGCATTTTTTTCAGATGAGAAAACAGGCTTGGAGGTTGGGTATCTTTCCCAAGGACACCTGGAGGAGAAGGTGTAGAGCTGGGACGCGTCTGGATCCCCCGACTATGGCCTGAGAGCGGGATGTGAGTGGCCTGGGCCCTCGCGAGACCCCGACCCCGCCCGCGGCAGGTGGCCGGGCACAGCCGAGAAGTAAGCCCTGCCAGCTCTCCCGGGTGCGGGGACGCGCGCGCCCACCTTCGCAAACGAGACTTCCGGGATCCCGGAGGGGGCGGAAGTCGAGGCCTCTCTCGCTTCCGGCTCGGCCATTGTTTTTGGTCTAACGGGCAGTAGAGTGTCCGGCTTCGGTGCCGAGTGCCACCGCGAGTGGGCCGAGACGCGGAGGGAGGCGCGGCCGGAGCTCGGGTCGCCGACGCTGGCCAGGACCGCGCTTCTTCCCGGCGGCAGGCGGCGCGGTCCCCGTGACTCTCAGAAGCCGCCCGATGTAGAGCCGCTTCTTTGTCTCATACCCCTGACCATTCGTGCGTGGCACGGAGCCGGGTATCTGCGGGTAC